>NC_000013.11:94737827-95040857 GCF_000001405.40 Homo sapiens
AGGGCTGTCATGATTCCAGTATTCTCACTCTGCTGCATCTAGGGTAGAGCCTCCATCCTATGAGTGGTGGCTGGTGGAAAAATAGAATCTCCAGTCTCTTTGCTACACTTATTTAGAATGTAGCTTCTGCAACATGAAGGTGGGATAGAAAGAGATGAGAAGTGTGGGGGCCTGCCCCTCCTGAAGAGACACCGTAGCCCTTGACTGGGGGCTGGGATATAGAGAATTCTGTAATCTTGGCCATATCACATGGAATGGAGCTTATGCCAAAGTGTGCTGACAGAGGGGAAAGAGGGAGCAGGTTGTGGTTCAAGTACCGCCATCTTGTGCTGCTCTTACCAAGATGTAGTAAATCTCTTTCTTTCTTTCCCTTTCTTTCTTTCTTTCTCTTTCTTTCTTTCTTTCTTTCTTTCTTTCTTTCTTTCTTTCTTTCTTTCTTTTTCTTTTTCCTTCCTTCCTTCCTTCCTTCCTTCCTTCCTTCCTTCCTTCCTTCCTTCCTTCCTTCCTTCCTTCCTTCCTTCCTTCTTTCATCTTGCTCTGTTGCTCAGGCTGGAGTGCAATGGTGTGACCACAGCTCACTGCAGCTTCGAACTCCTGGGCTCAAGTGATCCTCTCACCTTAGCCTCCTGAGTAGCTGGGATTACACAGATGTGCCCCTATGCATTGCTAATTTAAAAAAAAAGTATTGTGTGTATGGAAATGAGGTTTCACTACATTGCCTAGGCTGGTCTCAAACTTCTGAGCTCAAGCAATCCTCCTACCTTGGCCTCCCAAACTGCTGGGATTACAAGTGTGTACATCTCATGCCTAGCCCTGTAGTAGATTTTCTTGAGTAAATGTTTTTCCATTTGCTGTATGCTCTTAGGACAACTTATGGAGACTTTAAATTATTGTTTGTTTTAAATAATTTTTAACTAGTTGTTTTACTGGGAAGAAAAAACTTTCCAGAGTGGTCTTGTTAGTTCTATTGATCCAAATACAATGCAAATAAAATCAAGGCTCTGGGTGTGATCTCACAGTTGTCATTCAGCTTTTATTTATCTTGAGGTTGTGTGCCAGTTGGGATGGGACTAAGAAAAGGAGGTGTGTATGTGTAAATCTACCACCACTGCTGAGTAAATTAACTCAAACATTTTCCATTAATGAGGAGGGAGATTAGATAAATAGTAAATAAAGGAGCAAACAATTCCCATGGCATGGAAAAATACATGGAGGAAATACAGATCTTATTATACAAGACAGGAAATTCTGCTTAAAGATTAAAAATAATATGATTGAATGTACTGAGAATTAACTTAAGAAGGAATATATGTCTGTGAAAAGTTGACATATAATTTATAAATGCTACAAGAGCCCAAATTATTATTTGATGTAATTATTTTCTTGGAGCTGGTGTAATTTATCAATGCCCTTGGAATTATATGGAATCCTCACAGATAATATTTCAAAATCAGGGTAAGATTTTAGATCTACCTCTGCTATCATTCTTTTACTCATTTATTCATTATGTGTAAAGCATATTGTAACTGCAACGAACTATATGACTTTTTCTGGACAAACTAACTTTTAATTCACAAAACAAAAAGACTGGAACGCTAGGATATTTTTTCCAGCTCTAAAATCCTAAGTGGCAGAGTAGAAGTAATTATTATTTCATTAATTCAACAAATATTTCTAGGCATGAAACACTGTGTTAGGGACAGTGGATATTTTAGACATAATTCCTGCCTTATTGAAAGTAACGGACATTTAAATAAGTAAGAAGAAGAGTGATGGCTTCAAGAAAGGGAAGCGTACTGAGTGCTATGCAGATATGTCAGGATTTTCTAACCAACTCTGGTGGGATACAGGGCATTTCAGGGAAGGCTTTTCTGAGGAAGTGAAATTGATGCTCATCTTATCTGTTCCTGCTACTACAACAAAATACCGCAGACTGGGTAATTTATGAATAATATAAATTTATTTCTTAAAGTTTGGGAGGCTGGGAAGTCTAAAACCAAGGTGCCAGCAAATTTAGTATCTGGTAAGGGCTGGACTGGTTTTCTGCTCCAAGGTGGTACCCTGTTGCTGTGTCCTCTGGAAGGGATGAACACTGCGTCCTCACATGATGGAAGGGACAAAAGGGAATAAGGGTGAACTCAACCTCAGGCCCTTTCATAAGGGCACTAATCCCATTCATGGTGATGGGACCCTCACCTGTGGGGTGATGGCCTAATCACCTGTGATAGCTCTCACCTCTTAATACAATCACCTTGGTGTTTAAGTTCCAACATATACATTTTGGAGGAAAACATACATTCAAAGCATAACGTTGCTGGAACCTGAGAGAGAATTAAATAGGGGATAGTGTGGGAAGAAAGCTCTAGAGAGTAATACAAACATATTCAAAGCCCTGAGGAAAACAAATAGTCTCAGAGGTTTGAGGATCTCATACAAGTCCAGGGTGGCCAGGATTCAAGGCAGAAATTTGATAGAAATGAGAATGGAGTGGAATGGGGGGACAGAAATCCCAGAGAGCCTTATGTCAGCCATTTGAAGAAGTTGGTACTTCCCATACGCACAGTAGTAGTTTATTTAAGCTTAAATTTAAGCAGATTTGTTTTTACAAAGATGACTCTGGCTGTGGAGTGGAGGGAGGAATTAGAGGTCTCCGAAATATCCACATAGACTGCCCCTAGGATGTATATGAGGATGGTGTAAGTGGGTGCTTGAAAGATTTATAGAAAATTAAGTGGAAAATATTTGCTAATAGATTGGATGGGGGAAGCTAATTAAATAGTTCATTAAAACTATACCTTATGCCTAAAATGATCTAATATAATGGTGCTTATAACTTAGCTGGACAAAATATATTTACATGATTGCTAAAATGAAAACAAAGGAAAATAATTTTTTTTTTGAAACGGAGTCTTGCTCTGTCGCCCAGGCTAGTGCAATGGCATGATCTCGGCTCACTGCAACCTCTGTCTCCCGGGTTCAAGTGATTCTCCTGCCTCAGCCCCCTGAGTAGCTAGGATTACAGGCACCCGCCACCACACCTGGCTAATGTTTTTTGTATTTTTAGTAGAGACGGGGTTTCACCATCTTGGCCAGGCTGGTCTCGAACTCCTGACCTCATGATCCACCCACCTCAGCCTCCCAAAGTGCTGGGATGAGGCACTGCGCCTGGCCAGGAAAATAAAAATTTTACAAGCAGTCAGGAGTAAGACTAGTTCTTGAAATGAAAACCTTACATTCCTATTCTTTTGGAAATAGGTAACAAATTTGGGGAATTTAGGCATATTTAAGTTTCTCTTAAAACTGAGAAGCAAGGAAATACGTTTTTCTGCAGGTGATTTTTAATAATAGTATAGTTGGTTTTAATTTCAATTTCAATTGTTGGGAATGAAATAAATACTGCTTCTCTTTATTTCTATGAACAAACTTGATCTAGGCTTTGAGGCCAGCCAGGTTGGCAGAATGTTTATCATCAATTATTCTGGGAGGTATTTTCAAATTTCCTGGGTTTTATGCAGTACCAATCAACCCTTCAAGTCCAAGGGCCCTCTCTGGCTTCCATGCTGTGTCCTGGACTCAGGACAATCTGAATGCAACCTGAATATCAGTCAGATCCCATTGGGAAAACAGAAACCACTAGGTTTCTGTAGAAGGGACTTGATATGGAATTTGTTACACAGGTGGTTAAGGATTGAAAGAGCAAAGAAGGATTGCTAGGTAACCAGAGGTACTAAGTAGGAAGCTACTACCACCTTTAGTATTAGAAAAGGAAAAGGAAAAATGGCCTTTACCAGACTCTAGGAGCCCATGAGAGGTCAGGCAGGGTTGGTTCTTACACCTCTGAGTAGGTGGTACCACTTGGCTGCTACTAGTATCTCTAGAATGATGAGGCTGGTTCTGATTGAATAAAAAGATGAAAGCTGAAGCCAACTGCATTTTCTGGGGGCATGCTGACAAGGAAGAAGAACAAAAGGAAAAGGAGAAGGAGAAGGAGAAGGGGAAGGAAGGAAAACTTTTCTTCCTACATTTATTTATTTATTTATTTTATTTTATTTTTGAGATGAGGTCTTGCTCTGTTGCCCAGGCTGGAGTGCTATGGCACAATCACAGCTCACTGCAGCCTCAACCTCCTGGGCTCAAGCAATCTTCCCTCCACAGCCTCCCGAGTAGCTGGAACTACAGGCAAATGCCACTACGCTCAGCTAATTTTTAAAAAATTTTTATAGAGATGGAGTTTCACTATGTTGTCTACCTTCCATCTTTTAATTTTTTTTTTTTTTTTTTTTTTTTTTTTTTTGAGACAGGCTCTCACTCTGTTGCCCAGACTGGAGCGCAGTGGTGCGATCTCAGCTTACCACAACCTCCGCCTCCCAGGTTCAAGCAATTCTCCTGCCTCGGCCTCCCAAGTAGCTGGGATTACAGGCGTGTGCCACTACTGCCTGGCTAATTTTTGTATTTTTTAGTAGAATGGGGTTCCACCATGTGGGCTAGGCTAGTCTCAAACTCCTGACCTCAAATGATCCACATGCCTCGGCCTCCCAAAGTGCTGGGATTACAGGCATAAGCCACTGCAACTGGCCTCCCATCTTTTAATTTACCTGTAAAACTTTGTCTTAGTCAGCTTGGACTGCTATAACAAATTACCAGTTCTAGAGGCTGGGAAGTCAAGATCAAGAGATCAAAGCAACAGCAAATGTGCTATCTGGTGAGTGCTCATTCTTCTGGTTTATAAATGGCATCTTCTAGCTGTGTTCCCACATGGTAGAAAAGGCAAACAAGCTTCCATCAGGCCTCTTTTATAAGGATGCTAATCTCATTCATGAAGGCTTCACTCTAATTAATCGGTCACCTTCCAAAAGGCCCCACCTCTTAATACTATCACACTGGGGATTAGGTTTCAATATGAATCTGGGGGGGTGACCCAAACATTCAGACCATAGCTGCCCTCCTCCGGGTTCAGACTGCCATTTTCTTATTGTATCCTCACATGGTGGAAAGAGTGCTAGAGAGCTCTTTAGGGTCCCTTTTATATGGGCATTAGTCCCGTTGATGAGGGTTCTACCCTCATAACCTAAATTATCTCCCAAAGGCCGCACCTCCTAATACAACTACATTGGAATTAGGATTTTAATATATGAATTATTTTGATTGATATATGCATTTTGGAAGAACACATTCGCTCAGTCCATATGAAGCCTCTTATTGCTGGAACATAACAAGAATACCCATTGTCAAAGGAATCTGGGAAATGAAATTTGCGAAGTCTCAGTTCCAGCATTATAGGCAGAATATGGAAGGGTGGTTTAGAGATGAGATGCACTAGGTAAAGGACAGGCTTATTAGGGGACCATATTGCTGGCAGCCTTGCTACTCCAGGACTCATAGCCCTCTCTTCTTCCTGCAGCCCTCCCTTTCCTCTAACCTGAGGTAGCTCCGTTCTGCCCTTGGCCTTTCTTTTCCTTTTTAAAACTTTACTGTAAATTGACAAATCATAATTATATGTATTTACAGAGTACAAAGCAATATTATGATATATGTATACAGTGTGGAATGATTAAATCAGGCTAATGAACATATCCATCATCTCAAATACTTATCTTTTTTTGTGGTGAGAATATTTGAAATGTACTCTCAGCAATTTTGAAATGTACAATACATTATTATTTACTGTAGTCACTATTGCCCTTGGCTTTTCAAATTCTCTCAAATCCTCCAACTCTGTCTCTCATCTGGATCATCTACAATAAATGCTGGTGTCCATTAGAACCAGAGCCTGAATCATTAACAACCAAAAGATTAGTTTTGATCTCCTTGAGGACAGATCTCCAATCAGGTGAGGATAAATGTTTGCATTCTGTCCTTATAAGGAAGAGAAAAAGAAAGAAAACAAAGAGATTACCTTCTGTAATAAAGCAAAACAGCCAACTGTGACCACAATCATAATACTGACTGTGCTAGGCTCAATAAGGACCCCTGCTGATATCCACAGCTGAATCCCTGGACTCTGCAGGGGTGTTACCTTACCTGGCCAAAGGGTCTTTGCAGGGTTGATTAAGTTAAGGACTCTGAGATGGGGGGATTATCCTGGATTATCTCAGTAAACCCAACATCATCTCAAGGGTTCTTTATGAAAAAATTAGGAGAGTCAGAGTTAGGGATGATGTGACCGCAGAAGAAGTCTGGGTTCTGTGAGACCGAGTCAGGGAATGCGGGTGGTCTCTAGAAGCTGAAGAGGTCGGGAGACAGACTCTTCCCTAGAACCTTCAGAAGGAATGCTGCCCTGCCAACACTTTGACTTCAGCTTAGAGAGTCAAACTTTGGACTTCCAGCCTCCAGAATGGTAAACTAATACACTTGTGCAGTTCTAATCCATCATGTTTGTGGCAGTTTGTTACAGCAGCAATAAGAAACTTATATGCTGACCACAGCTGAGCCTCAGGTTCTGGGCTGGAAGTTGAGCAAGCACCGGCTGCCCTTGATTCACTCAACAACTCAATGAGGTTAAAGGTGTGATTCTCATTTCACAGATGAAAATGACGAGACTCAGAGAAGAATTAAATAGACTTTCTAGTCTGCCTGAGCAGGGTGGTCAGTATGGACGCAGCTGGCACATGGAGACCACCAAGAAGCCTGTGCTTCTAACCATCATGAGAACTGCCTCCACCTGGATCCTGGCAACCAGCCCCAGGAATAAGTCCTCCACACATCCTTTAAGGATAACAAAAGGCAAGCAGTTCTGATTATGTATACATATTTACATATCAGCAATTAAAGCAACGAAGTGCTGAAAATATGGCTGAAATGGCACCTTGAAATTTTGTTTATGATGTTAATTTTTTGAGGACTTTTTTGAAAAACAATTGTTGCAGAAGTAAACTTCAAACTGTGGATTAACCTATAAATTCAGAATCAATGGAATCAAATAAAGTTTAATTCCATTTTTATATACAGACATGATACTTAAGAATACAAGTCTAAGCAGAATATTATTACTTTAAAATTTATAGGAAATGAAATCTTGGTATCAGCCAGGAGACTGGTAGAGTTTTTGAGGACTACAGTCTTAAAAACAAAACAAAACCCTACTTTAAAAAATTAATATACCCATTTATTTAATAAATATGTACTGAATCTGTTATATTCAGAGCACTGTTCTAAATTTTTAGAACCTTACATCTCCTGAGAAACAATTCACATTCACAAATGGCTACAATATAAGGCCTTATGTAAGAAGTTTTTTAAAGAGGTATATAAAATAGTTGTGTTACTATTTTAGAGAAGTGGCTAGGTTTACGACCAGACTATTCAAGAAAAGCAGAATGTCTATTGTCTGTTCACAAGTTAGATCACTTTCTGTTCTCTTCTGTCATTCTTCTGCATCTCAGGCCTTAGAAAACAAGCAGCTTCGTTTTCCTGAATCCTTTGCTAGCAAGATTTTAGGTTAGACTCTGTCAATGACAGGAACTTACACAAAATTCACAGGCAAAAGACACACAAAGCCATGTTATTGTTCCTTCAACAGTAGCAAACTATGGGGCGAGCTATAGTATAGTTGAGGCAAAACCATACTTCTTAATCCAAAAGTTTCTAGGTGTGTTTAGCAAACTAATAAATACTAATAAGAAAAGAAATATTAATTGATCATAAGCTTATGTTCCAAAATTAGTACAAGATGCAAGAGTTTGAGATCTGTGACAGGGATACAAACTTAACCTACTCTACAACAAAGATGTGCATAAAAAATGTAGTTTCTCTGAGGCAGAAGGAGTGCTTAAGCCCAAGAGTTCAGGGTTACAGTGAGCTGTTGTCATGCCACTGCACTGTAGCCTGGGCAACAGAGCAAGACCCTATATATATAGGGTATATATATACATGTGTATTAAGTCAGGCTAATGGACATATCCATCATCTCAAATACTTATCATTTTTTTGTGGTGAGAATGTTTGAAATGTACTCTCAGCAATTTTGAAATATACAATACATTATTATTTACTGTAGTCATTATTGCCCTTGGCTTTTCAAATTCTCTCAAATCCTTCTCCAACTCTGTCTCTCATCTCGATCATCTACAATAAATGCTGTATATATAAACACAGTGTATATACATACAGAATATATATAGACTATATACATAGTGTATATATATACAGAATATATATAGACTATATACAGTGTATATATATACAGAATATATATACACACTATATATATACAAAATATATATACTATATATATTCTCTCTCCCTCTCTGTGTGTGTTTGTATGTATACACACACACATACACACACACACCCACATATATACACATATATACGGTTCCTGTATTTTGGGTTTTGTTTTTGTTTTTGTTTTTTTTGAGATGGAGTCTTTCTCTGTTGCCCAGGCTGAACTGCAGCAGCACAATCTCAGCTCACTGCAACCTCCACTTCCTCGGCTCAAGCGACTCTCATGCCTCAGCCTCCCGAGTAGCTGGGATTACAGGCATGCACCACCATGCCCAGCTAATTTTTGTATTTTTAGTAGAGACAGGGTTTCACCATGTTGCCCAGGCTAGTCTCAAACTCCTGACCTCAGGTGATCCACCCGCCTCGGCCTCTCAAAGTGCTGGGATTACTGGCGTGAGCCACCACACCCAGCCCAAGTTTTCTGTATTTTCTTGAAAATCTATCTAGTTTTCCTAATGAGCTCTCACCTCCTAGGATGTCTAATCCAATTTAGACATCTGTCAGAACTAATAATTTAAACAACTCCTTTAGATAATGCTCAATCTTCTGAGATAATTGCATAATGTTTCTTCCACCCCTCTTCCTGCTTTCTCTGCTTCCCTGTAGAGGCATCTGGGCTCAGAGGTTAAATTCTTATGAGGTGGGGTCTGGAAGCCTAGAGCAATGATTAGCAGGCATGGGGCCAACTCATCTCACCTTCTATCCACAAGGACTTAGGATGGCCTACCAGAGTCCCTAGGTGTGGAACTCCCACTAAACTGATGGTATATTTGAATTTGATATGGAGAAATTAAAAGATTGTCAGGAGCCACTCATCTACTAAACATAGAACATGACCATGATCTGCAGAGCCCCAAATTCCTCTCCACTACCTTCTTTCCCACCATCATAGACATATGACTATTTTATTCCAATGTGTACTATATATGTCCACCTCTGCTTTTATAGCCAGGATCTATTTCTGATGCAGTTAGTATTCATTATTTTATTTTGAGAAGTTTTCCTTCTTTTTCATGAACTTTTCCTTCGATTACAGGTGGTGACATTATCCAGCAAAGTAATGAATCAACATAACAGCCGGGATGTTTGACTTTCACACACTGGCTTTCATTAGGCAAAACATTATTGATCAAGTGACTCTGATATATATAATATATATGTGCTGTCTGGAATATACATATAAAACATACCTGAGCTTCCTTATTTACAGGGAGTCAAAAAGGGGATCGAGGAAGTGCAATTAAGAAGAGTTATTTCTTTTCATAACTCTCTTCTTTACTGACTCTTCATATGTTTCTGATATGTTTGGGCAAAGGGTTTTAATCTGCATCCAAGGAAGGGCAGTGTTGTTGAAAGCTGATGAAATTATGTTTGTTTCAACTTCATTCCGTTATGGTGGGGAGGACGATTAAAGAAAGAAAGAGGCTGGGTGCAGTGGCTCATGCCTTTAATCCCAGCAATTTGGGAGGCTGAGGCAGGCGGATCACCTGAGGTCAGGAGTTCGAAACCAGCCTGGCTAACATGGTGAAACCCTGTTTCTACTAAAAATACAAAAAATTAGCCAGGCATGGTGACGCCCACCTGTAATTCCAACTACTCGGGAGGCTGAGACAGGAGAATCGCTTGAACCCGGGAGGCGGAGGTTGCAATGAGCCAAGATCGCACCATGGCACTCCAGCTTAGGTAACAAGGGCGAAACTCCGTCAAAAAAAAGAAAGAAAGAGAGAGAGAGAAAGGAAGGAAGGAAGGGGGGAAATAAGGGAGGGTTAGAAAGAAAAAAAGAGGAGGGTCGAAAGAGACTATGGATAAATAATTGAGAAAACCAATGGAGATGACTATGTGCAACGAAATCTTAGGAAGAGGAACTCAAAGCTCACTAACAAAAGCTTATACATTGTGAATGTTGGGCTTGAGTAAAAGGCAATTCTTGCTAAAATCACGACAGGCTTCTCTTTATTTTATTCTCCTATTTTTAAGTCCCAGTGTATTCATCAGCTCAGCTTTTCATAATTCTGTTTTTAAAAAGTCAAATAATATCTTTATTGGTTACAAGGTCATTTTGTTTCATAGATATTATTTTATAAATGTAACCTTGATTCTTTGATTATTGTTATCCACATCCAGTAATAAAACAAAATTTTAAAAGGTGACTTTTTGCTGTTTCACATGACACTCAGGCATCTTAACCCTTTGTTAGACAAACATACATATACACACAGACCCGACTGCATGTGCAAATCATTTTCACCCTTGCTGATATTAAGAACTTGGTCTTGCACTGTTTTTAAATACTTATGTTATTATTCATAAATCTTCTCCTCCTTAGATATAATTCATGATTCAATTTTATGTAAAAATTAAATAATACTTTATATAAATTATAAGTTAGAATTGAATACTTTAAACTGAACCAAGACTATAAAGTTCAGTTATGCTATTTTTGAGCCATTTATAAAGCCAGTTTTCAATAGGCTTGTGTTATAGAAGGATTAAATTATAGCTTTGCAGTAGATTAGGTTTCTTTGTATTGCTGTATTTACGCATCTGGTTGGTCTATTATGCATTTTTTCCTATACTATCTTATAAACTGATTAGGACATAACTCTTTCTCTATTGTGTTCATAAGAACCCACCATAGTATGGATTTAAGAAGCAAAATTAAATACCCAATATGCCTGGCTTAGAAAATCATTGGTTCTCAATTGCTGCATTGTAATTCTGTGTATAGATCTACCTACCTACACTGGGCTTTAAAAAGAAAGTGCAATTAAAGACGTAGATTGCTGTGAACAAGGAATTCTATTCTACCAATAGCAATGAGTAAACTTTCCCCATTCCTGACCCAAAGACCATCTTTGAGCTTCACTATAGAAACACTTGGATGATACTCTTATGTTTTAATATAATACGTAATATATAAGAACGTTCACAGATCAGTTGGCATTTCTTTAGACTTTAAGAAGCTGAGCCTTTGTGTCCTAAAATTATAGGTATATAATCCTCAAATCTGCTGTGTGGCCAAAACAAAACAACAAAACAAAATAAAAAAACAATAAAAAAGTTGAGCATGCTCTTTTTGTTGGTTGAAGACTCAATATGCATTATGAAAGCAAAATGTTTAGTATTTTACTAAATGATAAAGTGTCATTCAAGTGATAATAGCCTTCAGCACTTAGCAGTTTCTGGCTTTCATGTTTAAGGAAAACAGACTAGATGAACTGGTTAAAGTCAGCTCAAGGTGATGAGGCTTTGAAACTTTCTTGCAGTTTTGAGGATCTGGTTATAGTCTGCTGAAAATAGTGTGTATGTCAATTGAGAACTGCAAACTGGGAAGAAATGGGCACTGGTGAAGGTTTTGGTATGTAGGAAATATGTCTGGAAATTGTCCCGATTTGTAAAGTCTGGTGACTTTTTTACTTGAAAACAATGAGAAGTGAGAGTTTAAATGCTGGTTTCTGGTGTCCCTCCTCTGCACTGCTATTCTCTTGTGATTACTGCTCCACTTACCCCTCTCTTCTGTTAATCTGTGAACTCTCCAGGGGCAAGGACTCGGTTTATATAGCACAGTGACAGTGACAGGCACTTACTAGATGCTTATGAAATGTTTGTTGTATGAAATGGGTAAATGCATGAGTATGAAAGGCTTGGCTCAGAATATTCTCTTTCTTTTCTTTCTTTCTTTCCCTTCTTTCTTTCTTTCTTTCCTTTCTTTCTTTCTTCTTTCTTTCTCTCCTTCCTTCCTTCCTTCCTTCCTTCCTTCCTTCCTTCCTTCCTTCCCTCCCTCCCTCCCTCCCTCCCTCTCTCTCTCTTTCTCTCTCTCTCTCTCTTTCTCTTTCTTTCTTCTTTCCTTCCTTCCTTCCTTTGCAGGGTCTCACTCTGTCACCCAGGCTGGAGTACAATGGCATGATCGATCTTGGCTCACTGCAATCTCTGCCTCCCGGATTCAAGCTCTCCTCCCAACTCAGCCTCCTAAGTAGCTGGAACTACAGGCACTCATCACCATGCCTGGATAATTTTTATATTTTTTGGTAGAGATGGGTTTCACCATGTTGCCCAGGCTGGTCTCAAACTCCTGGGCTCAAGAAATCTGCCTGCCTTGGCCTCCCAAAGTCCTGGGATTACAGGCGTGGGCCACCATGCCTGGCCAGGCTTGATATATTGCTTTACTCCCATCTATGAGTTCCATGGATCAAGCCTTTCACTGTGCCCCACACATCATGAATACATATAACTTTGTTGCCTACTTAGCTGAGAGGAGTATCCTGGAAGCATTCAGATTTGGGATTTGTAGACCGGAAAATTAAAGTGACCCACCACTTACATTTAACACACTTTTGTTTTCCATCACCTCAAATATTTAAATATAATTATTCCAAAGGCCTTCTTTTTGACCATATCTCATGCATACTTATATTCTTAAAAAGGAAATGTCAGGGCTGAAATGTTGCCTATGTTACCTCTTATTGCTTTTTTTTTGGCTGCATGGAAAATCTGGAAAATTATCATTCTTGTTGAGAAGTGTAAAAGAGGGATTGCAGATTTAGTAATAAGTGACACATATTATTTTCTTACTTCGCAGCCTTCCCAGTTTCTCCACTCTCCCTCATTTTTTTCCCATAACCTTCCTTCCCACCCTATCTCTTGTCAGCCTTTGACTGCAAGAGCTACTCTACCTATGAAAACGTGCATTGGACCGTGACCTGTACAGTTACCGGAATTGTTCTCAGGGTGAAAAACCTTCATGGGTATTAGAAACAATTAACATTTCCATTTACCACTAGACTCAAAGCTTTATGAGCAGCAAAGATGTAAATTTATTTTAACCTTAAATCTAAAGTATAATTTCTGTGTATGGGAAACCAGCAGTAGGAGACTAGTGTGATTGGGAGATACATTTCAATTAATTCTTCTACCAACACCATATCTCTTCTGCATCAGAACCTTTTATAGTGTTAAAATTAACAATTATGCAGCTGATGGCTGGCTAAATCCACCAGGGGACCCAGAGAGAGCCTCAGATAACACGACATGTATAAATCATTCAGGAGAACAATTCATGAAAGAAAAGTTATCTGTGTTTGGGATGACATTGGAAGAGCTAAATAGGAGTCAATTTGAAGAAGGGACATTTAGTCCCATTGTCCAGCTTGCCTTTTCCTTTTTTAAAAAATTGTGTCATAATATACATTTTTAAAATTAATTATCCATTAGCAGCAAGATAAATGTCTCTTCTTTTGCTAAGGAAATAGTGGCCTCAGTGGTGAAAGATTATTTCACATGAGTAGCACTCATAAAGAGAGCTGTTCCCAGATAAGGTGGCAACTGTTCTTTGAAGAAGCACAATGAAGGTGACAGGCAAGCCCATGTTGATGAAATGGAATAGAAGAACCTGCAGATTTCAGTCCACTGATCAGTTACATAAGCGGAGAGATTCATATCAGGAATGACATTTCACCGAACCACATAGACAGCAAAGTAGTAAGTACTTCAGAATATAACAACCCGTGAAACTGTATCCTAGAGAGTATCAAAAACTATTTTCAGGGCTCTCTGACACCAGAATGTTTTGGAAACACCTCTAGAAGTAGTTTTTCATGCTTAAATCTTCAGTTACCATAAAAATTTATATCCCAGGGTTTTTAATAAATGTATTGTTTTTGATGCGTGCAGAATATGTATGCATTCATTCTCTAATAAACTGGAATTTAATAGGATCAGTGGCCAAATACTAGTCTTGCAAGTGATCTGTTTTATTAAACTTTTTATTTAATTCCATCTATAATACATTTTATTTAATTGATCCTTTTAAGAATCATATCTGGGCTGGGCACGATGGCTCATGCCTGTAATTCCAGCTACTCCAGAGACTGAGATGGGATTGCATGAACCCAGGGGTTCGAGGCTGCAGTGAGCTATGATTATGCCACTGCACTACAGCCTGGGTGACAGAGCGAGACCCTATCCAAAAGAAAAAATAAATTGTGGCTGTGTGGTCTTGATTTATCTTTTTGACTACAGATTTTGAATTTTAAACTTCACTCATAGTTAACAGAAATATTAAACTTGCAGTTTTCATGCATGGAATAATAACCAGGCTAAATGCTTTATTAAACACTGGAGGTGACTCAATTGTTATATAACTTTCATTTATTTTAAATAATTTATTTTCTTCCCCACACTTGCTCATTCTCCTAGTAACGTGCAGAAGAAATAAAAAAAATATGAGTTTTTGACATGGTTCAATAATTATGTCACAGTTTGGTGACGTTTTTGCAATTATTCTTTAATGAGGTATGAATTACAGTTGCCTTCATATCTATTTGCATCCAAAATACTTGGATAAAACGTATTGCCTTCTTTTTGTAGTTCATTTCATTGGGCCTAAACACGTTTATGACACGCAGTTTTTAAATTGTGAGCACACACACTTGGCTTAGCACATATTAATTATTTCATTCTGGCATTTTGTTCTTTAGGAAGACATAAATGTTTGTGGTCAAATGTTGACAATCAATAATGGTGCAAAGATGTCAGCAATTAGTGCAACATTTTCATTAAAATGTAGAAAATAACAGATTCCAGAGCAGATGCCGTGAAACCACTAACAGTGTGTCCCATAGGAAAGAATCAACAGAAAAGGAGAGGGTCTGAATCCAGACTGTTCTGTAACAGAAACTATGCCCTAATCAGGCCTTATAATTCTCCCCATCAACTTTTTAGTGAAGAGAAACTGGAGGTAAACATTGGAATGTTTAGATACTAACGTATCTTTTATATATTAAATTTACAGATAGACATAAAAATATTTTTTATGTAACAACATGTCTTTTGTCCTTGCATATAGTGTAGTTTGAGTCGTTTGTTATCAAGGAATCTTTTTGCTGTTTTTAGAATTGCAGGGTTAAGAACCCCTCTAGTATTTGCCACAGAAGGATGATTAGGCTGGGTAGACCCAGCTGGAGTAGTTCCTCCCTCTGCCAGACCCAGCCTCCGCCACATGAGTCTTTCCAGTCTTTTATATTCTATTCAATATGTTTTTCTTTTAAATCTAGATATAATTTACTTGCCATAAAGTTTACCATTTTCACGTCTACCATTCAGTGGGTTTTGTGTATTCCCAGAATTGTGCAGCCATCATTACTGTCTAATTCCAGAATACTTTCTTCACCCCAGAAAGAAATCTGTACCTGTTAACAGTCACTCCCTGTTCCCCCTCCCTCCAGCCCAGACAAATGCTAATTGATTTTCTGTCTCCATGGATTTGGCTGTTGTGAACATTTTACACAAATGGAATCATACAATATGTGGCTTTTTGTGTTTGGCTTCTTTCACTATGTGCTATTCCCTCTGCTCCAAAGTAGATGCACATAGGATGGAAGAAAACTTTTCTGTTCTCATGGGGGTTAGAATATTGTAGGACAAGCAGGCTAAGTAAATATGTGCTGTACACAGTACGGGCAACACATTTTCCTCTTGATCTGTCTCCAGTTCCTCTGGTGTACAATTTATAAATACAAAGTAATGGCCCCATTATGTGGTTGCCAGGGTGACATCACCTGCATAAACCAGAACTAGGCTAAGAAGATAAAAGGCTCTCATCTTTACACTTTATGTTCAAGTTTTGCATTCAACTATTTTTTTTCTTTTCCTTTTTTTTTTTTTTTTTTTTTTTTTTGAGACAGTCTCACTCTGTTGCCCAGGCTGGAGTGCAGTGGCGCGATCTCGGTTCACTGTGAACTCTGCCTCCTGGGCTCAAGCGATTCTCCTGCCTCAGCTTCCCGAGTAGCTGGGATTACAGGTGCTCGCCACCACGCCTGGCTAATTTTGTATTTTTAGTAGAGATGGGTTTTCACCATGTTGGCCAGGCTGGTCTTGAACTTCTGACCTCAAGTGATCCGCCCACCTTGGCCTCCCAAAGTGCTGGGATTATAGGCATAAGCCACCATGCCCAGCCTATTTCTTAATTAAGGATCAAGAGAACATAAACACCCATGATGGATTCATGGGTCACTTTTAAGTTGCCTTTAATACAATGGGCAGGCTTGCCTCACTTCCCTCTTCAGAGTTTAGTTTTCATCCATTCATGGAGTAAGATGCTGTGATGTTAGCTGCCAACACTAGCACACATTACAGCACATTGCTCCAGAGTGCAGCCTATTGTAGGATATGAAAGGCAATATTTTGGTAGACTAGAGTTAAAAATTGTCTCTTAAAAATTCACATAACAACAAAAAATTCCTTTTCTCTTAGCTCCTCTAGTATATTCTGGGATCATGTTTTATAACCCAAATCAATAAGATTTCTTTACTCATAAAAGTTGTAAACATTCTCTGTGGAAACTTGAAAACTAAATCATACAGAAGAAATGAGAATCGCCTATAAGCCTGCCACTTAGAGTAAACTAATAGTTTGTTTTTGTGTACAGAAAATTTCATTTCTTTTAAATTCAAAAAAAAATTATTGAATGTCTCTTATGACCTAGGGGGAAATCAGTGGAGGATAAGAACAAATCTTTGGCAATTTATACAAATTATGGTCACACAAGTTATAAGGTTTGTATTGCCCACATAAGCATTGCAGTGAGTATACTTTCCCATATTTTGAAATATTCTTTAAAAAACATGACTTTTAATACCTACATATGATTGGGCTATAATTTCCAAATTGTGACTCATTTATGTTGTTTTCCATTTTTTATTATTAAAAATAATGCTGTCAAAAATAAGTTGAATAAACTTGTATATAATATTTTCAGTTTTGTATATAAAATTTTCAAAATCATAAATTTTCAAAAAATAATTTATAATTAAACAACAATAAATTAATAATTAATCCTGAGAACAGATTGATTAGAGAATTACTAAGTCAAGTATATCTTTAGCTTAAGCATATTTATACATATTGCTAAATTACCCTCAGAATTATACCAATTTATACTCATAACCAGCTTTGATTGAGAGTGTTCATTTTTCTATTTATTCAAAAACACTGCTATTATCATTGTAAACATTTTTAGCTAATTTGTAGGCAAATATCCTATCTTTAATTATTGGCAAAGTTGAAGATTTTTTACGTTTATTTGCCATTTGCATGTATTATGTATGATTTGACTATTCTTGTCTTTGCCCATTTTTTATGTTGAGTGTCTTTTATTGATTCATAAGTGCTCTTTATATATCAAATCATCTGTCAGATATGACTCAACTATTTGTCTACTTTGTTTTTTGCTTTTAAATGAATTATGGCTTTAAAAAAATATATTTGAATTTTAAATGTTTTCATAAGTTTCATTTGTTAATATTTTTCTTCATGGCTTTTGCCTTTGATTTCATGCTTGAATGTCTTTCTCCAGTGTAAAGTAAAAGAAATTCAACTATTTTTTTTCTAGTTGCTATGCTTATTTTTATATTTAAATCTTTAATCTATTTGAAATTTGTTTTGGCATATAGCAATGTAGACATTCAACTTTACTTTTTCTCCAATAGCTATGTAATTGTCTTATTTATTGAGTAAATCTTCCTTTTGTAAGTGATTTATGACATCTTTATAAAACACTGCATTTCTACTTGAATTAGAATAAGCCAGTTACTTTCTTTCATGGATATGCTGAAATCCTGTGTGTTTTGCTATTCTTGTTAATTATTCCAGGAAGAGCCATCCACAAGTCTTACTATGAAAAATAGAGTAAAATCGGTGTCTCCAGATTTGAAAGTTTTCCATTTCTATCTTAAAAATGAAAACTGTGAACTTTTTTTATGTGCTCAAAATAAACTCTTATTAAGTCACTGGTGTTTTTTCAGCTTTGTTTGTTACAGCAGAAAGATTATCTCTTTTTTTTCCTTTTTCAACTTTTATTTTAGGTCCAGGGGGTACATGTGCATATTTGTTACTTGAGTAAATTGCATGTTGCTGGAGACTGGCGTACAAATAATGTCATCACCCAGGTAATGAGCATGATACCTGACAGGTAGTTTTTCAACCCTCAACCTCCTCCCTCTCTCCATCCTCAAGTAGGTCCTGGTGTCTATTCTCCCCTTTGTGTCCATGTGTACTCAACGTTTAGCTCCCATTTATAAATGAGAACATGCAATATTTGGTTTTCTGTTCCTGTGCTAATTCACTCAAGATAATGGCCTCCAGCTGCATCCATGTTGCTGCAAGGGCACAATTTTGTTCTTTTTTATAGCTACATAGTATACCATGGTGTACTGCATTTTCTTTATCCAGTCCATTGTTGATGGGCATCTACGTTGATTCCATGTCTTTGCTATTATAAATAGTGCCAAAATGAACATATGAATTCATGTATCTCTTTGGTAGAATGATTTATATTCCTTTGGGTGTATACTCAGTAATGGGATTGCTAGGTTGAATGGTAGTTCTAAGTCCTTTGAGAAATCTCGAAAATGCTTTCCACAGTGGCTGAACTAATTTACATTCCCACCAGCAATGTGTAAGAGTTCTCTTTTCTCTGCAGCCTCCCAAATATCTGTTAATAGCCATTCTGACTAGTGTGAGATGGTGTCTCATTGTGATTTGGATTTGCATTTCTCTAATTATTAGTAATGTTGAGCATTTTTCCTATGCTTGTTGGATATATGTGTCTTCTTTTGAAAAGAGTCTGTTCATATCCTTTGCCCATTTTTTAATGGGGTTGTTTTTCACTTGTTGATTTGTTTAGGTTCCTTACATATTCTGGATATTAGGCCTTTATCAGATGCATAGTTTACAAGTATTTTCTCCTATAGATTGTCTGTTTACTTTGTTGTTGCAGCTGCTTTTGGAGACTGTCACGAAATCTTTGCAAAGGTTTATGTCTAGAATGGTATTTCCTAGGTTTTATTCTAGGGTTTGTATAGTTTGAGGTCTTACATTTAAGTATTAATCTATCTTGAGTTGATTTGTATATACAGTGAAAGGAAGGGGTCCAGTTTCAGTCTTCTGTGTATGACTAGCCAGTTATCCCAGGATCACTTATTGAATAGGAAGTCCTTTTCTCATTGCTTGTTATTGTCAACTCTGTTGAAGATCAGATAGTTGTAAATGTGAAGCTTTATTTCTGGGTTCTCTGTTTTATTGGTCTATGTGTCTGTTTTTGTACCATGCTGTTTTTTTTTGGTTACCGTAGCCTTGTAGTATAGTTTGAAGTCGGATAATATGATACTCCCAGATTTGTTCTTTTTGCTTAGGATTGCTTTAGCTATTCGGGCTCTTTTTTGGTTCCATGCGAATTTTATTTATTTTTGTTTATTTTTTTCCCCTCTGGAACATTCAAATTCACTGTTCCAAAGTTTAACTAAAAACACAATTTGCAAATATTTAATATCTACTGAAAAGCATTTCTAAGTTAAGAATGAAAAAGTATATACATAATATATAATCAAATACCATGTGCTTCAACTCCCACCAGGTCCACACTCAGCAACATCCATCTTTTTAGGTTCTTCAAGATCTTCTGTTAAATCTACAAAATTGTTTTCCATGCTGGGGGAAGGAATGGAAATCCCCATTGCTTTTTGAAATTCATACAGGCTTACAATATCACCTGGAGTTACTTGCTGTGCAAGTTTTTAAGATTATTGGTCACTTGTTCAGTGAGATGCATTTCTCTGCAGGAGGCACCCAAGAGACAGATCATACTGGGAGGGGGTCTGGTGCTCAAATGCTCGTTCCGGGCTTCCTGGAGCTCCCTGAACAATTTGGTGGCCTCATCAAGTTTCTTCTGAATACTTCAGGTTCTTCAGAGTCAAAAACTTCAACTGGAGCGCCAAAGTTTACTACTTTCAGTGTGTGAGCCTGTCTTGAGTATTGGGGTCCAGATGCCCTGCTGGGTCTAGTTCTATAATCTCCATTTCTTTTGCTGGGCCAAGTGTCTTAGTATGGCCTTCATCTTCAGGCAATGACATCTCCAACTCTTGTAGGGTCCTGGAATTCCCTCCTTTTGTGAAAACATCCAGTAAACTATCTGCCATAACATATGGATAATCTTGGCATGTGGCCCAAAACTCATGGATGCTGAAATCTCTTGGAAGATCAGAGTCTTCCCCATAGGTTGGATAGATTAAATCAGAATGATCCTTGCTGATATTTGTAAACGTGGAGTCATACGTGGTGCATAAGAACTGTAGGTCCAGAATTCAAGTCTCACACTTCTGCAATGGGATCCACAGGGTGGAGAAGTCCCAACGTTGTTGTTCCATCTGGTTTTCTTCTTTCAAATTCACACTGACGGTTCACAGGCTGTCTGGTCAGCTTTCCTCCAGATTCCTTCATAACTTGGTCAAGCTGCTCCTGCTCTCTCTCTCTGAATTATTGCTTTTAAACTTATCTTCAAGCATATCTTTGTCTATATTTTAATTTTCTTTGCCGGGACTCTGGAAGGCTTGTGCTTCGGCATCTCCAGAGTCCTCTCTCCCTGGGCCAGCAGCCTTCGTCCTCCCCACTCTGCCTCCATCCTCCCCAGTCTGTTCTATCTTTCTGCTTTCGAGTTTTCTGCAAGTCAGCCATGAAGTCTATGCTCTGCTTCAGGCTCTGAATTCTTTCCTGGCTAAGAATAGTCATCCCCCAGTGCAACAGCTTCTTTGCAGCTGTATAATAAATGGTCTCTGGTTTGTTGTAAATCATGGCATTAGTGCACATTAGTTTGAAGTTATCCTTTAGTTCTATCGACTGGTAGTCATTGTTCTTGACCTTTTCTTTCATAGTGCTAAAATCCCTTGGGTGTTTAATGATCATGGAGTAGCCAGGAGCAATAAAATCAGTCACAGGAAATGAAAAGAAAGCACTTGGGTCTTTTCTCTGCAATTGTCTCATCAGTTGATTCAAAGCTTCTTGAAGGGGTGTCTGTTCTACTTCTTCTTGTTTGGCTAAAGAGCTTGTGAGAGGATCTCACACGGGCATGACACTGGAGGTCTTTTTCTGCCTCATTCTCCACAAGGTCTCGATCTCGCTTCTTTTTATCCTCCCTAACTCTCCTCCGTTTTCTCTCTTTTTCTTCCCCTGGATCCTGCTTCTCTCCTTTCTTTCTCTTTTTCTGCTTTCTGTCCTTGTATTTGTCATGATCTTATTCGCCTTCGAAGAGGCTGGAGTCGTGCCCTGAGCTGCCCGTGGAGAATTCGGTGACTTCGTTCCCTCCTACTTTGAGGACCAGCCTCAAGGGCTTCTCTACATACCCCTCATAGAAGTGTTTGTCTGACTTGCGCTCCTTGTGCTTCTTGCCCCTGTCCAGCTGGCCCCGGTGCCCGCCCCCAGAGCCAGGAGCAGGCACGCAGCGCAGCTTCCGGTCCAGGCCAGGCCCGCGCAGGGCGGGAGCGGCCCCTTAGAGGCCCTGCGCGCCGGAGGCAAGGGGGCGGCGCGAGGTCCCTCTCAACCCATGTGAATTTAAGAAGAGTTTTTTCTAATTCTGTGAAAAACGATGTTGGTAATTTGATAGGAATAGCACTGAATCTGTAAATTGCTTTGGGCAGTATGGCCATTTTAGCAACATTGATTCTTCTTACTCATGAGCATGGAATGTTTTTCCATTTGTTTTTGTTGTCTCTGATTTCTTTCAGCAGTGTTTTGTAACTCTTGTTGGAGAGATTGTTCACCTCTGTGATTGGCTGTATTCCTAGGTATTTTATTCTTTTTGTGGCTGTTGTGAATAGAATTGTATTCTTTTATTATTATTATACACTATCCTTCTGCAGCATAGAATTGCATTTTTGATTTGGCCCTCAGCTTGGATGTTTTTGATGTATAGAAATACTACTGATTATTGTGCGTTGATTTTGTATCCTGAAATTTTACTGAAGTTGTTTATCAATTCTAGGAGGCTTTGGGCAGAAGCTGTGGGGATTTCTAGGTATAGAATCATATTGTCTATGAAGAGAGATCATTCAACTCACTCTTTTCCTATTTGGATTCCTTTTATTTCTTCCTCTTGCCTGATTGCTTTGGCTACGACTTCCAGTATTATATTGAATAGGAGTCATGAGAGTGGGGATCCTTCTCTTGTTTCAGTTCTCAGGGAGAATGCTTCCAGCTTTTGCCTGTTCAGTATGATATTGGCTGTGGGTTTGTCATAGATGGAGACCTGAATTATCAGGTCCTAGTGGATACCTGAATTATCCTAGTTAATATAATGCTTAATTTGAAATCTGATTCTTTTTTCTTCCCCAATTCTTATTAATGATTTAATATCTTCTCTACCTTATCTTACATATTTTGAACTACATTTGAATAACTACATTGCATTCATTTTTTTGTACTAATGTTTACATTGTTTCTCTTTGAGTTCTACAGACTTATCTCTAGCTTTTATACATAATTTTTACATAATATTAATATTAAGATGTGATTTACAGTGTACTCTCTTCTTAAAATTATTCATTTTACCATATTTTGTGGTTTCAAAGAGCTTTCAAATTTATTTTTGCCTGCTCTTTCCCTTCCTCCTTCTCTTCCTCTTTCTTCCTTTACAATCCAGAAGTCTTCTTCTTCTTCTTTTTTTTCACCTGTTATACCATGAATTCAGTTAATAGACTCCAGCAGCTCAGGCTCCTTTTCATTGGTTCTTACAAAGTGTGCTTCTCTGGGTGGAACAGGCTGCAGCTTCAGGTTTCTCTTTAGCTTCCCTCTTTATGCTGGTTATTTTCCTTCACACACTTTCAGGAAATCATCTTGGCTCTTAGAGTGCTTAATATGCCCAATATGCATATTAATTCTCTTGGCAAGAATCTTGCCCTTAACTTGTTTGTTTACAATGATGCCAACAGCATGCTAGGTAACTTTGTAGACTCTTTTAGTTTTGCCATGGTGACATTTGTGAGGCATTTCTTTTTGGACAGTACCCATTCCCTTGGTGTCTACATTATCGCCTTTCTTGTAGATATGCACTTATGTTGCCAAAGGTACAACTCCGTTTTCTCAAAGGCCTAGGGGACCTCAGCAGTTGCCTCTCTTCTTTCCTCTGTGTTCGTCATTTTATCAAATTACTGGAAGCTGGGAGTTGAGGCCAAAAGGTACTTTCCTCTTCTTAAAAGTAACCTGAGTGTTGTATCTCTTCTCCTTGCCTGGAATTGTGCTATTTCTTGCATTCTTCTTCTTCTGGGACTCGAATTCTAACTGTTAGACTTGCTTCTTGTTTTCTCTGGCTTTTGCCTTTATTGATGTCTCCCTTCCTTCCCCTTTCTCCCCATCTCCTTTGCTTCTCTTTCTTTCCCTTCATTTTTTCTTCCTTTTTTGGGGAAACTTCAAGGTTCTCTCTTCTAAGGAAACATTTATTTACCTTCTATCTGTTGTTTTTGGATCATGCCAAACCATCATTTGAGTTTTGTTTTCTCTCATGTTCCCTCCTGAAATCCATCCTGTTAATCCTCCCTGGCATTCCACCCCTCACAGTTCCATCCCATTCTCTTCTCCCTGTTCCCTTCTCTTACACTCAGAAAAGTTCTGTGCACTTTTGGGGCATGTTACCTGTTTTGATTTTTTCTTCTGTGTTTTCATTCTGAGCTCTTAGAGCTGGCCCAGCAAACCTGCCTGGGCTTAGCAGTAAACCTGTGTCCTTTTCTATTACAAAGAGCAGACACATCTCCATAACCAAGACATTCCAACAGAGGAATGTGTGTGTGTCCGGGGGGATGTGTGTGTGTTTCTGTATCAACTTTAATCTTTTGCTGACTCGAAAAGTCAAACCAAGTTAAAGAAAATCATAAAACAGCCCAAAACAGACAGGTTTGATATTCCCTCTTTCTTCAGGTCTATATTATATATTTCCTTATTCCAATCAAATATTTACTGTTATTTTTACTGAAAATGTTACTGCAACAAAAATATCTTTTTATTACTATACTGTACACTTTAAAATGGCTAAGATGGTCAATTGAATATTTTTAATTTTTTTTTGTTTGTTTGTTTTTTGAGACAGGGTCTCACTCTGTCACCTAGACTGGAGTGCAATGGTGTGAACACAGCTCACTGCAGCCTTGACCTCCCAGGCTGAAGTGTTCCTCCTGCCTCAGCTTCCTGAGTAGCTGGGACTACAGGCATGCACCATCATGCCCAGCTATTTTTTTTTTTTTTAATTTCAGTAGAGATGAGGTCGCACTATGTTGTCCATGCTGGTCTCAAAACTCCTGAGTTCAAGTGATCCTCCTGCCTCAGCCTCCCAATGTGCTAGGATTACAGGCATGAGCCAGCACTCCTGACCTTCAATTGAGTTATATGTGCTTTTCACCACAAAAAAAATTTTAATTGAGACCACAGTGTTTTCCATCTCCATAGGTATGTTCTTAAGGAGAATGAATTGCATTCTGAATCATTAGGAATGTTTTCCAAAAGCACTTATCTTTTCCTCTTAATACTGCATCCAAAATAAATGTTTTTTCCCCTAATAATATGAATCACCCACTAAACTCTTTGCTTCCTAAGATTTGAATTGTAAAGGTTCTTGTATGAAGAAAAAGCTCAATAAGTGTTTGTTGGATGAATAGGGAAACCTTAATTTATCTCATGCCAGTTGTAATAATAATTAATATCTTCAGCACCACTACTATTACATCATATTTACCACAACAGCTAACATGTATTGGCACTTGCTATGTGCCAGGGAATAACCCTTCAGAGATATTATCTAATCATAGCAGCTGTATGTAACTTTGTTTTTCTTTAAAATAACTTAATTCGGATTTCAAGATCTCATTCTATCAAGGTTATAGCTGCTTTTATCTCAGACACTTCTGGGTTGTTTTTGAGTTTGTTTCTGGGTTGTTTTTCTAAGTTTTAGGGTAGAGACAGACACTTTTTTTTAACCAATATAACTGCCCCCACCCCAACTCCTTTATTTACAGACTCTTGATACCATATTGAGCAGCGAAGTGCCAGCTGACTATTCCTTTTCTTTGCCTTCTTTGCAGCTGGGGTAACCAATTCTGGCCAGTGAGACATAAGAAGAAGTCAGCTGGAAATTTCTAGCAAAGCTTTTGATTTCAGATGGCTTGATGCTAGCTCCTCCCTCCCTCTTCTTTCTTCCTGCTTTGATCTCAGATATGATCCCTGGAGCTGGGGCAGCAATCTTATGACCATGCAGGAAAAGCCAAAAATTACAAACACATTGTTGAACTATAGAACCAATTTGTAACCATCTGTTTTTTGGACATCTTATTATGTGAGAGAAATAAAGGTCTCTTTCTAAAGTCATTAGAATTGTCTTTTATGCTACTTGCAGCTGAATGTATTCTTAAGTAATACATGAGAGTTATAGAGTGCCATGGGTGTGATGGTTCTATTTTGTATTAGGGTCACTATTATCCCATCTGGTCCTTCATTACCATTCCACACAGGTCATCACTGAGGTGCCTTGTATGGAATGATTGTTGTAAGCCCTGCAACCTTCTATTCTAGATCTTTGCTATGATGGTGTTGATGGCAAGGGTCCCATCTGTTTCTGTGCCACTCAGGGATACGAGGATATTTTCAAGGCTGGCTATGGCTCTGTGGTGGACTATTACAATGATGGCTCTGATTTAACCACACCTTTAGGTATTCATGCCTTATATAGTCCTCCCCACACTGACTCTAGACTTGGTCTCATGACTTACTTTGGCTGATGGGTCATTGGCAAACAGTGCAAGCAGAGGCTCAGTAAGCTGCTTGTACATTGGGACTGGTCTGCTTGGAATGTTCCCAGCCACCATAGTATGAGAAACCCAAGCCCTACAGTGAAGCCAGTAGAAGAAAACTGAGACACTCCAGTTGACTCCCAACTGAGCAACCAGCCAACCACTATGAGCAACTGCCACCTATGCAAGTAAGCCATCTTGGGTAGTCCAACCAATTGAGCCTCCAAATGACTCCAGCCTCAGGTGAACCATATGGAGCAGGCATCTGAGCCTGGGTAATTCACAGAATCATAAGAGGTAATAAAATGCTTGATGACTTAAGCCACTAAGGTTTGGGGTATTTTGTTTCACAGTAATAGCTAACAGGAAAAGACCTCTTCTTCTTAGGTACAAAATGATTTAGAGAGTCACAGTGTTATAATGAATAGTACAGCTATACAATTATTAAAATAGATAAGTATTTGCTTTTGCATTTTTGCTGCAAGTCCTATATATATAGTGCATATGAAACACAAGAAACCTGATACATTTATAAGCCATTTCGAAACACTACATTTTCTATTCTTTTCCACTTAGCATTTATATAGTGCTCATTATCACAGAATATAGGGGCTTTACAATATTATTATTTAGCATTTATATAACACTTTTTGCCTTCAGTGTATACTACAAATTATTTTACTTTAAAATCATTTAAATTTTAAAAGTACTTTAAAATCATTTAAATTTTAAAATTATTTCATAACTCTTTTTGCAGAGGAGAAAATATATAATAGAGCCTGAAGATGTAGTTGTATTGCTTCAGTCTCATGATAAAACTTGAGTGGATGAGGAGTTGCTTCTTATGAACGAGCAAAGAAAGTGGTTACGTGAGAGGGAATCTACTCCTAATGAAGATCCTGTAAGTATTGTCAAAATGACAACAAAGGATTTAAATATTACATAAATGTTGTTGATAAAGCAGCTGCAGGGCTTGAGAACATTGACTCCAATATTTAAAGAAGTTCAACTGTGGGTAAAATGCTATCAAACAGCACTGCATGCTACAGAGAAATCTTTCATGAAAGGAAGACTCATTTGATGTGGCAAACCTCATTTTTTTTTCATTTTAAGAAATTGCCACAGTCATCCCAACCTTCAGCAACCACCCGCTGATGAGTCAGCGTCCATCAACATGGAGGCAAAACCCTCCACTAGCAAAAAGATTACCACTCACTGAAGACTCAGATGGTGATGACCATTAGCATTTTTTAGCAATAAATTATTATAAAACTAAAATATGTTCATTGTTGTTTCAGACATAATGCTATTGTACACTTAATAGATTATAGTATAGTGTAAATGTAACTTTTATATGCACTGGGATATCAAAATATTTGGGTGACTCACTTTACTGAGAGATTAACTTTATTGTGGTGGTCTGGAATGGAACCCACAATATCTTTGAGGTATGCCTGTAGTGAAATATCCCAGCACTGTGTCAGTCAACAATGACAACAGTCCTGGGCATTGATGAAGTTCAAGAATTGTGTATTCCATGAATATGCCTTCTGAGCTCCTCTCCTCTTAACAAACCCTCTAGAGTGGTTCCCATGGTGCTCCCTGTTAATGTGGCAAAACAGCATTTCAGCATGGCTGAGGGAGCTCTGACAAAGATGTCCTGAAAGCATTGTCCTGCATGTGCCCTGTTTGGGAAACCTGAGGGAAGCCTTAAGGCTACAGTTAATTAGGAATGAATTTTTTAATCAATGGTTAGGAATAATGGACTTTACTATTAACGTTTTTTGAAGAATGAATATTAAGATTATGATTATTATCAAGAGTTTTAAATGACATAATAAAATGCTTGTAAAATTATCTCAAGTGTTAACTGCAAAGTACAAAAGTGTATTGAAGTGTGATCTCAACTTTGTAAGTATAGACACAAATATTTATGGAGATCTGCATGGGAGATTGAAAGGAAATATGCCAGAATCTTTACAGTGATTATTTCTAGAAATGGGATTATGAAGGATTGCTTTTATATCCCTGTTCTTTTAAAATATTCCGTAAGTAGGTGTTACTCCTAGAATTATAAAAAGTTATATATTTTTCTTTAGAGACTTTATTTGTTGGATTTGGTTTGAAGAGTTATACATTTGTACAATTCAAATATCAAAATGCTTTAACAGGGTAAACATTGAGAGGTCTTACTGAGGATGGAGGCAGGACGTGACTCAGGAGGCAGGACGCAATCAACTTCAGAGGCAGGGCCCAGACACCGGACCAAATTGAGGACTAACTAAAACAGGGAGGAGGTGGAAGCACCTTTCCATAAGACACACCTACCAGTGTGCCATGTCAGTTTACCATTGCCATGGCAACAACCGGAAGTTACCACCCCTTTCCATGGCAACAACCCAACAACCCAGACGTTACCATCCTTTTTCTAGAAATGTCTGCATAATCTGCCCCTTAGTTTGCACATAATTAAAAACGGGTATAAATATGACTGCAGCACTGCGTCTGAGCAGCTATTCTGGGCACACTTTCTATGGGGTAGGCCTACTCTGCAGGGAGCAGTACTTCTGCTGCTGCTGTACACTGTTGGTCCAATAAAAGTTGCTAATACCACTGGTTTGCCCTTGAATTCTTTCCTGGGGGAAACCACGGACCTTCCCAGGCTAAGCCCCAATTTGGGGGCTGCGTCATCACCTCTACTCTGGTTTTCATCTCCTCCACTTCTCTATGAACAACTACTCATTTAGTTTCCTCTGCATTCTTCCTGAGTTCTTTTTGCAGATATAAGCAAATTTGAAAGCATGTTGTTATCCTCTCCCCTTTCTTACACAAAAACAACATTACATACACTGCTTTGATCCATGGACTGTAGAATGGATGTACTATTAGCAGATGTACTAGTCAGTTCTCACATTGCTTTAAGAAATACTTGAGACTAGGTATTTTATACATAAAAGAGGTTTAATTGGCTTGGGGTTCTGCAGGCTGTACAGGAAATACGATGCTGGCATCTGCATGACTTGGAAAGGCCTCAGGAAACTTACAATAATGGCAGAAGGTGAAGGGGGAGAGAGGTGTCTTACATGGCAGGAGCAGCAAGAGCAAAGGGAGAGGTGTCACACACTTTTAGACAACGAGATCTCATGAGAACCCACTCACTGTCACCAGAACAGCACGAAGGGGATAGTGCTAAACCATTCATGAGAAACATCTCCATGATCCAGTCACCTTGCATCAGGCTCCACTTCAAACACTGGGAATTACAATTCCACATGAGATATGGGTGGGGACACAGACCCAAACCACCTCAACAGGCATGAAAACAACATTAATTTCTTTGTACATCTCCATCAGAGCTCATAAGTGACCAGGTATATTGTCAATGAGCAGTAATGTTTGGAAAAAAGCAATGTTTTTCTGAGCAGTAGTTCTCAATAGTGGGCTTAAAATATTCAGTAAACCATGTTTTAAACAAATGTGCTGTCATCTGGACTTTATTTTCCCCTTTTCAGAGCACAAGTAGAGTAGATTTAGTGTCATTCCTAAGGACCCTAGGATTTTCAGAATGGTTAATGAGCATTGGCTTTAACTTAAAGTCTCCAGTCACATTAGCCCCTAACAAGAGAGTCAGCCTCTTCTTTTAAGTTTTAAAGCCAAGCATTGTCTTCTCTCTAGCTATGAAAGTCCTAGATGGCATCTTATTCCAATCCAAGGCTGTTTTGTCTCCACTGAAAATTTGTTAGCAAAGCTACCTTTATCAATGATCTTAGCTAGATCTTCTGGATAGCTTGTTGCAGCTTCCCCATCAGCACTCGCTGCTTCACTTTGCACTTTTATGTTATGGAGAAAACTTTATTCCTTAAACCTCGCAAACCAACTCTGCCAGCTGTCAGTTTTTCTTCTGCAGCTTCCTTACCCTTCTCAGCCTTCATTCATTGAAGCTTAATTATTTCTAGCTTTTGACTTAAAGTGGGAGACTTGTACCTCTTTCTTTCACCTGAATACTTAGAGGTCATTGTAGGGGCTATTAATTGGCCTAATTTTAATATCACTGTGTCTCAGGGAATAGGGAGACCCAAGGAGGGGGAGAGATGGGGAAACAATGGTCAGTAGAGCAGTCAGAACAAAAACAACATTTATCAATTAAGTTCATTGTCTTATATAGGTATAGCTCATGGCACCCCAAAACAATCACAATAGTAACATCAAAGATCACTGCTCTCAGATCAACAAAACAGATATAGTAATAATTAAAATGTTTGAAATATTTCAAACTTTGAAATTTGAATATTGTGAGAATTACCAAAATGTGACACAGAGACACAAAGTGAGCGATATACTCGCTCAGCGCAGGATCGACACGAACCTTCAATTTGTAAAAATGCTGTAGTATCAAATATTTGTGTTGCTGGTAAAACTTGGAATGGAGAGGAAAGACAAGAGGATGTCAAGAGGTGGTCTTTGTTTAATGAGTTATTCATAAGCACACTTATTATGTAGCTCTTCCAGTACTACAGTGGGGGGTGTGTGTGTGTGTGTGTGTGTGTGTGTGTGTGTGTGTTTTGCATGTTGGTCCTTTTTTTTTACAAATGAAATATATAAACATATTGAAATGAAGTTTAGCAAGAAGTCACACAGTCTTGTAGTTAGGTTATAGAAGATTTAAAGTTGAAAGACTTGCATCTGAATTCTGGTTCTGACTCTTAAAAACTGTCTTTTTTTCAAAACTCTCTGTGGGGGTGAGGGGAGGCCCTGTAGCCCACCCAACTCCAAACTAAAGAGTCCGAACTAGATTTGGTAGATGTGTCTTTATTTATATTTGTATATATTTTGTTAACAGGGCTATAGCATGATTGAAATAATATTCAGCAGAGGCTAATTTGGCAATGATCTGGCAGATGGAATGGAGAAAAGAGAGACAGAGACAGCAGACTTGGGAGTAGTCCAAGGGAATAAAGGAGGGAATGGAAAAAGGAGACTGTGAAGGAAGAACTGATGGGGTTTGAAAATTGCTTTAATGCTAGGGGCAAGAAAAATGGAAACAAATTAGCAAAAAGACCTATATTTAAAAGAGCAGGTGGTGAGGGATTAATTTGGAAGTGGGAAAGGGCAAATAATGAGTTTAGTTTCAAACAAGCTGAGCTTCAAATGCAATATATACACAAAGAAAGAAAGGGGAGTAGCAAGATGAGATGGGCAAGAAAAGTTAAATATGTGGGTAAAAGAATTCAGATGCTAAACCAGAACTGGGGGCAGCATGAGAGACACATGGTAAGGATGTTCCCAAGATGGTCTGGCAAAGGTTCTCTTTGGATCCATAAGGCAACAGAAAACACAGATTATTTAATGAAATTGAAACAATAAGCAGAATATTGAGGAGTGACACCAAATTTGACTGAAAGCTCCATTCTAAAGAGATGAATAATTCTTAACGTGAGACGGGGGGTTTATGATATATCAACTTAAGAAGTACTAGAATCTAAAGCCATTGTCTTCAAGTGGGGACTCCAGGGAACACCCAGCAGTTGATGAAATCAGAAAATTTTTATGTCATCCCAAAGGAAACTGAGATACAAAAGATTGAGATACACTGCCCCTGCTGACTGTGAACAACCTTTAAAATCTGCCCTTGGCTTTGGGAATGCTTTGAATGAATTTGCTGTGAGTTGCTTAAGAAGAGGCAGAGGGCGGAGTTTGCAACTAGAATTGTTAGGAAGAAATGAATTGGATTACAGAGATAGAGAAGATGCATTCTCATTCTAACGCCCAAATATATTAGGTCTTTAGGTAACTGAATAGACAGGAAAAAAAACAAATAGCAAAAGCATAGACTACAGTTTCCCCTTGAGGTGGTAGCCTACATGAAGCAGTTGAGAGAAGCATGAAAAGTAGTTTCTTACAAGAACTTTAATCAGTCTTTGATTATCGACATTGGTCTATGTACCTTGCAGATTAACCTTGGAAGTTACCTTGTTTTCTTCTAGTTGGCTACCTCAAATTGACAATTCCAAAGAGCATACACCCATTTTCATTTAAGAATATATAAAAACGCATTAAAAATTTTTCCATGAAAATAATTCATAATTGTTTGCTTTCCAAAATCCAGTGTGAAGAGATTTTTAAATCATCTGATAATTTAGGAAGATCTATATTAATACAGTGTTTCAATAATATCTTGAAAATCAGATTGAATGACTTCCTGGAGTGAAACATTCCCAGTCCTAAATCATTCTCTGGGAAGGGAGACATATTTGAACAGCTGTATATCAGTTTTTTTTTGTCTCATTATATACAAGTCTTTGTATTTTCCATGTCCCCAGGTCAAAGACCACCAGAGACACAAAGTTGGTTTATTGATGGAATTGGGTCAGTTGGCTCATTGTGATGAGGGAGACCTCACATCACGAGGCACCATGGGGCATCTCAGTAAGAGGATGTTGAAAAGATCTTATTATAGGCCTGGGACATGTTTAGGAGATTTTAGGGAGTGTTCAAGGCTGCTGTCAGGAAGGAGGGACTATTCCACGACTGACATTTTTACATTGCAGGTGAGAAGAACAATGCAAGGCTAACATTGTAATTGTCAAAGCAGCAGCAGTCACTAGGCCCGAATATGGGATGTTTGGATGGTTTTGTGGCTTGGACAATATTCTTGTTTTGTCTTGATAGATCAGACAAAACAATGGCCTTGAATGACATTGGTATCCTGTGCTGTGAAACAGCTTATGTTAAATGGATGAACACCATGGCCTAGCTGTGGGTGGCGAGCCAGCTCGTAGCAACACTGGGGCCTCGCTGATAGTACCAGCCCTGCTCTCCACTAACTGAGGCTGCTTTTCTCTTAGTATGAGCTCTCCCCAAATGCTGCTACTTTCCAGTTTCTCAGCAATTAGCACCATGTGTGTTTATTCATCCAACAAGTTTCTATTAAGGACCTCCTGTGTGCTAAAGCTATAATAGTAGGCAAAACAGGTATAGATCTCTTAAAATTAGAGACAGTGAGTAGAAGAAAGAGGGAAATTCATTAATTTTTAAAAATCCAGATATTTCATTACAAGCTGAGATAGTTATTTTGAAGGAAATATGGAAAGAGTTCTCAGAAGCTGTAACTATTCTAAAGAGTCAAAAAATGCTATTTGAGCAGAAATCCAAAGGATAGGTGAGAGTTGGTCAGGTGAAGAAGGTGGGGAGGGAGGGTGGGAAAGGCATTCTGGGTAGACTGAATGGTCTACCATTCAGAATGCAAAGACCCTGAGGCAGAGAGGCTTTGGAGAAACCCAAAGAAGGCTAGTATGGCTGGCTCCCTACTCATCTCTAAGCTATTTCCAAGTCTTCTCTTCGACCAAACAGTATTTATTATAATATTCAGCATTTTAAACAATGAATTTAAAAACCCAATGGGTTGTTTGAAAGCCAATTAGCTTTAGCTGAAGAAAAGCCACCCTGATGGCATATAAGAGTTAATACAGTTTCCAAAAGCAATAGTCTTAGCCTCTGAGAACTCATCAAAACCTTTAATGTTCCAATTTGAACCTAGAACCTTAGTGTTTTCACACTGAATGCTTGGACCATTCCTGCTCTTCTCCCCTAATTTTAAAATTACTTTCTTGTATTCTATGTCTTTCCTTAATTCCCTAGCCCCCCTGAGGGTGGAGTTCTATCCTATTCCTCTTCACATGCCCCCCAGCACCTTGGCATTTAGTTGGTTTTGTTGGTTTAACTAACATTGATTGAGTAATGTACCTATTTACACTCCACACTAGGAAACAAACTCTAAAAGGATGGATCTGTCCTCAGAAAGTTTAGAGTTGTGCAAGAATCTAACCCACCATCTAATAAAAGTGAAATCCAACTTTTTAGCCACCTTATCAAATTATTCGACATAAATTTCTGTATGGCTCCTCCCATGATAAAATAATCTTTATTTTACACTTCAAGGAAACTACTTTTAATACTATTTTCTATTTTTTTCAAAATGAAGTTTGACAATTACAAGATGTTGTTACTGTTGTTAAAACCAAGTGGCTTAATTGTGATCCCATTTGCAATTGATGTTTTCACCTTAGGGTATTTGAAAATGAGGTGTGTTTCCTTTTATGTTTTCAATGGCAGCCCCTTGTAATGGTTGTATGAGCACAAGACTGAGAATTAGGAGCCCTTCATTCTGTCCCTGACTCACCAAGTTACCCAACTTAACCTCATCTCATCTGTGAAATGGGGATAATAATACTTACCTCTCTCACTGGGGTATCATGAGTATTAATTAGTGTTTGTCAAGTGCTTTGAGATCTTCAGATGAAAGGCCCCGTGGAAGCTCAGTATAAAGTACTATTCTATAAATCTCCCCCACCCCCCACTTTCACCTGAACGGTGATTACCAATTATAGCCAGCTCTAAAAGGCGCTAATGCCGCATTCAGACACGACAAGGCAAGTTTTATTGGTCCATTAGGACATGTCTACTTGAAGGAATTAGTTTTGTGAAAATGGTTATTATGCCAAGGGCTTTTATTTTAGGCAGTCGTTGCTCTTAGTAGTTAATAGTTAAATATTAAGCCATTTGGAAAGACTGGTTTCACGTTTTGATTGGAAGGACAAGCCTTCATGCCATGCCATTTACATCTAAAGAAGCTTAGGCATGTGGTGTGGGAGAACCTACTTCCCATAAAATGAAATTATATTTATATGGAAGCCAACTTTGGTTTCTGAGAAACCAGCTGGATGGTGAAGACAATACTATCCACTTAATTAGAAAAGGAAGAAGTGACTCCCACATATAATTATCTGGATTCTAATTTCAAAGAATTCGTAACTCACGAAAGATTAATTCTGTCATTAGAACCACATTTCATATGTGGCAGCAAGCTAAATCAGTTCATGGTACCTTTTTTTAAAAAAAAACTCTTAGCAAGCTAATGTTCAACTGCAGAAAGGGGGCATGAACTCTTAGCTGATTGTTGGATTGAAATAATGTATGTTCTTTGAATAATCAAAACACTATTAATTTATCCTGTTCCAGGTTTGTTTGTATGTTTTTTCTGATCTACTATCAGAGATTTTCCTGGTTCAAAAGTAATTGATTATTTCCTCAGAAAGCAGGTTATTAGCTAGATGAGACCATTTCAGAAGCTAATTGAGTTGTTACAATGAAGATCTTATTGAGAAGTCAGGTGACATATTCATATTTTCATGACTACAAATTTCTTTTTAAAAATAAAAAGTAGAAATTCTTTAAAAAGTCAGTTTCGTCAATCATTGTAGAATTGTGTTTTTAAAAAATTTGAAAGGCAAGACAGAAGATAGAGTGACAAAATTTTACCATTATTTTTTCATATAGAAAGTAATAAACTAGTTTCTGATCATATAGATCACAAGGTGACTTATCTTCATGAAATTAATTCATGTCATGTTCATAAACACTGTATGACCTCATTTAGATTCATTCCCACTTTGTGATAATTTAGGTGTAAAGAGCAGTAAAGCCACCAGTGTTTTACCCATGAAGACAGTGCTCCTTGAGTAAATTCACTGTGTAAACAAGGGAAACGGACTTTCTTTACTTAAGAGTGAGGTCTAACATTGTCCAGGGCCTGAGAAACCAGTTAGTGGCATTGTGGGCATACAAAAATCATGTCAATTACAGATGATTCTTATCTATCTATTAACATACCTAGCAGTCCGCAGCTAAGACTTATAACCCCGTTATCCTGATCATAATTTTGCTGTTTGTTTACTAACACAAACACATATCTTTTTTTAAAAATCACAGATTTAAGTGATCTAATGAGCTTTCTTCTATGTTTATTTTATTATTCTAAAAATATTTTCATCAACACTGAAAATCATTTATTCATTCATTCAACAAACACTACCCCAACTGAGAATGCTATTGTCCCTGACTGGGAGGTGGGAGAGTAGAAAGACATTTTTTAGAAATGTTGGCCAGGCATGGTGGATCACACCTGTAATCCCAGCCCTTTTGAAGGGCAAGGAGAGTGGATTGCTTGAGCCCAAGAGTTCAAGCAGCCTGGGCAACATAGTGAAACCTCATCTCTACTAAAAATAAAAATTAAAAAATTAGCCAGGTGTGGTGGTGCACGCCTGTGGTCCCAACTCCTAGGGAGGCTGAAGCGGGAGGATTGTTTGAGTCCAGGGGATCAAGGCTGCAGTGAGCTATGATCATGCCACTGCAGCCTGGGTGACAAAGCAAGACCCTGTCTCCAAATAATAAATATTTTAAAATTGTTGTGTAGTGTGACATAGAAAGGAGAATCTTATTTATTCTGGCAGATTATGGGGAGGGCAGATGGTGGAAAGGATGATGCCAGGCTGCATCTTCTGAGAAAACAGTGAGGAGTTGTGAGAGGTGGGGAGGGGGCAGGCAGGAATGGAGGGGTAGCTGGCATGCACCGGGGTGGGCAGACTGAGAAGCAGGGCAGGCTCTGGTCAGCAGTGGCCTTACTATTCATGCTAAACAAGTTTGATTTTATCCCAAACATGATTTGACATTGTTGGAGGGTGTTAGTAGTGGGATGTGACCAGATTTAGGTTTAAAAGGTCTCTTGGGGGCTGGGCGCGGTGGCTCATGCCTGTAATCCCAGCACTTTGGGAGGCCGAGGCAGGTGGATCACAAGGTCAGGAGATAGAGACCATCCTAGCCAACATGGTGAAACCACATCTCTAATAAAAATACAAAAATTAGCTGGGCGTGGTGGCCCATGCCTGTAATCCCAGCTACTTGGGAGGCTGAAGCAGGAGAATGGCTTGAACCCTGGAGGCAGAGGTTGCTGTGAGCCGAGATCGTGCCACTGCATTCCAGCCTGGTGACAGAGAGAGACTCCATCTCAGAAAAAAAAAAAAAAAGATCTCTTGGGAAACCCTGCTACTTTCCAGACCTGGCTTATCATCAAAACCACTAAAATACACAAACAAAAGCAAAAACCCTTTTAAAATTTCTTTACAAAGAGTGAAAACACAAAAAACCAGAATCATATAAAAAAGGAAAGGCAAACGATTCCTTGTTTCCTTCACACTTTCACTAACATAAAAAGGTTGTCTATCACTTTTTTAAAAGTTTTCTCCCAGTCTTTATGCAGATCCAAGCAAATAAGACTATGAAATCTTTTCACCAGGCATGGTAATCCTGTTATCCCAGCACTTTGGGAACCAAGGTGAGAGGATTGCTTGAGGTCAGAATTTTGAGACCAGCCTGGGAAACATAGTGAGATCCCATCTCTACAAATAATAATAATAATCAAAATTTTAAAAAATTATCTGGGTGTTCTGGACTCCCCAAGGCTGGCGGCCTCCACTCAGGTTCTCCCGTCCTGGGATGAGGCTTCCCGTGGCCTGGACTTCTCCATTCACCTGTGGATTTGTGTGAAATGCGACCTCAGGAGGGTCAAGACCCCCACAGGGAGGCCACAGCGGGGCAGCTGGTGCCCCAGGTCCTCACCCAGACTGTGCTGGGTCCCCTCTGTTGTGGGTTTGGGGTTCGTGTCTCCTACCAGCCACTGCTTCCTCCTGAGCTCTCAGCCTCCCACCCCTCGTCTTCCTTCCTGCGGTGGCCCTGATGCATGGTGACCACTGCCCGGCTTGGCTCCTTACTCCAGTCATACCCTTGAGCATTCTCAAGCCACCCACAGTGGGAGATTCCAACTCATGTGGAGTTTTCAGTTGTTGCGGGAGGTTGGGTGTTTTCAAACATTAAAGACATTTTGAGTAAATAAATTTGCTTGATATAAACCACCCCCTCAAAAAAAAAATTAGCTGGGTGTGATGGCACATGCCTGTAGGCCCAGCTACTTGGGAGGCGAGGCAGGAAAATAGCTTGAGCTCAGGAGTTCAAGGCTACAGTGAGCTATGATTGTGCCACTCCAGCCTGGGCAACAGAGTGAGGCCTTGTCAGGAAGGAAGGAAGGAAACAAAGAGAGAGAGAGAGGGAGAAAGGAAAAAGAAAAAGTCTTATTTTCCTTTTCTTAACCTGAAGACAGCATGTTATAGTCATCATTCTGCACCTTGCTTTTTTTTTTTTTTTTTTTTGAAACAGGGGTCTTGCTATACTGCCCAGGCGGGTCTCAAATTCCTGGGCTCCAGCAGTCCACCCGCCTCAGCCTCCTGAGTAGCTGGAATTACAGGTCCGGGCCATGGCAGCCATCTGCTTTTTGGAATTGTTATGGAAGGGCTCAACTGGGGAGTCTTTATCTGCACAAGCCTCCTTGCTGACAATGATAATCAGATGGAAATACAGGCCTACGTGAAGGATTGAAAGAATATAAGTTTGGAAGAAAGAGCCCAGTTCAAAAGCAGTAGGAGTGGAAAGAAAGCCACATTTCCAGGGATATTAGGATCCTGGGTAAGAGAAATTCCTATTGTAATTAGGCTAAAATCTTCAACATAGTCAAACGAGGTATTTTCTATTCCTGGTAAGTCAAGTTTCACCCCTGTAGCCCCCTAAACAAGGAAAGGGTAGATGCTGCTGAGGGAAGAAGGAGGTGTGGGGTAAGGGGATACTGGCTCGGTGGAGAAAGTGTAGGCAGGCAGAGGCTTCTGCTCTACTCCCCTCAGGGTGACACGGAGGGACTGGGTTTGATTCCTAGGGGATCCCTCGGTAATCTTGTGGGGAAACAGGAAGGCACCTCATATTCTCTGGGGGACTGCAGAGAGATACTTAGGTTAGCTGAGCTGCCTGGCAAGCCTCCTAGAAGGTTACAGCACTGGGTGTGGCAGGTCCTTGACCTGGAAGTCTTCTGGGCGGACCTTCTACAACAGAGCCCAGTGGGGATCAGCGCCATGCCTCAGGACTGCCATGGCATCAGAGGACTGATGTGGCTCCTCCACAGGATGGGCTTCTGGGCCCAGGCTGAGCCGCCGAGCCCCCAGTGCCAACACTAGGCATGGGGTCAGGATAAAGACCTGGACTGTTAGACCCGAGCCCCCTGCTCTTCCCCGAACCCTTGATACACACGCCGAGGGGCCATCTTGGACAGGAGCCGAGGGAGGGACAACAAATCTGAAAAAGCCAGGATTTATCCGACGAGACAAATGACCTTAAACATATGTTTAAGTTAGTGGGTTAGGCCGAGTTTACATGTATTGCCAACAATGATGAGCAGGTGATTATAACAAGGAAAAAAAGCAATTTTTTGTTTACATATCTAACTGTAAGAAATACACATGCAACTCCACTGCACTACTATTTAAGTTTTTTTTAAAATAATATATGAGATTTTAGACTTCTCCCAAGACCAGAACATTCAAAGATGGCTAAAATAATTTTGCTCAAGGTCCAGAAAAGCTCTATTAAAATATGCAGGTCAGAGAAGAATTGAGCCAATAACAGATATGTTTATTGGCCTCATATTTTAAAGGTGAAAATTAGGAAGGCTCTTAAAGAGTTATGAGGCCAGTGGTAGGACTTGTTTTAGAATTGCCACTCACGAGTTCTGGCTTTCTCTACTTAAGACTATTCTCTTTTTACATATCACTTTTGTGGTTTCTTTGGCATACTTTTGTATTTTAGTATGAAAGCATGGAAAAAGTTGTGTCATTAATAGAGCTTTGCAAGTAGCAATCACTATGGATCTCTCAACCCCCAGGGCCACTGGAGAATTGAGCAGCCTAAATCTCTGCAGTCTGGCTGGAGACTTTGCTGCATTGCTGATGATACATGTTGATCAATAATTGTTTTCCAAAAAATAAAGTTTTGATTTGTGTACTATAAAAATCATTGTTCTTTTAAGGCTGAAAGAATCCCTGCTCCCAAAAAGGACATGATTCCTTGGTAGAAAAAAACTGATCCCTGAGAAAATTCACCTTCAGCATAGCTGGTTTCCTAGATACACGTTTTCCCTTTGAATGTGATAGCCACAGTGGCAAAGCTTCCAGACGAGGGTCCAGTTACCATTTCCATACCGCTGAAAAAAGTAATTGGATGTGCAGCATTCATATGCACACACAGCTTATTCTGTTAATTGAGGCATAAAACACGGTATGAAGAACTGACAAAAATTTTTTTCTTAGGCTCCTAAAATGTTTGTGAGGTCCAAAATTTATCAGCAATTGAGGTGTACCATGTAAAGAGTTGCCATACATTATTTGATCACAAAATCATGTGGTTCTTAGGTAAATGGCTTAATTGTATAGCATTTTTAAACTATGTGTAATTGTAAGACTTGGTGTTATATAATTTGGTTGCTGTTGCTCTTCATTAAAGACTTTTGATAGTAATATAAGCCTTGCGTACTTGGTGATGCCAAAGGCTTATCCATTAGATGTAAGTGTTATTACAGCAATAAAACATGTCTGTATTCCTCCTGGTATAGATGTTATGCTCTTTTTAAAAAAAGAAAAAATGTTTAGAAGCTTTTTTTGTAAATAAAAGAAAATAAAAACCATTTAAAATAACATTTTTACTATAGGACAGATAATTCAGAGAAAAACAATTATGAATTAAAACATTTCAAGTGAAGAAGTCAAGAATTTACTATTGAGAAAAAAAGAAAGCTTAACCAGATTGATTCAATGTATTACTATAATTGTTTGATTCTGATATCATTCTTTCCATACAGGTAGTTTTATGTTTGGAGTTCTTTTGGGGAAGAGTTTATGCCTTATTTCTCAAATCTTCTAGCCCTGGGATCTTCTTTCACCTTAGATTCAATCTTTCCTGCCTTTTCTAAAAAGAAAAGCTTTCACACATGCTAAGACTGCATTTTCAATTTTTATCCTGGTAAAGCAAAGCAAAAATAAACAAACAAAATTTCAGCTATTTAAAATAAGTGAAATCTGCTCGGATGTTTTGAAAGTTAAGAAAATGTTAGGGGAAATTTCACATGGGTAGCATTTCAGGGACTTCTCTTAGCTTTTCAGTTTTCACAATGGATGTCTCTTTTTCAGTCTACCTTTGGAGGCATTTGGGTGGAAATAGGGAGAAACTGAGTTACTTGTCAAAATTATTCCATGCAAGAAAATGTGGTGTTTTGGGGTCTCAGTATTAACCATTTGGGCAGAGACCCACTAATTGTACAAGGAAATGGATGAAGTACTTGCCAATAGTCTTTGTGTGAGGCTGATTCATATTATGATAAATATTTACTGAGTGCCCATTATTTGCCAGGCACTGGGAATTCTGATGGGATTTTACTCAGAATCATTCATGTTTAGTTCACATTTGATGAATCAGAAAGCAGGCTTTAAACCATATGATGGTTAATATTGAGTGTCAACTTGATTGTATTGAAGGATGCAAAGTACTGTTCCTGGGTGTGTCTGTGAGGGTGTTGCCAAAGGAGATCAACATCTGAATCAGTGGACTGGGGAAGGCAGACCCACCCTCAATCTGGGTGGGCACAATCTAATCAGCTCCCAGCACAGCCAGACTAAAAGCAATCAGAAGAACGTGGAAAGACTAGACTGGCTAAGTCTCCTGGCCTACATCTTTCTCCCATGCTGGATGCTTCCTGCCCTCATACATCGGACTCCAAATTCTTCAGGTTTTGGACTCTTGAACTTTCACCAGTGATTTGCCAGGGGCTCTCGGGACTTCAGCCACAGACTAAAGTCTGTACTATTCACTTGCCTAATTTTGAGGTTTTGGGACTTGGATTGGCTTTCTGGCTCCTCAGCTTGCAGACGGCCTATTTAGGGACCTCCCCTTGTGATGGTGTGAGTCAATTCTCCTAATAAATGCCCCTTCGTATATACATCTATCCTATTAGTCCTGTCCTCCTAGAGAACCTAATACAAACCAGAATCATCAATTCTCTTCTAATCTTTGGGGAAAAGAAATCTGTCTTATTTTTAAAAGTATAGCTAGTAAAACAAATTTTCATCTCTTTTTTTAGTTCACACAGTCAGCAGGATGATAGTGGGAAAGGCATTTACTTACTGTGGACCCTGAGTTTCTCATCTAAAATTAGGGAATTAATTAGAACAAAAGATTTCGAAGTGGTTCTCAAACTGTCATGTGCATTGGAGTCACCTGGAGGGTTTGTTGAAATGCTAATTTCTGGACCCCACCCCCAGATTTTCTGATTCAGTAGGTCTAGGGTGGGGCTGAGAATTTGTTTTTCTAACAGGTTCCCAGGTGATGCCCATCTGGGATCACACTTTGAAAACCACTGGCTTAGGGTACTTTGATCTACCCATAACTCCTGACCTTCAGTGTTTAACGATATATGATCTTTTCCATTAAACTTTCTCAAAAGATTTTTCTTATGATAATTTCATCTAAGACTGTGCAGACTAGCACCTAGAACATTTATTCAGTAATCCCTCATCCCAGTGTAGATTTCCAAAATTTGGACACTGTGAGAGTTAAGAGCAATTCCTTTATATCCAAGAATGCATGAAAGTGATCTTCATTTCTGGATTCATGCCTTATTTATTTACACGTAAGTGATAACCAGCTCTGCTCTGCTGAAACTTTCAGCTGCTTTCACTCCCCCCTTTTCTTCCTGGCAGATCTTGAGTCTTTGCAGGGAGGAAAAGGAGAATACCTTCTTGGCATGTAAAGTCAGGCACAAACATTGATGAGTGGAAGTGTAAATAAAGTTGTGGTCAAGTTGTTGAGCTTTTCTATAATCAAGCAGGTTCTGAAAAATCTGTGGGATCTATATAAAGATGTTTTAATGTCTGTGTAGGGGGTGGTAACTCTAAAATAAACTCTTTTTTTTTTTTTGAGACAGAGCCTTGCTCTGTTGCCCAGGCTGGAGTAAAGTGGGGCGGTCTCAGCTCACTGAAACCTCTGCCTCAGGGGTTCAAGCAATTCTCGTGCCTCAGCCTCCCAAGTAGCTGGGACTATGGGACTACAGGCACAGGCCACCATGCCTAGCTAGTTTTTTTGTATTTTTAGTAAAGACAGGGTGTTACCATGTTGCCCAGGCTGGTCTCCTGAGCTCAGGCCATCTGCCCACCTTGGCCTCCTCCCAAAGTGCTAGGATTGCAGGCACGAGCCACCGCGCCCAACCTAAAATGAACTCTGACACATGCCACAGATAAGAAGAAATTGGAGGAATCAATGTGACCAGGTCAATGTCCTTTGGCTTCTTGTTTTTTTTTTCCCATCTAATTTTCATCCTTATGTAAATTTTTCCCATATCAAGCCACAATCTCCTTGATCCAAATCTTGCATGAAAGTCTTTGGCTCTCCCCATTGGTGGCCCAAAAGGATCTTGAACCCTGGGCAAATGGCAATGACCTGCTCTTGGCCACCTGGATCAGGTCAAGTTGGGCTTAGACTTTGGATGAGGTACAAGCAGTGGGGCCTGCTCATACCTCCAACACATCCAAAGTTGCTGTGGGTCTTCTGGTCAGCCCATATCTGGCTACATCTGTCATGTTCAATTTTGTACTATTCTAAGTTTTCATTAAGGTACATATTTATCAACAACAACAACATACATGATACTGATATTTGCTTCTCATTTTACTCTTTTGCATTTAAATGGTGGTAGGAAAATGGTCTTCCCTTAGGGTGATAGGCTCATAAGATTAGAAATAATCTATTCTGGGATTTTCAACCTTATTCAAGAGCATCACAGTTCAGAGGGTGCCTTTGGGGCCACCCGGGATGGAAGTACGGAGCTGGTTAAACAGATCCCCTCAATTAGCTTGGCTTTCATCTTTTTTATATATTAGGGTTCTACATAGGATTTTGCTTAAAAGACATTTAGCAGCTTTAAAAAGTGCAGTTTGAGGCCAGGCTCACACCTGTAATCCCACCATTTTAGGAGACCAAGCTGGGAGGATCATTTGAGGCCAAGAGTTTGAAACCAGCCTGGGCAGCATAGCAAGACCCCATCTCTACAAAAAATTTTCAAAAAAATGAGGCGTGGTGGCACACACCTTTAGTCCTAGCTACTCGGGAGGCTGAGGTGGGAAGATCACTTGAGCCCAGGAGTTCAAGGCCGCAGTAAGCTATAATGGTGCCACTGTGCTCCAGCCTGGGCAACAGAGTGAGATCTTGTCTCTAAAAAAAAAAAAAATACTCCTGTTTGAAAACCAATTTAATCTAACCCCCCATTGTGCAATTGAGAAAACTGAGACTTGGATATTAGTCTAAAGTCATGCAGTTAGAATTAGCTGGGTGGAAGGTGTGGTCTCTACAAGTTCAGGTAATTTGTTTTTCACATGTCTGTCTGCAGGCCCCAGGTGGTGACTAACATTCATTTTTAATGCTCACATTATTTATTTATTTATTTTATTAACTTTTTGTGAATTGTATTCTCTGATGACTGGCATCTTTATAAGAGAAAAGAGAGGGAGATTCAGACAGACACAGAGAGATGCAGAGAGAATTTTGTTCACCTAAAATTAACCATTTTAAAGTGCCTAATTGTGTGGCATTTAGTAAATTCACAACGTTATGCAAACAGCACTTCTTTCTCTCTCTCTTTTATTTTTATTTTTATTTTTTGGGAAACGGAGTTTCACTCTTGTCGCCCAGGCTGGAGTGCAGTGGTGTGATCTTGGCTTATTGCAACCTCCACCACCCAGGTTCAGGCAAATCTCCTGTCTCAGCCTCCCTAGTAGCTGAGATTACAGGCGCGTGTCACCATGCCGGCTAATTTTTGTATTTTTAGTAGAGATTGGATTTCACCATGTTGGTCAGGCTGGTCTCAAACTCCTGACCTCAGATGATCCGCCCACCTCAGCCTCCCAAAGTTCTGGGATCACAGGCATGAGCCACCACGCCCCGCTAAGCATCACCTCTTTGTTGTTCCAGAACACTTTAGTCACCCCAAAAGGAAAGAGTTCCCATGAATCAATGACACTCCATTCTTTAAGCCACTCTAGCCCCTGGCAACCACAAATCTGCTTTCTGTCTCTGTGGATTTACATGTTCTAGATGTTTCTTATAAATGAAATCATATGATATATGGTCTTTTGTGTCTGGCTTCTCTCATTCAGCATAATGTTTTCTAGGTTCATTCACATCATAACACGTTAGTACTTCTTTCCTTTTTATGATTGAATAATATTCCATTGTATGGATATACCACATTTGTTTATTGTAGTTTCTTTATTTTCATTTTCTCTTCTAAGGCACCCTATTCTTGTTCCTGGAAGCAGGTTGCCTATAGGATTGAATCCATGGGGGTGGGAACACATAAGGATGACAGCTAAATAACTACACTCAAGGCCTTCTTTTCAATTCTCCAGGGCCCACTGTTGGTCCCTTTAGCAATCAGCTTGGTACTGACCTTGAATCAGTCACTTGATCTCCCTGTCCCTCAATTTCCTCAGCTATAAAGTAGGCTTGATGACTGCCTGCTACCTATCCCACAGGGAATAACGAGTTAATGCTCATTAAAAGCTTTCAGCTTCTCAGATGTTAGGCACCATATATTGTAGATAAGTACAACGTAGCAATCTAATAAGCATCCTCTGGGAGTTCAGTTTGTTTTTCCTAATTATCTTTTTTAAAAATGACAAACCTCAGCAAATTTTCCCAGGCATGTGGGGTGCACCCTTTCTCATTCCAGAACATGCCTTACTCTTGGGCATAGTGGGGGTATGCTCTCAGGGCTACCTGAAAGGGGTCTTTTCTCTGCTTGCCCCAGCACATTACCTGCTCATCAATTCTAGAATCAATGTAGGGTGTTAAAGATGACTGAGCAGCCACCATTTGCCAAATGTAAGACAATTGGGTCTACGATCTCATTAGATTCTTAAGGCAGCCATGTGATACAGATGTTACTCCAATCTGAATATGAAGCCATGGAAGCCCAGTGGGATAATGTGACTCGTGCAAAGTTCCAAAGCCAGGAACAAGAGGAGGTAGGACTCAGTCCTGCTTGTGTAACATCTTTGCAGTCTGTGCTGCTTCACTTTCAGAATGGACTGGTGGCATTCCTGAGAAGGTTTTGAGTGGTCATATTGGACTCTGTGCATCTGAAAGGTCTTGGGAGAACAGTAAGATGGAATGGAAGAAGCAAACATACTGATTTGAATGGGACAACCCCTAAATTCATGTCCACTCAGAACCTCAGAATGTGATCTTATTTGGAATGAGGATCTTTGCAGATGTAGTTGGTTAAGATGACGTCACTTAATCTCCATGTGCCTCAGTTTCCTCAGCTATAAAGTAGGCTTGATGACTGTCTGCTACCCATAAGGGTAGGCCCTAAGTCCAATGACTGGTGTCTTTTTTTTTTTTTTCTTCAAGACAGAGTTTCACTCTGTAGCCCAGGCTAGAGTGCAGTGGCGCGATCTCTGCTCACTGCAAGCTCCACCTCCCGGGTTCATGCCATTCTCCTACCTCAGGCGTAGCTGGGACTACAGACGCCTGCCACCGGGCCCGGCTAATTTTTTGTATTTTTATTAGAGACGGGGTTTCACCATGTTAGCCAGGATGGTCTCTATCTCCTGACCTCGTGATCCACCCACCTCAGCCTCCCAAAGTGCTGGGATTACAGGCGTGAGCCACCGCGCCCAGCCGACTGGTGTCTTTTTAAGAGAAAGTAGAGGGAGATTCAGATGCACACAGAGGGAAGAAGGCAGAGGTGGGAGTGATAAAGCTGCAAGCCAAGGAATGACAAAGATTGCCAGAAACCACCGGAAGCTAAGAGGCAAAGAAAAAATCTGCCTTAGAACCTTTGGAGGAAGCAAGGCCCTGCCAGAGCCTTGATTTCAGCTTCCAGAACTGTGAGCTAATACATTCCTGTTGTTTTAAGCCGCCCAGTTTATGGTACAGAAGTCCTTGGAAACCAATACATAAACCTTCCTACATTTTGTAAGTTGGCCTGTGGACTCTTCCACTGGACTCTTCATGTCACAGTTAATTATGGAATGAGAAAATATTCTGAACTGTTTAGATTATCAGAAATTGAAATTTTTATGAAAAAGAAAAATCCCTTCCCATGAGCAGCCTTTAGCCACCTGGCTATGATGATTCTCAAGAAACAAAAATGTCAGTGGAAAAGAAAAAGTTTATAAAGGAATAGAATGATATATATAAGTAAGTATAACTACTATAGTAAGTATACTACCCTTAAGTAGGTATAATTACTAAATTTCTTTTTAAAGAAATAGACTAGAAGGCATAGGTTTGATGCCCAGGGAAGTGAAAAGATTGCTAGTGTTTGAAACAGTTTATTTAACGAAAAAGAAGAAAGAGCTGGAAACAAATAATAAATAAATTGAGCTGGGCGCGGTGGCTCACGCCTGTAATCCCAGCACTTTGGGAGGCCGAGGCGGGCAGATCATGAGGTCAGGAAACGGAGACCGTCCTGGCTAACACAGTGAAACCCCGTCTCTACTAAAAATACAAAAAACAATTAGCCAGGCATGGTGGCAGGCACCTGTAGTCCCAGCTACTTGGGAGGCTGAGGCAGGAGAATGGTGTGAACTTGGGAGGTGGAGCTTGCAGTGAGCCGAGATCCTGCCACTGCACTCCAGCCTGGGCGACAGAGTGAGACTCTGTCTAAATAAATAAATAAATAGAAGTGAAGAACAAGAAAATGTTAACCTGAACTTAAAATGTTGGTTGCAACATATTTACCAAGACTAGTCTTCTGGTGAATGCATCTGGAAATTCAGGGTCAAGAGGATTTTTCTCTCTGGGTTGAGTACAGGGATTAATGGAAGGCAAAGATGATATCATTTATCAAAGTAATATAGATTAGGTGTGGGAGATTTTTGACTGATGTCCGCTTGTGTTACTTTTTATTAATTGGTTCATCTTACACTTCACTGCTGAAGCTTATACAGAGGGTGGTGGTCAAAGTTTGGCTAAAAAGAGCCTAATTTTCAGGTTGAGGGGTGGATAGTCAGCCATTTTTCATTCAGTTGGGCAGAAAGAGCAGAGGATAGATGACCCAAAGTCCTGATTTCTATTTCAAATTCTCCATCAACTAGCTTATGACCTTGCATAAGATCACCCAATATCCACAAGTCTCAGTTTTCTCTTCTGTTTTATGAAAGTACCAAGCAACATGATGTGTAGAACACCTGTATGTACTATGAATAAAATACCCCTTTTCCAGTTAAATAAAGAAGCCAAACATGATAACGGTGTTTCAAGATGTACAGAGATTGGGGTAGGGGCCAACTCAAAGGACGTAGGTAAATGTACTGTTTATTCGGAGCAGAATTAATGATTTAAGATGAGGTTTCATGAAAGCCTAAGTACATAAGTCAAATGAATTCTATCAATTAACTTGATGATATCCCAAATTCATTGCTGTACACGCAGGTCCAAATGATCATATCCCCCTGATATTCTGCATTAGAAGAAACTGACACAAAGCCTTAAAATGATAGTCTTAAGAAAACAGATTAATGCATTAATATTTTATAGCAAAATCTCTAATCTAAAGAAAAAATGCTTTCCAAAAGTAATGACAATGGAATGAGACCATGTGATGGTTAATATTGAGTGCCAACTTGATTGAATTGAAGGATGTAAAGTATTGATCCTGGGTGTGTCTGTGATGGTGTCGCCAAAGGAGATTAGCATTTGAGCCAGTGGGCCAGGAAAGGCAGACCCACCCTTAATCTGAGTGGGCACAATCTAATCAGCTACCAGCATGGCCAGAATATAAAGCAGGCAGAAAAATGTGTAAAGGCTAGACTTGTTTAGCCTCCCAGGCTACATCTTTCTCCCATGCTGGATGCTTCCTGCCCTCGAACATCGGACTCCAAGTTCTTCAGCTTTGGGACTCAGACTGGCTTCCTTGCTCTTCCATTTGCAGATGGCCTATTGTGGGACCTTGTGATTGTATGAGTTAATACTACTTAATAAACTCCCTTTTACATATATCTATCCTATAGTTCTGTCCCTCTAGAGAACCCTGACTAATACAGACCAGTGAAGTTAGTAAAAGGAAATGAGATCACCTTTATAGTCTTCTCTGCATACATACCTGCACATAAAAATGTCAAAATGTCTTGTTTTTGGTAGATGCTCAAAAAAAGTTGGTTGGATGAATAAAAACTTTCCTCTTGTATTACACCAATTGTTTCCCTTCCTCTTCCATTTTTACTTTGTTTTTATAAAATATTATATTTTTAATAAAATGTTTTTATATTTTATATTTTTACTTTGATTTTCTAGGGTTTTGTTTTGTTTTGTGTTTTAGATTTGGGGGCAGCACCATAAAAAACTGATCACCCAGGCACCTCCTTGCTCCTTCCCTGGCAGTCCCTAAAGTGATCCATTTAGGCTAAAGTTTTGATGAAACCATGAAACTCACCATTAAAGATTCCTAAGACTTCATTCTCAAAATGATAGTATGCTCATTCATTTCAAATGCAAACTAACAAAAAATACCCAATCCAAGTTTTCCCACAAGTTAAGCCAACATCAAAAATTATTTTTCTGTGCCAAATTTTTAGTACATTAAAAGTTATGAGTATCTGTAGGTTGAATTTGGGCCAGTAAGGAGAGTTTCATTTCCTTGACAGGACTAAATTTTTATGGGGAACTCTCATAATCAGGATTTCTTTAGCAATCACATCTAACACAATTTCTGAATTCCATAGAACTAACCGACTACCATTGTCTATATCAGTTTATAGTCTCCTGGCAGTCACAGGCCATTTAACCTAATGGATAGCAGAGTTTGCAGCTGAAATTGGGTGGGAGAGCTAGAGCTTGTAACTTATCCTTTTTGGGCCATCCTGTCTTAAAACTGTTTCAGTCCATTTTCTGGACACTGTGAATATTCAGCTTACAAGAATGTCAGTCATAATTGATATTTGTAAAAAGAGCTTTCAGATCCATGGATGAAAGGCATGAGATAAATACAGAGTATTATTATTATTAATCATGATTGTTGTTATTATTACAATTGCTGGCTATTATTATAGTTTTATTAGAACCTCTCTAAAGGTCATGTTGATGATCTTGACGTTTCTTAAGAACAGGATTCTTAGCTCCTTTATCCGTCCTAGTTTATCCATTGCTTCGTTTTAACTGTTAAGGATTTAAGCCAATTGAATTATTAGAGCTTAGTGAGAATAGCTCCAGCAGAGTTGGAGGGTAAATCATATCAGCTTTGGTGAACAAGGTGCAAGATAATGCTCAAAAAAAGTGAAGAGCTCTCTTTATGTTATGCCTCTCCTATCACTATTCTGAGACAAGATTTTCACTCTATGGAAATCAATTATCTTATAAGGAGGATAATTTAGCATTAATCACCCTGTTGACAGTTTATAGGCTTTGATTCTAAGTTCTCTATTTATATCTCCAATTCAATGAACTCTTTCTTGATGCAAATTATCCATTTTTCCAAGTTTTTGTATTTTTATATTATTTATCAGTCTATAGAATGACAAATAGTATACTCTTTGTATACTATTTTATATTATTTATCAGTCTATAGAATGACAAACAGTATACTATTTGTATACTATTTTTATATTATTTATCAGTCTATAGAATGACAAATAGTGTACCATTTGTCATTCTATAGACTGATAAATAATATAAAAATACAAAAACATGGAAAAACGTAATGTCCACCCTCAATAGTGCCCAGCCTCATTGGAAAGAAGACAAGTAAGTCGACAACTAGAATACCTTATAATAAGTACTGTGATGGAAATATGCATAGCACTCTCATGGAACTCAGGGGAGAAGTCACCAGACTGTGGAGCAGGAATGCCTGGGTAAGGATGCAGCAGGAAGCAAGAAGGAGTAGGAAGAGGTTCTCAGAGCAGGTGGACCGAGTAATGAAAGATGTGTAAAAGTCAGCTAGGGAAAAAAGAATAAGTTTTATGATGTATTTTAAGAAATTTGATGTGCTTGGAGAGTAATGAGACTTAGGAGAAGTGTTAGGAAATTAGACTGGTCAAGGGATATGGGCCAGAACACAAGAGCCTTGGATGTCATGCCTAGGAGCTTGAATTTTATCCTGAAGGTAATAAAAATCATTAAATTATTTCAAGTAGTGATTTAGACAACACCATTTGAGAAAGATCATTTCTACTGTAGACTGAAGGATGTTTAAAGAGGGCGAGGATGGAGAAAGATAGATCTCTGGGGGAGAAAAATCAACAGAGGTTGGTGATTAATTGGATACAGAAGGCATGAGAAAGGACCTATGGGAACTACCAGATTTCTGGCTTCCATTAGCCCCTGTAGATGATGGTACCACCCACCGAAATGGGGAATACAAGAAAAGGCACTTTTTTTTTCAGAAAAGATGATAAATCCTGTTTTTTTAGATGTTGATTTGAGGTGATTATGTGATAAATGTCTTCATACTTTATTTCCTCTACCCCCTGCAGTGAAGATGGTGAAAGAGAGAAAAGGAAGACACCTGTAGGCAACCCTATCGAGAAACAGAGACCACTTGACTTTTTTTTCACTGAAAAGATTAGTATTTAATGTTGAGTAGATACTGCTCTACTGTCTCTAAGATTTACCTTGACAACTCAGAGATAATACCAACAACCTTGAATTAAGGAAAGAAAGGGAACAGAATCAATATCCAAATTTTCTCTAGGTCAATATAGAAATTCAGGCACTGGAAACATTTCACTACCAAGGCTGGGTGGCAGCTTCTGCACCTTGCATGCTCGTGCTGCGAGGGAATCCCACAGCAGGCCATGCAAAGGGCAATGGGAGATATAGGTTGCAAGTTTCAGCTCTATCATTGACTCTGTGTGATTTGAAATAAAGAAAACTGTCTTATATGCAGCAAACTTAATGACCTTCTTTCACATCTAATAGTTATAGAGTCTTTTCAAAATATGAGTTCCACAGATGTTAACAGCATCCACAGACTGAGTTCAAACCCTGGCCCCACCACTTCTTAGCCACATGACTTGGGCAATCAATTGAACTTTTTGTATCTGGTTTCCTCATCTGGAAAAAGGGGATTAAAAACAGTAATTACCCCATGTGATTGTTGTGAGAATTGAATTATTTGATATATATATAAGGTAGTTAGAACAGTGTCTGGCACATAATAAGTTGTATGTAAATGTTATCTATGATTATTACCAACATCAATTGTTATTTCTCATGAGGAATATTAAGAACTTCACTATTAATTGGCTATTTAAAAATGTAATAGGTTGGCCAGGCACGGTGGCTCACGCCTGTAATCTCAGCACTTTGGGACGCCAAGGCTGATGGATCACTTGAAGTCAGGAGTTCAAGACCAGCCTGGCCAATATGGTGAAACTCCCATCTCTACTAAAAATACAAAAATTAGTCGGGTGTTGTAGAGGGCCCCTGTAATCCCAGCTACTCGGGAGGTTGAGGCAAGAGAATTGCTTGAACCTGGGAGGCAGAGGTTGCAGTGATCCAAGATCGCACCACTGTACTCCAGCCTGGGCGACAGAGTGAAACTCCCTCTCTCTCTGGAAAAAAAAAAAAAAAAAAAATTAATAGGTTAAATAACTTTTTCTTTAGTCAAATATGGTTTTAGCATTTGGTTGCTTCTTAAAACATAATAAAATTTTTATAAAAGCGCCAAAGAATTAATTATTTGTGCTCTGAAGTCTGTACCTTCCCCTGATATCAAATAGGTTTGCACCTGAGTATCTTGAGGGCAGAATGTGGGCTTCTGGGAAAAACTTGTTTCTGTCTAAAATGTATTCAAAAAAGGGAACTTTGGCAAAGTACCAGTGAAGGAGTGGTGGATGATTGTGACATGTGGGAAAGTTTATTTCCTCAGGAAAATATCCAGAGATATGGCAAAGGAAGAAAAATGAGTTTTGAAAAAAAAATTAAGGCCAAGGAAGATTTTCATTTAAGTTTTGGAGGCAGAGATTCATTTTCTTAAAATATCTAATGGATTTAGAAGATGACACAAGCTTTAGGAAGGCAAAGATGAAGAATCAATGGAATGATGACCAATTCCTGTCCTAGCCCTCTGCTATTGTTTTCTAATTCTTTCCATTAATTTCTCACAATTGTGTGGGGTGGACTAGTGACTATTTCTCACAGGTGAGTGGACACGATATGTGGCTCTTTCTAGTCAAAGATTTTAAGATGTTGTTCCTTATTTACACTCTTGCCCCTTTCTTTAGCTGGATTTATAGTGACAAGGCCCTAGGGTGTGGCAGATCCACAGATGGCATAAGGCTGAGTTCTTGAATCACTGCATAGAGGAACGGCACCAGGAATGCTCACCTTGGCCGATGTGTGAATGGGAAATAAACTTGCATTGTATGAAGACCCTGAACTTTCGGAGTTTATTCGTTTTAGCAGGTAATGTTTCTCCAACTAGAATCGTACACATTATTTTCTTTTTAGTAATCATTTATTTTGTGAAAACTTTTTGTTGCCCAGGCTGGAGTGCAGTGGCACAATCATAGCTCACTGCAGCCTCAAACTCCTGGGCTCAAGCGATTCTCCTGCCTCAGCCTCTCAAGTGCCTGGGACTATAGGCGCACACCACCATGCCCAGCTAATTTTTAAATTTATTCTACCTTTTTTTGTAGATACAGGGTCTCAATATCTTTCCTAGGCTGGTCTCGAAATCCTGGCTTCAAGCAATCCTGCCTCTGCTTCTCAAAGTCTTGGGATTACAGGCGTGAGTCACCTTTGTGGCCAAAACTTTTTTTTCACAAAGATCCAACCATAAAATTTGTATTCTTGGCTGCTTTCTGTAAATGTATATATGAAGGGCTTGGAAGCCTAATTTTCTCATCTGCAAAATAGAAATAAAGATGATGCAAAATAGAATGATCAAATGAAATACACTGAAGTACTTTTAAGCTATGGAGTGCAAAAATATGTAAAATCATATTAAGATTGTGCTAGTGTTTCACAATGCTATGACATCACATGTGCTGCTCCTTCATTCTGGAATATCCTCATCTCACTTCTCTTCGCAGGGCTCTCAGAGCTTGATTCTTCCATTTAAAATGCTTGAATTGTCTTCTCTCTAAATACTTTCAACATCTCATGTCCTCCCTTTTACTGCTTTTCTCCTTCTTTGCCCCACCAGGAAGTTGTTCCCTTCTCCTAAGCACTGTGCACATTATTATTAATTAATTCAACAAATACTTACTAATCACCTACTATGTGTCAGACAGTCCCAGCTAGGAATGGATGGGCTAGCCATGGATGACAGAAACGAAGTCCTTGCTCTTATAGAGTTCATAATTCAGTAGGAGAAGACACACAATAAACCAGTAAATACATTTAAAACTTATTTGAGACAGTGGCAAGTGCTGTGAAACAGATATTGGAATGATGTGAGGGAGAATCAGGAGGAGGAAAGAGGTGCCTTCCACTGTGTGATCAGAGACAGCCTCTCTGAGAAGGTGCTGCTTGCATTGAGACCTGGATTACAAGAGAGCACTGAAGTGAGTGGTCTAGGCTGCGGTCAGAAGAGTAGTCAGAAATCAGGTCATGAAGGGGCTTATAAGCCATGGTGAGAGTTGGGTTTTATTCTAGTTCCGATGGGAAGTCACGGGAGAGTTTTAAGGAGGGAGAAGGGTGAACTGATGTGTGTTTTGGGATGATCACTCTGGCTAATGAGAGGAAAATGGATTTTAGTGGCCGAGAGTGGAAAAAAGCTAAGAAGCTAGCACAAGGGTCTCAGAAAAAGATGATGGTGCCTTGGATCAGAGTGATGCAGAGGAGTCGAAGAACAGTGATAACGATATCATCAGCCACACAAGCAGATCTTGATTCAAATTCCATCAAGCTATGTGACTTTGGAGAAATGACTTCATGTCTAAGGCTATGTCCCTATCGTTAATATCTGTCTTAACAGATGGTCAGGTTAAGAGAAGATAAAGTATTTATTACCTTTATATATACGTATTTGTTCAGAAGTCTTCTTTCTCATAATATTGTGGGTTTCTTCAAGGTCAGGATGATGGCTTAGTTCCCACTGTACCTCAGGAGCCCAGTTCATAGCTGCCACTACAGCAGAATTTTTTACTACATGTATATGTTTAGCTATGGGAATTTCTGTCTGTGGATTCCAATGTCAAATCTAAGTTTTAGATATCGTCATTTGGAGCCAAGTTAAAAAAATTTTAATTGCACTCTTTTAAAAAGGAATTTGAAAAGCTATAAAATTCTTAGAAACAAAATACAGGTGTAACATGTAAAAAACTCTTAGTAGAAAACATAAGTATAAATCTTTGTGATCTTGGTTAAAATATGATGCTTAAAGCACAGCAACCAAGGAAAAACGGATAAATGGCATTTCATCACAATGAACTCTTTTGCATCAAAAGACACAATCAAGAAAGTTGAAAGTCAGTCCACCAAATGGGAGGTAATATTTGCAATCATGTATCTGATAAGGGCCTAGTATTCAGAATACATAAAGAACTCTTACAACTGAACAATAAAAAGACAACACAGTTTAAAAACTGTGTTGGGCAAAGGACTTGAATATACATTTCTCTATAATGCACATGATAAAATGGTCAACATCATTAGCAATCCAAGAAATGCAAATCAAACTATAATGAGATAGCCCTACATACCCATTAGCATGACTATTAAAAAAAGGGCAATCCCCAAACACCAACAAGTCTTTGTGAGCATGTGGAGAAATCAGAACTCTCATACATTCCTGTTGGGGATGCAAAATGGTGCGGCAGCTGTAAAAAAGTTTGGCAGTTCCTCAAAAAGTTAAACATAGAGCTGCCATGCCACTCTACTTCTAGTTAAAGATAGAGTTGCCAGCAAGTCGGCTGGGCACGGTGGCTCATGCCTGTAATCCCAGCACTTTGGGAGGCCGAGGAGGGTGGATCATGAAGTCAGGAGATTGAGAGCATGGTGAAACCCCATCTCTACTAAAAATACAAAAAATTAGCTGGGCACAGTGGCAGGCGCCTGTAGTCCCAGCTACTCGGGAGGCTGAGGCAGCAGAATGGCGTGAACCCGGGAGGCAGAGGTTGCAGTGAGCCGAGATCGCGCCACTGCACTCCAGCCTGGGTGACAGAGTGAGACTCCATCTCAAAAAAAAAAAAAAAAAAAAAAAAGAGTTGCCAGCAAGTCTACTTCCAAGAATATACCCAATGAATTGAAACATATATTCACAAAGGGACTTGTATACAAACGTACCTAGAAGCATTATTTACAATAGCCAGAAAGTGAAGATAACCAAAATTCCCATCAACTGATGAGTAGAAAAACAAAATGTGGTATATCCATACAACAAATCACGATTCAGCCATGAAAAGGAATGAAGTACAGATACACGCTACAATGTGGATGGACCTTGAAAACGTTACGCTACATAAAAGGCCACATATTGTATAATTGCATTCATATGAATTGTCTAGAGTAGGCAAATCCATAGACACAGAAAGTAGATTCGTGACTTGCCAGGATATGGGGTGTCTGGGTATGGGGCAGGATGAGGAGTGACTGCTAAATGGGTATGAGGTTTCTTTGTGGGGTAATAAAAATGTTCTGCAATTAAATAGTGGCTCTGGTTGCACAACATTGTGAATGAACTAAAACTACAGAAATGTCTACTCTCAAAAGGTGAATTTCATAGTATGTGAATTATCTCGCAATCAAAAAATGGTTTAGATGACCGACTCCACTATTTCACCCCGAACGCCTTCAGTTTCAAGGCACCTTTAGCACAGGAGCTATTTCAATCTCCATCTTAGGTCTGTTCATTCCGGCCAGGGTGGGCCTTGTGGTAGAAACAGCCTTCAGCTCCTACGCCGGTAAACTCTGTTTTTCCTGGAAGAATTCCCCAGCTAAAGTCTGACACACGCCACATCATGGATGCAGCTTGAGGACAGTAGGCTACATGAAACAGGCCAGTCACGAAAAGACAAATGCTGCATGATTTCACTCATTGGAGGTACCTAGGGTAGTCAAATTTATGAAGACAGAAAGTAGAACCGTGGTTGCCAGGGGTTGGGGGAAGGGAGAATGGGGAGTTATGGTTTAATGGCTGTGCAGGTTCCGTTGGGCAAGAGGAAAAATTCTGGAGATTGACTGTACAACAGTGCAAATGTCCTTAACGCTACTGAACTGTACACTTAAGATGGTGAATTTCATGTTATGTGTATTTTACCACAATTAAAAAATGTTTAAATGGCTTTTGCCATCACATGTGCGCAAACATGTACACATGCATGTACACATACATACACACCCTTTTCCCCCTTTGATTGCATCCATCATCAGTGTGAGGGTCCAGATGGCTCCAAGTAAAACAAAAACAAACACAACCCAAACTCAGGCCCCTGTGAAAGACTAGACTTACACTGCTTTAGATGGCAAAAGCACCAGGGTTAAAAGACCTGAGCTTCTACACAGGTTATTTTGGTTTAAAACTCTGCACCTAAAACATCAGCCAGAAGCGTCTCTTTCCTTTCATATAATGGATTGTGTCTTGGCCTGTCTTTACCTTAATCAAAGTTCGACTCAATAGTAGCAAATGGCTTGAGTGTTCTTCTGAGGCTCTACTTGACAGGCTATAATTAGAAATACTTTACTTGACCTTTATAAGTCATGATCCCCAACAAAATTGTACCGAATCACATTTGAAAAATGCTCTTACATCTTTTGTGAATACGGGCAAGATTACAGGATACTTTTATTTTAGAATAATTACATAGTGACCTTCAGAGTTATTTGCAAAGGTCATATTCTCTTCACATACCCTTGATTTCCTTTCAGTTTTTCCTTTTGTCCCACCAGACATAAATTTAGCAAAGGAAGAAGAAAGAGAGAGAGTGTTTTTTTTCTGCGGATGAAAACTGAAGAAGATAGTTCAAAGTCCCCATAGGCGTTCAGAGGGCTGTGGGCTATGATAGGCTATTTTCTACCATTTAGCTCCTGCATTATCACTACTCCTTTTTCTTCATTATTCTCCACTTATCACATGCAGCATCACTGCAAAGCCCAAATAGAGAGTTGTAATTACCCGGCTGCCACCTGATAGTCCCCCTTCTATCATCTTTATCTCACTAGGCCTTGCTGTTTCATCATCGGATAAAACTTGCCCATGGCAATGCCTGCGATAGTGCATCTCAGAGATACATTTAAAGTTTACTCATTTATCGCAGAAAAATGCTGAACCCGGGCAATTATTAGATACACTTGCCAGTTTAGTTTTTCACTAAGGTTAGTTTAACTCCCTTTTGTATCAGCCATTTTTTCCTTTTCTTCTTGGAAACACCCAGGTCACAACTGGCTACTGAGATGAAATTTTAATGAAATTGTCCGGCATCAACAATACTGAGGGTGCCTACTGTCATATGTGTGTGTGTGTGTGTGTGTGTGGCACATGTGCGTGTGCGTGTGTTGCTGGCCATTCAATTTAAGCAGTTCTCTTGTCAGGCACACCTAAAACAAGCAGCACACTCCTTTGAAGGAGCTCTTTGGCTCTAAAAAAGCCACTAGGTACCAAGACCTTATGAAGTATCACATTTTGTAAAAACTGATGTCACATTTGGCCTGCTGATGATTGTAAAAGTCAGAACACGGAATGGTTGATATCTAAAAGCATAAAAACATATATTGGGCACCTCTTTGACAGGTTTCTTGAGCTTTTTATTTATTCAATATGAGGGAATATAGCCCAAGGGTAAGTCTCAAGAATAAGCGCTGTATATATGCATGTGTGTGTGTGTGTGTGTGTGTGTGTGTGTGTGTGTGTGTGCACATGCTCTACACATGTACTCTCACTCTCTTTAGTGCAATTAGAAGGATGTTCATATGTGATCATGTATTTAATGGATGGCCACTGCCCTCATCAAAGTCTGTTATAAATTCAGTAGGCTATTTTTCACTCTGGCAAAAAGGCCTATTAAGAAGCTAAGAAATTCTAGTGCTAATTTTTTTTTTTTTTTTTTTTTTTGAGATGGAGTCTCGCTCTGTCATCCAGGCTGGAGTGCAGTGGTGCGATCTTGGCTCACTGCAACCTCTGCCTCCCGGGTTCAAGCAATTCTCTTGCCTCAGCCTCCCTAGTTGCTGGGATTACAGGCAAGCACCACCATGCCCGGCTAATTTTTCATTTTTAGTAGAGATGCATTTTTACCATGTTGACCAGGCTGGTCTCGAACTCCTGACCTCGGATGATCTGCCTGCCTTGGCCTCCCAAAGTGTTGGGATTACAGGCGTGAGCCACTGTGCCCGGCCTCTAGTGCTAATTTTTATAACACTTTTATTTATGCTGAGAGTGTTAACAGTGCAACTGTGAAACTAATTCATATTAAAAGATTTAATTTGGAGGTGAAGAATAAAATGAGCAAAAATTATTTACATTTATTTCAACAATGGCAATTGCATTTAAGTGGACTTTAAAAAAAGTCAATGCAAGTTAGTTTTAGTAACAACTTTAATAATCCTCCTTTACCCGATCAAACACTTCTGAAGGCAATCTAGCCCATTATGGAAAAGGCAGATTTTTGTGTGTGATTGGGCATCAGTATGGGAAAAAAGTTCCTTGCACAACATTAGCAAAAGGTGCACATTTCCCAAGTGTAGGACTTAAGATGTGGGATTTTGTGTGTACGTGTGTGTTTGTTTTTGTTTTTTTTTAAGAAACAGGATCTCTCTCTGTTGCCTGGGCTGGAGTGCAGTGGTGTGATCATAGCTCAGTGCAGCCTCAAACTCTTGGGCTCAAGCTATCCTCCCGTCTCAGCCTCCCAAAGTGTTGGGAATACAGGCGTGAGTCACCATGAGCAGCCTAAAATATGGTTTTACAGATGTGGTTTTAAAAATTACATCCTCCATGAATATTTAATCTGGCTTGATTAATTTGCTTTATGGAATGATCTATGTAAAACAACAAATAGTCATTCCATATAATAACCACTGTCTATTAAGCCACTGTAAATACACTCAGGTGTGCACACACACTCACGCACATGGATAGCAATGTACACAATGTACACAATTTCCCACTTTGTTGAAAAGCTCTTTTGTCCCAGGATTTGATTTCTCTTCAACTTCCAGGTAAATTAGGATTGTGCCCCACACTTCTGTAAAACTGTTCTCCCACAGAGTAGCTCTGAAGGAAGCAAGCACTAGAGAAGTTAGTGGCAGTACCATGAGGATAAAAACTTACTATACATACATTAAGTTTATTATTTATTTTAAAACTATTTATCTATTTATTTATTTATTTTTGTGTGTGGACATGATAGTTATGTACAAAGAAAGTTACAGAAACCATCAGAGTGGGTGCTCTGTGAAAGGGAGCAGCCACATATTTTTAGAAAGGAATAAAGAAAAATAATGGGATCGAGGGGCTCACAGAAAACAAAGATGTATTTCATCTAATCCCATTTTTCTTGTATTTTAACCTTTACTTTTTGGTTCTGTTTGAGCAACTTACTCTGTGCTATTTTGGAAGTGTTTTCTACTCATTTCGGGGAAAAAAAAGTCTTGAGATTATGTATTCTTAGTTCAAACCAGCTTAATCAATGGGAATATGATTTATTTATTTGCTAGAACTTAAAATATATTCCCTGTAAAAAGCGGAAATAGTGAATTAAAGCAGTCCACAGGCCACCCAAAACACAACAATGAATTGGGAATTCTACTTTTATCTTCCACCAAATGGAATTAGAAACTGATATAAATCCATAAGGATCATCCCACCTCCACACCCCCCCTCTGTTTTTTGTTTTTTTGTTTTTTTGTTTTTTTTTGAGACAGAGTCTCTGTCTGTCACCTAGGCTGGAGTGCAGTGGCATGATTTTGGCTCACTGCAACCTCCACCTCCTGGGTTCAAGCAATTCTCCTGTTTCAGCCTCCCAAGTAGCTGGGACTACAGGTGCATGCCACCACTCACGGTTAATTTTTGTATTTTTTGGTAGAGACAGGGTTTCCCTGTGTTGGCCAGGCTGGTCTCAAATTCCTGGCCTCAAGTGATCTGCCCACCTCGGCCTCCCAAAGTGCTGGGATTACAAGTGTGAGCCACCGCACTTGGCCTACCACACTCCTTCTAACGGCGGTTCTTCATGGCTAGAAGAGAAGACCCACTCAGCACTTGGCTGAACTTCCACGTGAACCACTGTAAGTTTTTCAGCTTCTGTGATGAAGAGTCTCAGCCAGGACCAGGCAGCGGGCCATGGGTATGCAGTGCAGTGATAGCTGCTTATGCTCCGATTCGTACAACCTCACTTACTGATGTGGAACCTCGGGAAAGCTACTTAACTTCTCCAAGCCTCCATTTTCTCATCTGTACAATAAGCAGAATACTATCATCTACCTTACAGGGACATGTAAACATTGAGTATATGCACTAAAGCACCCAGCGCATAGATCAGTCAGTGATTTCCACTTGTACTTAGAATGGGGGCCCTGGATGAATGGGCAGTAACACACAGGCCCGTGAAGCTGGTGGGCGGGACATTGCTCTGCACTGTGTCATGTTGTAGTCTCCGCGAGTGAGGCTGGTTTTCCTCTAGCACAGTTTGTTTTACTGAATGGACAGGGCTGTTTTGCTCAAGGAGAGTTACAGAAGAAAGCTCATTTCATGAAGCGATTAGGACACACAAGATTATGCCTCTGACAGGTAAGAAAACCCTGACAGCCCATTTTTTCCCATGAAGCAAAGAGTTTTGTTGCATATTGCATATTTATAAGGTGAAGGGGCCACTGGCTTTTATACCTTGAGAAGCCAAAACAATGCCAGATGTTAAGATTATGAACCTGAATTTCACTTTGGGTTTATGAGTTAACCAGAAAACGTTACATTAAACTGAAAGATTAACAACAACAAAAAAAGCAACCTCTAAAACTTCCTGCAGAAAGACTCCTTTCATTGAGCAAGCAGAGGCCTAGCTAGAAGGACATGCTCTTTCTTTTCTTTACAACCCACCATGGCTATCAGGGGCAAGCCAATCATAGGCACGAGGCAGAACAAATTTTGTTGTGGCAACTGCCCAAACATGAGGATAAGAATTTCTCAAATATCTGTAACTTCCTCCAGAGTCAGCATAAAACTTGGAGCAGAAGCAATGCGTACTGACCAGCTAGATCAAGCTTGTCCAACCCACAGCCCGGAGGCCGCATATAACCCAGTACGGTTTTGAATGTGGCCCAACACAAATTCATAAGCCTTCTTAAAACATTATGAGATTATTTTTTGCAATTTTTTTTTAGCTCATCAGCTATCATTAGTATTAGTGTATTTTATGTGTGGCCAAAGACAATTCTTCTTCCAATGTGGCCTAGGGAAGCTAAAAGATTGGACACCCCTGAACTAGGTAGTTATGAACCCACTATTCTGTTTAAGCTGAGGATCACCAACAAAATGCCCCTCAGATTCAATATATTTCTAAAGTAACTTTAAATACCTGTCTTATTTTTTCTTGTTCAGTGTCATTGGAGAACATTCGGAGGTTCTTAATTGGGGGTCTTACATGAGTTTCAAAGGCTTCCTGGACCTTCTGAAAATTTCTGCAAGGTTTTGAGTGTATGCTCATGTTTCTGAGAGTGAGTCCATAGTTTGGATCAGATTTCAAAGGGGTTTGTGTCCCCATAAATGGCAAAGAAGCGCTCTTTTGCAACAAATTTTCCAGGAAAGAGAAGAGCAGAAAATCTGAAAGAAGAAAGATAGAAGAAAGAATGGGACTGAGGTTTTCAGACAATGTAAAAGAACATGCAATCTTATTTCTCCTTTTTGTGCTACTTTCTAATACACTTTGTTTGGCCTTTGCCAAGCCCTTTGGCTGCAGTTCAGGAAGGTCAAAAACTCAGGGGTTCACTGTGTTTAGGAGCAGCATTAAAAAGGTTTCATGTAAACCCCCACCCACTGTAGAAACAAGAGCCAGGTCATTAGTTTGAATTGGCTCAGATTTTTCTGTTTCAAAGAGCTGTGATTTGCGTTACGTGCACCCGGACACAAAATGGCATGTCATATCATGCACATTTCAGCTCGAATTTTTTAAAGCCTATGTATGTCATCTCTCCTGACTACCTCTTACCACTTTGAATAAAAAAGTATAGGTGTTATTATGGCAGCTCCTGAAAGCAAGTCTATTGATCTATTAAAAGAAGCACTTTTAATTAAGCAATAATATGTGGTTGAATTGGGATGCCAAGTAGTAAATGTTTATGACCGCCAGGGGAGGGCATTGCAGAAACTTATTTGAGTTATTTGCCAGGCTTGAAAGCTGTTCTTCCAAGAAAAGTTTTCTTCCCCATTGGGAAGCCAATATATTTGTAATTTTTATACTGTTATGTTTTAAGGACATCAAGCCTGAAAGCCACGTTTCAAAACGGATGATCTTATTTGACTTGTGCTTTGATGTCGCCTTACCAATAGAATTCATGATTACTTTTGAGAGGCATTTCTCCCTATGTTCCTTCCTGAACAGAGAAAAGGCTAATAAAGTAATGATTACAACAATCTCAACTCATGTTGTTGCCTTTTTAAAAGTCTGAAATCTTGTACAATTAGAATAGTGGATTTGCTAGGTATTGGATAAACGTACAATGGAGCCTGAAAATTGAGGCTATTTCCTTATTGCCCGGTCCCTTTAGTTGCTGGATGTCTCTGTCTATAAGACAGACTTCTTTTTTTTCTTTCTTTCTTTCTTTCCTTCCTTCTTTCCTTCCTTCCTTCCTTTACTTTTTTTTTTTTTTTTTTTGAGATGGAGTTTGGCTCTGTCGCCCAGGCTGGAGTGTGGTGGTGTGATCTCAGCTAACTGCAACCTCCGCCTCCTGGGTTCAAGCGACTCTCCCACCTCAGCGTCACAAGTAGCTGGGACTACAGGCATGCACCACCACACCTGGCTAATGTCTATATTTTTAGTACAGACAGGGTTTCACCATGTTGGTCAGGATGGTCTCAAACTCCCAACCTCAGGTGATCTGCCCGGCTAGGCCTCGCAAAGTGCTGGGATTACAGGCATGAGCCACAGCCCTCGGCCAAGAAAGGTTTCTTTAATTGTGCAATGTCAGGTTTTTTTCTCAGTCCTAACTCCCAGCCCTGTCTTATCTTGCACTCACCTCCTCACCTAGTAGGTTATCCTATCTCTTTTCCATCTACTAAGACTGAAACACGCTTAAGGCCCAGCTCAAAACCTATACTCGTGACAAGTCTTCCACTTAGAGCTTCAGCCCTGACTGATTTTTCTTTTCTTGCTGAGCTTATTTGCATGACAGCCCTGTCTCTGTTATATATAATCTCATATCATTCCTGTTTCACAAATGTTCCTTTTGTGTTTTGGACCAGATTGAAAAGTTCTTGTGAGATCATGTCTTGAATATTTCCTGGCAAAATATTGGGTATATAGGTAGGTGGTTACTAAATAATGTAAAACTAATAGCTACTGACTTTCTTGATGTGATTATCTGACACTGTAAGTTGGATAAAATTGGTTAAGCAAGTTTCAGCCTGTGTTTGGGAATTTCCCTCTGTATTTGGTTTTCTGCCATAATTTAACAAAAATAAAGGAAAAGAGGAAAAAAAGAAGGATCCATGGCCATACCCAAAGCTATTAAAGTTCAGTAAGGCCAGGCACAGTAGCTCACACCTGTAATCTCTGCACTTTGGAAGGCCAAGGAGGAAGGATTGCCTGAGGCCAGGAATTCAAGGCCAGCCTGAGCAACATAGCAAGACCCCATCTCTACAAAAAATAAAGTTCAGAAATTTAGATAATACATGTGAATTGTGAGTTAACGGGCAAATTTGTGCAGGTCAGCAGGTCTCAGCCACAATATTGTGATTTATCAAACTGGACTCCCCAAATAAAATGAAGTCGTTGATTTAATACAGTAATAATTAAACCTCCTCTTTTCTGCTTGGGTCTCAGGAGGAAAAAAGCACGTTTTGCGTTTCCCTTTGGCTTGATGTAGCAGCTAATGGTTGATGATGCTTGGTGGGGAATAATGGAGACAAGGAAGATGCGTGTGAATCCTGAACTCCAACTGGAGCTGGTGTGTCAGTTGGACATGCTAAAGGCTAAAAGGGAAGTACCTCCAGCTTGCACTGCATGACACCATCATCATCATATTAACCACATCGTCGCAGCCAGTGTGACCGTGCATCTTGGTCTGACCGGGAAAATTCCAGTTTAATCCTAAGGTGCTGCCATCATTCTTAATAACACACCTTTTTACTCTCAAAGCTGTCCCAATGTGATGATAAATGATATAGCCACTGAAGTCATAAATAATATTTAGTGAGCACTTGTTATACACTAGGCATTTACTTCATATACTGTTTGTTTTGTCTTCCCAACAACTTTATGAATTAGGTGTTCCTTTTAGCCCCAGTTTACAGATGATGAAATTGAGGCAGCATTTAAGAAACTTCCCATGCTTATCCAGCTTGAACCCAGCAGTCTGGCTCCAGAACCCAAAATCTTAAACATTTTACTGCTTCTTGCAGAGAAAATACGGGGATCTGCTCCACATGATCCCCTTCTATCAGGTCCATCATAAAATACTATCACCCCAGTGGAAATACCTGAATCTCTGACAGTTTTTTACCCTGGAGCCATGTGTCGGAAAATGGGAATCTAGTTAATTTTAGCCATTTTAATCTTGTTCTCCAATTTAACTTATAAACGAGCTTCTTTTCCTCTTAAGAGTCTGGCTAGAGAGTGCCCAATTTAGTTAAACCCCAAGTTTAGGATTAGAAAGGACTGCAAAAGCTGCAGATTGTTCGAGTTAGCACACAAGAGTTGCTCTGCCACACTGTCATTTGTTAAAAACCAACTTTGTCACTTAGGCAAATTGCCTCATTTTGACTTTATTTGTCACCCGCATGCCATGAGTTGTATTATGATCCACATTTTAAAAATGAAAAAATATACCGAAGAGTTTAACTGACCCGTGATCACTTAGCTAGTATGCCTCAATGCTGGAATTTTAAACCAGGTATCTGACTCCAAAGTTTATAATTTTTTGACCTACTACTGCCTACTAAATACTCAATTATTGATTAACCAATATATGTGTAGTATGTGTGTGTGTGTGTGTGTATATACACTATACTATATATATACATACACAATACATATATTGATTTATTGCTTATACATATAAACATTTTTCATAATGTCCAATATAAAATTAGGTGACACTGCCTTTATTCACTTATTGAGCAAATATTCACTGAGTACTTTCTATTTTTTAAAAAAATAGGGACGGGGTCTTGCTATATTGCCCAGGCTGGTCTCAAACTCCTGGGCTCAAGTGATCCTCTTGCCTTGGCCTCCCAACGTGTTGGGATTATAGGCATGAGCCACCATGTCCAGCCTCAAGAGCACTTTCAAAATATCAAATTCTCTGCTTGGCAGTTGTGGATGTGGTGCTGAACAGTATGGGGTTCCTTCCTTCATGAAGTGTGTATGCTTTAGAAATGGGAAAGACAGACACACAAAAAGATATGCTACAATATGATTAATGCTATAAGCAAATGGCAAAATGAGAACCTCATGATGGAAATGATGCATTTTCTCTGGGAGAGAGTATGGAAAGAACTGACATAGAGTAATGATGGGAGATGAGCCAAAATATAGGTCAAAACTAGATTGTGAAAAAAGACACATGCTACATAAAATTGTTGGATTATGTTCACAGGGAAACACACCAGGTAATTAAGCATGGGAATGACACGGTTACATTTTGATTTGAGAAAAATGGCCAAGGATAGAGAAGAAAATTAACTGGATGCAGAAGATATGGAGGTAGAGGATAATTACGAGGTTATTGGCCAAGTGTGGTGGCTCACATCTGTAATCTTAGCACTTTGGGAGGCCAAGGCAGGCAGATCACTTGAGCCCAGGAGTTCAAGAACAGCCCTGGGCAACATGGTGAAATCCGATTTCTACGAAAAAAAAAAATTAGCCAGGCATGGTGGTGTGCACCTGTAGTCCCAGCTACTTGGGAGGCTAAGGTGGGAGGACCACTTGAGCCTAGGATGTCAAAGCTGCAGTGACCCAAGATCATGCTACTGCACTGCAGCCTGGGCAATAGAGTGAGACTCTGTCCCTCTCTCTCAAAAAAAAAAAATTTAAAGGAGGTTATTGGACTGGTCCAGCATAGACATGATCAACACTTGACCTCGTATAAGAGTAGTGAAACTGGAGGACAGGAGACAGATTCAAGAGCCATTTCAGTAAGATCTACAGGATGTGTACTTAGGATTGGATTTGACATTAGGTATAAAAGGGCTTTGGTTAATTCCAAGGCTTTTGGCTTCTGTAACTTGGTGGATGCTGGTGCCCTTTAGTAACATAGGGAAGAAAATATGTTTTGCTTTAGTCCCCGTTGGAAATATGGATCGGGTGCTAGTAAGACAGGCAGTTGCTGGAGAAATGGGTTGAAAAGCATTTCTAAAGAGGTGCTTAAAAGTGTAGAAATGGATGAAAACTTCCACCCTCACTTTGATTAGCGTACACTCCAACATGGTGGACTACTTGGCCAAAGATGACCCTCATTTGAGCAGTTTGCACAAGCCTGTCACACTAATCCTGATTCCTTAGGGGGATAACTTCCTGTGAGGAAAACTAAGTTTGTTTTGCAGCTGCATTTCATGTTTACATACAGTTTTTACAAGCTGTGTGGGCAGCCCAAGCAGCCTCAGGCAGGTGGTCCAGTTCCAATTCTGAACCATTGCAAAATGAGACTCTAGACTTCAAAAAAGTCAGGGAAAGGCAAGACCTGATCCAGAAGTCTGTGTCATCTAAGTTAGGCCGATAGTTCTGAGATGCACTTCTTTCTAATCATTAGCCAGTTTATCATAAAGTGGATCTAAAGTTGTGAGGGCCGTGTAAGAGCTACTCTTCCTGACAGCGTTGCTGAATGGTGGAGCCAGCCAGAAGGTTCTGAGGCATTAGAATATTTTCCTTTGGGTTTTTACAAGACAAGGAAGGCACCTACCTGCTTCAGGTGCCATATAGACTGTTGTATGTGCTTATTGGAGCCTGAAACTATGGTGTCTCCACTTATCCACAGGGCATGGCCTTCAAAGACGCTCTTTCCACATACAAGGTGTGGGTGTGGATTGACTCATGTTAACCCCCATATCAGAGGTGGTTTGGCAGAGGGGTTAGGAGACTAGACTCCACCTAACTCTCTAAATCCTGGCTCCACTGTTTATTCCCTCTGGGTTTGGGGCAAGTGGCCTAACCGCTTGGTGCCCACATTTTCCTATACATGATATAGGAACAATAACCGCACATAACTCAGATGATTAAATTAGATAATCTGTGTAGTGTGCTTAAAATAATACTTAGCACACTGTAAGCACTAAATGAATATTAGCTACCATAATGTTTTATACCAAGTTTGGGTTGATTGCCTATAGTGCAATGACTATAGTAATATTTCACCATAGTGATATATTTCACCATAGTGATATATTTCACCATAGTAAAATAGCCAGGCCTGCCATGTTTTCAAAAAATTCTTTTTGAGGATTGCAAGACTTCTGAGACTCAGGAGTCTTTGTACATGGCCTTCACATTCTCAGTTAGAAATGTACCTACCTATAGGGCAAGTAGGACTTTGGTTGCGTGAGGACTGTGAAATGACAGGTCAATGTATTCATTTTCCAAAGTACTTTCATTTGGCACTTTCTCTATCACTAAAAGAAGATTAACACTTGACATGATAAGAAAGTTTGATCAACAAAAACCTGTGATCCAGCAGATAGGATAGAATAGAAAGTCACTTAAATAGACTGGACATTTAACAAGGCTGACTTCCAGCAAAATGCTTGCTGATGACTCAGTTTATCTATAAAAGAAAAATCAGGCAGAGGCAAATCATGAAAGAAATGGATTAACAGTGTTAAAGATGAGATAGGAAGGAAAGGAATTAAAGGGAGAGATTGTAATGGTCAATAAGAATAAGGAATAGAATGACCCCAGCCTGAATAATCTTATTTGATCATTGGTTGATATGCGGCTGATGGGAAAAGATTCAAAAGCAAAGAAAAAGAAGTCAAAAAGCAGACAAGTCTCTGTCTGTCTGGCTTTCAGTCTTTCCTTGGCAAAATGTGGGGGTTGAACAAAATGACCTCTATGGCTTCTTCCAGTGTTGCCATTGTGTAATAACACAATTCTGCCACGGAGAAAGAGAAGTCCGGGACTGGAGTTATGATACATGCACACACACAGAGCATCTATTCACGCGCAAGCATCACAGCTACTTATGATTTGACTCAATTATTAAATTTTAATTTCACATCCCTCGTGTGTCGGTCATCCTTTCGTTTTATTTCTTCTCAGCTTTACTTCTCAGCAGTCATGATTTTAATCAGTTAGGAGCCGCATGCTGGAAGACCTTTTCCACATAGCTTATTTTTTCATGCCCTCTTTGTCTCACTGTAGCAGTTAGAGGGAAAAACCCTGCAAATGAAATAAGACCAAGTGCTTGTGTTTAGAGGGGAACAAGAAGTGGGAAATATGGGGAGACTAGCTATCTGGCAGCCAGACCGGGGGGAAGAACACCTTCAGAGAAGACTGGGTAGTGTTAATTACTAAGAAGAGGAGAAAACAAGCTCTGTTTGAGGATATAAGGATAAAGAAAAGAAAATAGGACATAGGCCACTGGTCTAGTTTAAAACAGGGCTATAAAGAGGCCTGACAATATGCAATGTAACATTATAAAAGAGTTCATTGTAAGCTTTAAAAATATTCCGAGAAAAATTGCCTTTGATAGTTTTGGGAAGCAGCCACTTATCAGAGACTGATGTTCTCTGGATTTGTATTCTGTTTGTTTGTTTTGTTTCATCTCAGACACATTTGGAAATTTCAGCTTTTTCATACACAAAGATTAACCAGTCAACCACTGGATGCTGAAAATTGTCCATTTCTAATTTTCTACTATTTTGAACTCATTTTTGCTTAAAGCTTTCCATTTATTTTATTTAAAAAACCTAGACAGATATGAGATAAAGTATTTGGAAACTGTAAAGCATACAAAAACTAAAAAGTGAGTGTGTTAGATTCCTATTGTAGCTTTAACAAATTGCCACAAATATCTTATGGTTCTGTCGGTTGGAAAGTTGTCTCGGGTCGTTGGAAATCTGACTCAGGTCTCACTGGGCTAACCCAAAATGTTGGCAGGACTGCATTCTTTCTGGAGACGCCAGGTGAGAATCGTTTCCTTGCCTTTTCCTGCTTCTGGGGGCTGCCTGTAGCCTTTGACTTGTTGCCCCCTCCCTCCATCTTCAAACAGCAACATTGCATCTCTTTGACCATTCTTCCACTGTCACATCTCTCCTTGACCACAGCCAAGGAAAGTGCTCCAATTTTAAGGACTCATGTGATTAGATGGGGCCAAGCTGGAGAATCCAGGATAACCTCTCCAGGATAATCTCTCCATCTCCATTTTTAACTTAATCACATCTGCCAAGTCTCTTTTGCCATGTATGGTAAAATATCCACAGGTTCCAGAGATTAGGGCATGGACATCTTTGGGGGTGAAGGCATTATTCTGCCTTCCACAGTGAGTATTCAAATCACTCTATATTAAAATGAAGAACAGTGGGTTTTTTTGTTTTTGTTTTTTTTTTTAAAGAATAAAGCCTATTGGATGCTAGATGGGCTATACAGAGTTTCTACTTAGAATCCCAAAGTGTGCTTTTTATGGTCATTCTTAATACGGAGTGCACCTATTTCATATTCCTCCCTGAATTATTATTTACCCTTGGGTTATACACTGGGACAACTTTCATTCCCTGCACACACACACACACACACACACACACACACACACACACACACACACACAATATTACAGTACAGACTTCCCCAGCTGTAGAGCACATTTCTTATCATCAAACACAGTGTTCGAAATCTGTCTGCTGAGCCAGGCATGGTGGTTCACACCGGTAATCCCAGCACTCTGGGAGGGCGGGCGGAGAGAATCACTTGAGCCCAGGAGTTTGAGACCAGCCTGGGGAACATAGCAAGAACCTGTCTCTACAAAAAATAAAAATAAAATAAAAATAAAAGAAATAAAAAATAAATTTTTCTGCTAGAAACTTCCGCAGCAAGAAGTTAACAGAAGCTTATTTTCTAATTATCTGTGCACCATTATGTTAAAGCATGTAGCATGTGCTTTAAAGATATTTACTAGAACAGTTCAATGTTTACTACAGAGAAATTCAGAAGTGTAAAGGAACCCCAGAATAGACCTGGAAGGCAGGACAATTGATTGTCCCACATTTTCCCCACTTGGGGAAAAGATTTGTAATGTGTCATTTCCAAAATACCTTCTTCGTATATCGTATTTTTCTGCAAAACATGTATTAATAAATTTATCATGATATAAGCAATCCTTTTATTTTCAAATTATTCAAATCAGACACAAACCAGACCTAGCACATTTAGGTGTGTGGGGAGGGTGGGGGTAATTCTTTGACAATATCCTCTGTTATTTCCATGTTTATTGATTTGTTTATTAAAGTTTGAGTCTCATTTTCATCCATTTCTATTTTCCAAGCAATTAATACACTGAAAAATTATTATTATTATTATTATTGAGACAGGATCTTACTCTGTTGCCTAGGTTGGAGTGGAGTAGAGCTAATCACTGCTCACCGTAACCTTGAACTCCCCAGCCCAAATGTGACAAAAATTCTTTAAAACATTTTAGCATGGGTTTATTCAAAGTATTTTCTCATAAATAATTCACATTCACCATTCTTACTCCTAATTTTGGTTATTTGTGTCTTTTTTCTCTAAGAACTGGGCTAGCTAGTGACTTATTAACTTTCTCTTTTTTCTTATAGAAGTAGTACTTAATACTTAGTAAGTAGTTATTTGACTTACTGCATAAAAGGAACATAATGATGAAATCCAGTCAAATATCCACCGATAATTGGAAAGAACTTCAGCAAGGAGTGAAATTAGGAGATAAACAGTCCAGGAAGATGCCGGTTGGGCACGAATGGCCCTGGTGGAAAAATGGGTATTCTGGGCTTAGCTATTTCCTCTAAAACAAAAGTGTATTGGGAAATAAGAATGTCTGGTTTAGAACTGAGTATGGTCATATCCAGTTTGATCTTTTTTTTTTTCCTTTTATCTCCTAACTCCTTTTCTTTGGCCACACCTCTCATCTTTTTTCATGTATTGAGTCAATTGGAGCTACAAAAACAGTCAGTATAGAATGCCTACGTATTGCTACAACATATTCAACCTGAAGATTCTGTAGAATTGGTGATGGAAAGGAAGCACTTCAACGAAGTATACAGTGGGTGGGAGTGAAGAGCAGCAAATCTGAAGCATTTTAGAAATTCGAGACAACAACATTTTGATAAAAATCTTTTTAACCTTCAAAAAAGAACATGAATAACCCAAGGATTATGTAATTTCTTTTATGAATATCAAGGTCATTACTTCTTGCACAAACCTGTTAATGTTGTCTGATTCAGATGAAACGCTGACTTTTTTTAAGCCATGAAAAGAGTTTGGTTTTTGTTCAAATAAAGCTTATAGAACTTTATTTATTTATTTATTTTTGGACTGGAAATGAAGTTTGGTTTTTACATGCAAGCCTTTGTTCTTCTGACATTTTGCTTTATGTGCACATAAGTTTTTAAAAAATCCTTTGTCCATCATGTGAATGCTAGTTAGATAGAATAAGTTTATTTTCTTAAAAGATTCCATCTTTGCCCACTATGTTTGGAGTCTATGTGGTCTATGATGACTTAGAAACATGTATCGACCCCCAACTCATCCCATGCTCCAAATATCATTGCTTCGGCTACAAAGATTTTAAAATCAGTTAATCATGGAAGTTAAAAACAAAGTGTGTGCATAAGTCTACCAGCATCCAGCATCAGGACAAGTACCCATTTGGCAAGAGACATTCTTGAATGCAGGAAGATCATTTGAGGTATTCCTGATTTAATTATTTCCTTCTATTTTGAGATGAATTTTAATTTTGCAGCACTGTGGTTTTGTTTATACGTTTTCTGTGATTCGCAGATACAGTAAACAAGAAACCATTGTTTTATATATTTGACCAACAGGCCTTCTTATTCTGCTTATCCGTCAATCATCTTCAGTGTGTGATGGAAGAGGGTACAGTGTTGAACTCAAGCAGTGAGAAGTATTTGTCAAATACTCCACTTGCATTATTCTGTCTAAGTCTCATCCTGGTTTTCTGATACGTGTTGCTATAATATTGATAACCATTGATCCAAAGTTCAGAACGTCAACAACAACACTCATTACTGCTTAGTAAGCATCTACTAATCTACACAATCTCAAAGCTCCTGGATCCTTGACTGCTCCAGTCCTTCTCAGCCCACAGATGTTAGGGGAAGACCTGCAATCAAGTATGCAAAACTGTAACTATATGAGGACTTAAGTTCCATCTCAAACTCTCATTTTGCACTGGAGCAGAACAAGCTTATCTACATACTTTCTGGTAAATGTACCTTATTCAGGATTTAAACGTAAGGTTCTGCCGCTTCTTCCTCCACTGAATGACATCTACGTTCCAGAAGCTGATAGGCATCACGTTGTCTGGGCAGAGACATAGACCAATATTAATCTCCTGTCCCTTGTTAGTGTCCACTTCTTCAGTCTTCTTTGATAAGGCCCAGTGTATATACTGTTGAACGCCAAGGGGCTACATGGCTTCTAGCTCATGAAATTCACTCTGCACTTGTTGATGGGGTCCCGTCATCACAGCTGCAAGACCCGCGCAGTCTACAGCCCACTCAAGGTCACAGAACTCCTGTGGGTGCTGGCCCGTAACTTGGGGCTGTAGCAGAGTCTCTCTGCTTAGATAAACGTGGCTGCCACTTGTACCCAATGGCATCCACATTATCCTGGGCTTTCTCTGGGAAGCAAGGCTCATGTCTTTGCTGCTCCTGGAACCCCCAAACCTATTTGAGGTTTTTAAAATGTCCCCTCCTCAGGGCTTGAAACAGAATTGCATTGCAGAGAGCCTCCCCATCATCCAACCACAATACTCCTTTTCTTCTCCCTCTCAACTCTCTTTCCATGACCCCAGCTGCTCACACTTACATCCTTCAGGGAGAGAAAATGGACTATTCCACCGTTAGCATTCATTCCAAGCTTCGTGTTTATGGGACAAATTTATTTCCCTGGGTTGTTCAGACTCAGCCTTTTTGCTCCTCAAAAACACTTTTCTCACTCTAACACAAACAAAAACAAATACAATTTCTTTTATGAGCAAAAACTTTGGCTTTCAAAACTACTGTTTTTTGTTACGGGTTTTCAGCATCGACTCTAGGAGTCAAAATACTGTTTTTCCCTTGGCTTCTATAAGCCAGTGAGCCTCACCCTCAGGGCTGGTGTCAAAGGTAAAAGGGATGATAAATAAAAGTGAGGTTTCCTGTGATGAAATACAAGCAGTTCAGTTTCAGAATAGTGTTCTGTTATAAATCCAGCATCCCCTTTAATCCTTACAGCAACTGAACCAGATAAGCATTATCATTCCACATTTGTAGATAAGAAAATGGAAGTAATCTACTTAATTAAGGCAGCCAAATAGTCAGGTGGCAGACTCAGAAGACATATCCAGGCCCTGCTAACTCTAAATTTTTTTTACTTTTTTTGTCATGCTATCTAGTCTTTCTCCTTGAGATCTAGAAGGTGTTCATGTTCAAGAAACAGTGCCAAGGGCTATGATTATAAATCTCCATAAATGCGCCATTGACTGTTATCAGTACACAGTGGTTTGTTGTCATGCAGATAGACTCAGCTTTAGCAAAATTACCCATGTGTGTAATTCAGGAGCTTTATCCCATGCGTGTCTACACAGTAGATCTAGATTCATCACTGTTACGCACCATGCACCAGAGAAGTTGTTTCCTGATATTTCTCTCCATTCACCACCAGCTTGCCCCATGATATAGTTCGGATATCAAACCAAATCTCATGTTGAAATGTGATCCCCAATGTTGGAGGTGAGGCCTAGTCAGAGGTGTTTGGGTCATGGGGGCGGATCCCTCGTGAACCTCCCCATGGTAATGAGTGAGTTCTCGCTCTAAGAGTTACTGTGAGATCTGATTGTTAAGAAGAGCTGGCACCTCCCTCCTCCTCTTTCTCTTGTCCCCTCTCTCACCATATGACATGCCTGCTCCTGATTCACTTTCCACTGTAATTGGAAGCTTCCTGAGGCCTCGCCAGAAGCAGATACTGGTGCCATGCTTCTTGTACAGTCTGTAGAACCATGGGCCAAATAAACCTTTTTCTTTATAAATTATCCAGCCTTAGGTATTCCTTTATAACAACACAAAATGGACTTAACACACTCCACCATTGGCCAGAGGGAAGCCCCCTACCTTCTCTAACACCGTCTTTGACATTTTATTACATCATCCTCTGTGCCCTTGACTTTAATTCCTATCCCAGCATTTTCCACAGTTTCTGGCATATATTGGAAGTGAGTGTGCATATATGGATATGTTCAGATGGATAACATGTTTCTTTCATAAGCCTCCATTACTTTTTGAAACCAAATTGAAAAGACCTAAATTTAGCTTTCTGTTTTATGCATTATATATAAAAAACATAACTGAAAACAATCCTTTCACACTCTAGACATTTATGATCATTTACAAACTACAAACTACAAACTGAATAAGAAGAAATGCAGTGGTCCCTTTTAATTTGGAAATCCACTCTGTAGACGAAGACTAACTTAATATGACACAAACTAAAGTCTTTGCCAGCATGGATCTTTTTTCATCCAAATTGTTAGAGTTCACAAAAACTTATTAATCTAGAAGCATCTACCAATGTAGCAAGAAAGACTGTATAAAGAATCAGGTGGTGGAAGGCCAGACTCCAGCTGTGTACTGAAATCTCACATCTGCCAAACCTGTGGATGATATAAAGTTAACCATCTTTTCCCCACTGCTTGGAAATCCCACCTTTGTCATATGCGATTTCTCCACATGTTTTTGTCTCTTTCTGGACTTTGTTCTTGTCCATTGATTTGTCTAATCCCACTAATTATAGTAGCTTGATAATATATTTTAATGTCTTGGAGGGCTGGTCTCTCCTCCTTACTCTTTTTTTTAGGAGTTTTGAGTATTTTTAAAACATTTGCTTTTCTATATGATACTTGGAAATAGCTTGCTGAGTTAAAAATATCCCACTGGCCTTTTAAGTGGGATTGTTATAAGTTTATAGATTATTTAAGGGAAGATGGAGATCTGTGTAATGCTGAATCTGTCTGTACAAGAAGAGGCTGTGTCTTTCCATTTATTCAAAACTTCTTTATGATTGTCAGGAGAAATATAAAATATATATATTTCACACACATAAACATCGTGAACTTATTACGTTGTATTATAATTTCTATTTATTTGTCATTTTCCTTGGATAAAGTATCAGCTCTTTCAGGGCAGCTCTTTATTAATTACTAAACCCCAACACCATGGGCCGTGCTAATGTGCAGTCAATTTCAATAAATAAACTGATGAAATAACTAAAATTAAACATGAATTTTCTGTGACCATCCCATCTAAATAAATATGAATGTGAGGCAGTAGAGGCACTTGTGTATAATTACCGTGCACCAGCTTTCAAAACCGAATCTTGCTCTAGCTCCTCCTAACTCTCACCCCAGAGTTCCCCACCAGATGTTAAAGGCCAAACCAACCATTAAAAAGACAAGTGACACTCATGTCTCTATGTAAATAAAAATTGTGAAAGTACTTTAAGGGAGTTCCCCTTGAATATTTCTTTCCTTTAAGGGACAAAAGCAAATTGACTGCCAGCGAAGAGCCCTTTAGTCCAGAAATTCTTCATAGCAAAGGCACAGAAACTTGAAACAATGTCCTCAGTGCTCTCCCTTTTGTCTGTGGCAATAGAATGGGGATTCTGTACTCCAACAGCTCCTTAGGGGAAAACATCAACACTCCAAAATTTAAACTCCACATAGCTGCATTCAGGGAATGAAAGCCAGACCTGTCGCTGTTCCCAGGACAGAGTGGCTATTGTGGAAAATTGCCCTTTTTAAGAACTTTTGGTGTCCAGGCTCCTGTATGGAGCAGCCTAGATAATATCCCTGCCTTCCCGGCTATGGTCCATCTCCAGATGCCAGCATGGGGGATAAATGTCCACGAGGGTTCTGTCTACCAATGCAAACCTCTTGAGTTTCTGTCTTCAGAAGTGAGGGCCATAGAATAAGAATGAAAATGGACCTTGGTCCTGCTGAGGGGGAAAAACAAGTTGGAATGGAAGGCCGCTACTTCCAACTTAAGCAAAGTTGGAATAGATACTTCCAAAGGTATTGGGCTGACCCCAGATACGTAATGGAATTTTGTAGCATACTTTATTTTGCATTTTTGCAACCAGGTGTTGATAATTACATGTGTAATTATTCAACCTCTTTACTTTATGTATCAAGAAGCTGAGACACAGGGAATGTAAATAACTCATTAGTAATTACATAGCTAGTTAGAGACATAGCTGGGTTGAGAGCTTAGGTGTTCAAGCAAAGAGTCTAATTTTCTTGATTCCGTTACATTGCCATTATTTAATCCCAACACACCTTATATTTGAAAGCATGTTTTAATTAAAATTATTTGCCATTAAATTATATGAAACTAAATCCAGGCTTCCAAGTTTTACTATAAATCTACTTTTAAAAAAAATTAGTACATCTCTAAAATGTTTTAAAAATGTATTTTAGCATACTCTTCCAACTTAAAGTACTTTGTATCAGAGTCAAGGGAGGTAGCAACTGTTGGTCCACACTATTAATACTTTAGGGAAATCTCACTTTATGCCTAGCACATGCATATCATTAAAAAATTGCAACTTAAAACTTTTGAAAAACACCTGTGAAAAAGTATCTTTTTGACACTCTAGAGGTGACAGTGCAACTTTCCGCTACATTCATGAAATTTTTGACAAACTTAAGACAGTCTGGTAATTCACTTTGGAAGTTTTTGGTGCCTGGTGCATGGAAGATTTTATTAGAGAATCTAAAATCATGTCAGATGTTACATAATAAACTTGTTGGCAAAAACTTAGCTTTGGTTTGCATTCTCCTATTATAAACACTGGAGTTAAGAATGAATACAAATATAAACGGCCAGTTGCATATCACGTTTCATGTAGGCATTCGAGATTTGTTCATTCATGATTTAATTAGCCATTTATTGATTTCAGTGTGTCAGATTCTGTGCTAGGCATAAGGAATTAGTGGTAAATAAAATAAAAATGATCCTTACCTTCACGAAGTTTACAGTACAATAAACTTCGGAAATTGTTACCAAAAAAATGGATTGTAATGGGGCTTGGGAATGTATAACAAAGAATGAGGAGAATATTTCTTAAGACCTGAGGCTGGGAGCGGTGGCTCACGCCTGTAATCCCAGCACTTTGGGAGTCCGAGGCGGGCGGGTCACGAGCTCAGGAGATCAAGACCATCCTGGCTAACATGGTGAAACCCTGTCTCTACTAAAAATACAAAAAATTAGCCGGGCGTGGTGTCTGGCGCCTGTAGTCCCAGCTACTCAGGAGGCTAAGGCAGGAGAATGGCATGAACACGGGAGGCGGAGCTTGTAGTGAGCCGAGATCGCGCGACTGCACTCCAGCCTGGGGACAGACAGAGATTCCGTCTCAAAAAAAAAAAAAAAAAAAAAAAAAAAAAAAAAGACTTGAAGGATGAATAAGAATTAGGAGGAGGGGCCAGGTGCGGTGGCCACGCCTGTAATCCCAGTACTTTGGGAGGCCGAGGCAGGAGGATTGCTTGAGGCCAGGAGTGTTAGACAAGCCTGGCCAACATAATGAAACCCTGTGTCTACTAAAAATACAAAAAATGAGCCGGGCGTGGTGGTAGGCTCCTGTAATCCCAGCTACTGGAGAGGCTGAGGCAGAAGAATCACTTGAACCTGCGAGGCGGAGGTTGCGGTGAGCCGAGATTGCTCCACCACTCTCCAGCCTAGAAAACAGAGTGAGACTCTGCCTAAATAAATAAATAAATAAATAAATAAATAAATAAATAAAAGAATTAGGGGAAGAGAGGGAACACATAGAAGAAAGAGCGAAGGAGTGGTAAGAGTAAAAAATGTGTTTTCCTCCCTCTCTATTTAAAGGCCCCTCTGTTACCTTCTACTGTGGACAGTGGCCAAAATGTCCTTCACTGCTTGAAGCCAACACAGAACTGTCCTTCCATGCCACCTTTCTGCTTCCTGCAGGAACTATGCTCACGCTTACCCTTTCTCCATGTTGACAGCTCAGTTAATTTCATCACACTTGGCCTCTTAAAAAGTCTCTACATTCTTCTCCTCCTCTTCCTCTTCTTCCTCCTCCTACTTTTCCTTCTCCCTGTTCTTATAATATGAATAACCAATTAATATATTAAAATGATAAAAAATCCAAATTGCATAAAATAAACAGAGTCTTTTTTCCATCCATCACCTCTCACACTTTCTTTGAAGTAATCCTTTCTCCTTCAGCTTTTAAAAACTATTTGAAATACAAAAAATAAAAATATATAATTAAAATATGTATAATACACATAAAAGAATATATATAATGCAAATCCACGCTGTGAAGCACATCAATAAAACAAAACAAACACCTATGAAACCCACCACCCAAACCAAGAAATGGAATTCTCATAACATCTCTCTCCCCCACCCAGAGGCAATCATAATTCTGAGTTTTGTGTCCATTATTCGCTTGTTTTTCTATGTTGATATAAGTCCATACGGAATACATACAGAGTACTTTTTTTTAGTTTTTGCTGTTTTTGAGATTTATAAATGATATCACATTCCATGCTATCTTCTGCTGCTTGCTTTTGCCATTCAACATTATATTTCTAAAATTTATGCATGTTGACATGTGTACTTTTAGCTTATTCAATTTCACTGCTGTATAGTATATTCTCACCATAAGAATGTATCATTTTAAAAATTTATTTGCTTTCCTATTAAGGAAAATGTGGTTTTCTTTGTCTCCATCTGCCCACCCATCCATCATCTATCTATGTATCTATCTATGTATCTATCTATCTATCTATCTATCTATCTATCTATCTATCATCTGTCATCTATCCACCTATCTACCTATCTGACCTTATGAATAAGGCTGCTTTGAATATTCTTGTATATTTTGTCTGTATCATATATTTTCTCTAGGGTATATATACATTTTTTTCTACGGCATATACCTGGAATTAGAACTGGGTCATAAAGTACATGCTTACTCAGCTTTATAAAATAATGTCACTTTTCAAAATGTTTTTGAGTTGTTCAACTCATTCACATTGTTCCACTTCCTCACCAACACTAGGTTTTGCCAAATTTTTATTTTTGCTAACTTTTCAGTTGTAAAATAATCTCTCATTGTGTTACTGACATGCATTTTCCAAATTGCAAATAAAGATGAGCAGTTTGCTGTATTTATTCAACATTTCTGGGTTTTTAAAGTAAAGTAATTGCTGTTATCTTTTGCCTATTTTTCTATTTAACTATTTGGTTTATTATTGGTTTTTTAAAAAATTCTTGTATAATCCAGATACTAATTATTCTCTATCCCTTCTTTTGTTTTTAAATAAATATGCTGCAAATAGCTTCCCTCCCTTACCCCTCAGTGGCTTGTCTTTTCACTTTCTTTATAATTTAAATAAACAGAATTTAATCTTAATGAGGTCCAATTTAGAAATCTTTTTCTAATCTTTGTAATTAGTGCTTTTCTGTATTTCAAAACAAATATTTCTGGTTCCCTAAGGTTATAAAGGTAGTATATATTTTATCCCACAAACATCAAAGTTTTGACTTTTATATTTAACTCATTAATCCAGTTGAATTTTTTTGTGTGTTCATGGCCTAAAATAGAAATAGAAATAGAAATTCAATTTCCTAGTGGCAAACTAATTGACCAACACCATTTATTGAATATCTTCTTCATTCTCCCACTGACCTGTGATATCACATCTAGTTCCCATGCAGATTTGAGGCTGTGTCTGAGCTCTTTATTCAGTGGCATTCATCATTTTTGTATAGTCTTAATTACTATAATTTTATTGTAAGTCCTGATATCTGGTAGGGAACTCTCCCCACATTCTTTCCCAGGAGTCTCCTGACTACTCTGTACAGATTTTAGGATGAGCTTGTTAGGTTCCTCAAATAATTTTGTTGGAGCTTTGATTGAGATTGCTTTGAATTTATAAATCAACTTAGAAAGAATTGATATCTTCACAATCTTGAACTCTTTCTATCCATAAATATCATATATTTTCCAGTTTACTTAGGTCTGGTATATTTTTAACTACTTGCTCCATTTCTTATTATTGAAAATGGTGCAGCACTTATAAATACTAGGCTTTCTAATTAGTGTTACTAAGTTATAAAAAGGCATTTAAAATATTTGATCTTATATCTAGCCTCCTATGTAAATGTTCTTATTAGTTCTAACAATTTGTAGATTCTGTTGAGTTTTCTATACATAGAATTTATACCATCTGCAAATGACGGTTTTATTTCTGCCATTTCAATCTTTTATTTTCCTTTTTTTATTATACTTTAAGTTTTAGGGTACATGTGCACAACGTTCAGGTTTGTTACATATGTATACATGTGCCATGTTGGTGTGCTGCACCCATTAACTCGTCATTTACATTAGGTATATCTCCTAATGCTTTCCCTCCCCACTTCCCCCACCCCACAACAGGCCCCAGTGTGTGATGTTCCCCTTCCTGTGTCCAAGTGTTCTCATTGTTCAATTCCCACCTATGAATGAGAACATGCGGTGTTTGGTTTTTTGTTCTTGCGATAGTTTGCTGAGAATGATGGTTTCCAGCTTCATCCATGTCCCTGCAAAGGACATGAACTCATCCTTTTTTATGGCTGCATAGTATTCCATGGTGTATATGTGCCACATTTTCTTAATCCAGTATATAATTGATGGACATTTGGGTTGGTTCCAAGTTTTTGCTATTGTGAATAGTGCCGCAATAAACATACATGTGCATGTGACTTTATAGCAGCATGATATATAATCCTTTGGGTATATACCCAGTAATGGGATGACTGGGTCAAATGGTATTTCTAGTTCTACATCCTTGAGGAGTCGCCACACTGTCTTCCACAATGGTTGAACTAGTTTACACTCCCACCAACAGTGTAAAAGTGTTCCTACTTCTCCACATCCTCTGCAGCACCTGTTGTTTCCTGACTTTGTAATGATCGCCATTCTAACTGGTGTGAGATGGTATCTCACTGTGGTTTTGATTTGCATTTCTCCGATGGCCAGTGATGATGAGCAATTTTTCATGTGTCTTTTGGCTGCATAAATGTCTTCTTTTGAGAAGTGTCTGTTCATATCCTTCGCCCACTTGTTGATGGGGTTGTTTTTTTCTTGTAAATTTGTTTAAGTTCTTTGTAGATTCTGGATATTAGCCCTTTGTCAGATGAGTAGATTGCAAAAATTTTCTCCCATTCTGTAGGTTGCCTGTTAACTCTGATGGTAGTTTCTTTTGCTGTGCAGAAGCTCTTTAGTTTAATGAGATCCCATTTGTCAATTTTGGCTTTTGTTGCCATTGCTTTTGGTGTTTTAGACATGAAGTTCTTGCCCATCTTCATCTTGTCTTACAGCTCTGGTTAGATCAAAGTTGAACATTGAGTTGAAATAGTAATAATTAGCTTCCTTGTCTTGTTTCTAATTTTAAAGATATTTTAAATATTTTGCCACCATGAAAAATATACACAGTAGGTTTTGGTAGAGACTCCTTATAAGGGCGTCTTTGTAAAATAAAGGAAATATTCTTATAATCATGTTTTACAGAGTTATTTTTTTTCTCATCTAGGCATGATTAGGCATTGGCTATTTTATATGCTGTAATGAGAATAATTTCAATAATAAAATTTCTATATTAAATCAGTTGCACATTGTTGGGGTAAATTCAGTTTGTTCATGATGTATTTGTTTTGTGTAGAATTTTTGCATCTGGGTTTATGAGTGAGATGGGTGAATGGATTTCCTTTCACATACTGACCCCACTTAGTTTCTTATCAGAAGTCTACTAGCTTAATCAGGTAAATCAGGAAATAGTCTCTTCTCTTTTCCTTGGAAGAATTATTATGAAATTGAAGTAACCTGTTACTTTTAAAAGTATGGTGCAACTCACCTCAAAAAATTATCTGAACTTGATGTTTTCTGTGTGCAAAAAAACCCTACATTAATAATTCATGCATGTTAATAATTACAGGACATTTGACACTTTTTATTCTCCTTGTGTCAGCTTGTCTGTTACCTTTTTGAAGATGTATACTGTTACATCCAAGTTTTCAAATACGTTAATATCAAATTATTCTTTTATTTTTATTGAAATCTTTTCTTCTATCTATAGTTATGTCCTCCATTCCATCCTAATGTTGTTTATTTGTACCTTCCTTCTCTTTTTTATTGAACAATTTTACCAGAGGTTTGTCAATTTTATTAGTCTTTCCAAAGAACCAAGTTTTTGCTTTTTTGATTCTTATTTTCATTGATTTTTGCTCTTACTTAACTGTATACTTTCTTCTACTTGGGAGTGGGAGGAATTCTGTTGCTGTTTTTCTAACTTAAATTGGATGTTTACACCTTCATTTCTCAGCCTTTCTTTCTTTCCTTCTCATATAATCACTTATGACTACAACTAATAGAAAATATCCTTTTCTCTCTAAAACTACTTTTTCTGGAAGCCAGATATTATATGTGTCTTCTATTTTCACAATTTTATTCTGCTTTAAGAAAAATGTTGTATGGAACATTTTGAACTTATTAAAAAAGTAGATATAATAATGTAATCCTTCACAGAGCTTCCAAAAAATTATCAATTTTGTTTCAACTATACCTTTCCTACTGCCTCTCTGCCCCAAATATTTTGGAGCAAATCCCAGACATTTTATTATTTCGTGAATATTTGGGTATATTTCTCTAAAATATCAGGATTTTAACAATATATGACTTCATAGCCGGCCGCGGTGGCTCATACCTGTAATCCCAGCACTTTGTGAGATTGAGGCAGGCAGATCGCTTGAGGTCAGGAGTCCGAGACCAGCTTAGCCAACATGGTGAAACCCTGTCTCTACTAAAAATACAAAAACTAGCCAGGTGTGGAGGTGCATGCCTGTAATCCCAACTACTCGGGAGGCTGAAGCAGGATAATTGCTTGCAAGACTACTTCATAGGCAGTGGTGTGTACTTTCTCTGGGAGGCCCATAACGCCTTGTCTCTCTCTTTTTATGATATTATCAACTATTGATGACTATTACCTAGATCCACCAAATTCATTAGGTGTTCAGAAATTTTCATATTCTAATTCTATACTTTGTCTTCATATATTAGTTGAAATTCTTCTACAAAAAGAAACTCTCATATCAGTTATTTGGTTATCATGAGGCACATAGAGTACACATACAAAGGCAGGATAAATAACCCTTTCCTTTTATTTTACCACATTTCAAAGAAAAAGATATAACAAACTTTGAATAAGTAGCCTTAAAAGTAAATCATATTTTTATTTCAAAGATATCCCACATTGATTAAAACTGTTCAGGTAAATCTCTTCTTTTGAATTCATAGAAGTACATAAAAATCATGTGTGTCACTTTAAGGACTGGTTTTTCACTCCCTCCCAACAAGAGAGGATTTGTTACACTGGTTACCCAACATATTTACTTAGATAATTCTCTGTGAGTGTTGATATTTCCCCTAAATCAAACATATTGTCCAAAAATGACATTTTTCATGTAATCAATGAAACCCTTCAAAATGATATGCAGAAACTTCTAGTTTCTCCATTTTCCCAAACTCCTGTTCCACCTATCCATCCACTCGTTTATCTATCTATCTATCTATCTATCATCTATCTATCTATCTATCTATCCGTCCATCTAATGTATCTTCTACCCATTTTATGCTCATATGGTAATATGATTAACATATCACCTCATCTGGCATGACTTGAACAAAATAGGCCCCTTGTTTTCTGGTGTCATAGGTCTGTCAAGGTCACAGGGGATCCCAGTTGAAAACAGGTGCTCCTCACACATGTTGTGATGACTCACTCCTTGCAGCAACAGCTCCTCAGGAAACCTTTTCCCACCAGGGATGCTCACCTGTACTTACACTTCGCCACATAGGCCTCAGCAAAAGGCAAAAGCTAGTTTTAATCTAGCTTTGAAGCTAAAACTCCTTAACTCACACCCACTTTTTCAGCTGCTGCTGCCAAAATATGCACCATGGGCTGGGGGTACGGCCGCCAGACTCAGTCCTCTGCTTTGTTAGAACAAGCCTCCCCCATGAAGCCATCAAGGTCCCGGCAAATGTGTCCAGCCCTTTTTTGCCACCTTTATGAAAAGGAACATTGAAAGAGGTACGCTTTGTCAACATAAAAAAAAAAGTCCTATAATTTCTTTCTTTCCAGGGCAATAAGTGTCTACTTGGCTTGTATTTACATAACTAAGAAGGGTCATTAAGTGATTCTTCCTAGAATAAATAGTATCTCCCACATGCTTTTAAAGCCACCTCTAGATTTAAAACTAGGTGGCAACTTTTAAATTGAGTCTTTCTCAGCAGAGAGTGGTTTGTTTTTCTTTGAAAGTATATGCTGAGGCCTTTCAACTAAGACATTAAGTTCTTTAGAATTGTGCACATAGTAAGTGCTCAACAAATAATTGTATGAGTGGAGAAAGACTTTTCCAGATTAAGAAGGGTGGGTAAAAGGATAGATCTACCCCATGAAACTCTCCTCTCTGTCATGGGAGCCAGTGGGTAGCCCAGCTCAGATCAGATGGACCCAGGGATCAAGAGCACCGCTATTCGGTGTGGTCCCCAGACCAGCACCATAAGCACAGTCAGGGAAATTGTAACAAATGCAAATTCACAGGCCCCACCCCAGGCCTACTGGATCAGAATCTGTTTTCACAAATCCTCTGGGTGGTTCTTATAGACAATAAAGTTTGAGACCCATTCATCTACAGTAGCCCAGTGTGGACTGTATTAACACGAGATGACATGGGGACCCGTGCTAGTTTTAGGCCAGACCAGCAAGATGGAAGGTGGTAATCATTATTCTGCCTTGAGAGATCAAGAAAGGAACAGATATTTTTGTAGAAATAGAAACACTGGTAGATGAGATTGCCTACCAGTGACTAGAGTTATTGATTATGTCTCTCCATCATTGATTAGAAATATTTTTATAGGACTCCAGGCTTAATCCAGTTTTTCTTCATCAATAAAGGCAAAAAAGAATTAGAAAAACACAATAGATATCCAAAGCCAGCCCACACAAGGCATTCTCTACACATAGGGCTTAGAGATGGCTCCAGAAAACAGTAGACATATCTGAAACCCAGACCTTCTCTGATGTGCTAGGCTGGGGGAAAAAATTTTCTGTACAGAACCAAAAAGTAAGTATTTTTGGCTTTGCAGGTTATATGTGACTGCTCACCTTGTTGTAGTGTGAAAGCAGCCATAGACAATACAGATATAAATGAGTGTGGCTATGTTCCAATAGACTCTATTTATGGGCTCTGAAATTTAAAATTTATGTAATTTTCATCTCATGAAATATTATTTTTTTCCAATAATTTAAAAATTCTTGGCCGGGCACGGTGGCTAACGCCTGTAATCCTAGCACTTTGGGAGGCTGAGGCGGGTGGATCACGAGGTCAGGAGATCGAGACAATCCTGGCTAACACAGTGAAACCCCGTCTCTACTAAAAAAATACAAAAATAATTAGCCAGAGCTTTCAGTGAGCCGAGATTGTGCCACTGCACTCCAGCCTGGGCGACGGAGTGAGATTCTGTTTCAAAAAGAAAAAAAAATTCCTAGCTTGGAGTCTGTACAAAAATAGATGGTGGCCAGATTTGGCCCCAAGTCCACAGTTTGCCAACCCCTGCTCTAGACTAGAGGCTGCTAAAGGTATCCCTTGCCAGTCCACAAGAAATATTTCACATGTGCCCAGTATGTAGAGAAGAGAAAATTAGGAACCAGATAGAATTAATACAAAGTCTGGAAGGAAAATTGTCTCCATCACCTACACTCCAAAAAGGAAGCCTAACAGTTTACAATTATTAATGACTGCCAGTCCCTCTGCAGGCTACAGTAAGCAACGTCAAACTTCGGGTGCCCACTCCAACGTACAAAGTACTAAAATTGCTAAGGTTGTAAGTTTGAAGTTTCTTCTTCTGATGGTGATGATGGCAGCAACTAATTCGAAGGGAAGAATTGAAAAATCTGTCAGTGATAATCCAAACCATGAATGTACAGCCCTACTTCCTCCACCTTTCTTGTTTTTTACTTTCAGAGACGGAGTCTCACTCTGTTGCCCAGTCTGGAGTGCAGTGGCACAGTCTCACTGCAGCCTTGAACTCCTGGGCTCAAGCCATCTTCCCACCTCAGCCTCTCAAGTAGCAGGAATCCTCCTTCCTTTTTATCCCCCAACTCTGTCCATTTTTGTCTCTCTTTCTATTGCTTTAAAAAAACATAAATATGCATATAAAATGCAAGCCCTTTCTTCTTCGATAAATAGCATACTTTTCTCCACCTTACTTTTTTTTCCTCAATAATAATTTCTAGAGATCCCTCCAAAGCAGTATATAGAAATGTTCTTTATTGCTCTTTTTTTTTTTTTTTTGAGACGGAGTTTTGCTCTTGTTGCCCAGGCTGGAGTGCAGTGGCGCGATCTGGCTCACTGCAAACTCCACCTCCCGGGTTCAAGCAATCAGCGTCCGGAGTAGCTGGGATTACAGGCATGAACTACCATGCCCAGCTAATTTTTGTATTTTTAGCAAGATACTCAATCATTTCGGTGTGGATTTACTATAGCTTACTTAATCAGTCCATCATCAGTGGACATTTGTACATTTTTTTGCTATTATAAATACAGCCCACAAATAACAGTCAGGGACAACATTGATCCTACACTTGTATGTGCCTGTGCTGTGCATTTTACACATATTACCCATTTAATTCTTATAGCAAGCTTATCTCCCCTTTACAGGTGAGGAAACTGAGGTCTAGAGAGGTTAAATACCATGTCAAGGATCAAGCAGCTGTAAGCAGCAGAGTAAGGGTTCCGGCATCATGACTGTTCTTAGTCACTCAACCTATTTCGTCCTCCTGATTCAGGCCTGTGTAGAGGAGGAGAAGAGACCAAGTTCCTCCTCCCTGACCCCCAGAAGGCTTGTTGGCACCAGCTCACATTCTTTTGCAAACTCAGCAAGGCCCCTTCCAACCGGCTTACAGCCCTCAGCTGGGAGCAGATTTGTTAAACAGATGCACGAGGCTTGGAAAACTGCCCAGGGTGTCCCCATACTGACAAAACAAGAGTCCTGTGGGACAAAGCGGAGATCCTGCCTCATCTGCATTCTCTCTGGCTCTCTGAGGATTGCCTTCAATGCCTCAGGCTAATGTGTTTGCCCAGAAGCATTTGTTTGGTGGGGAAGGGAGAAGAATAAGAGGGAGAGTGCTGGACAAATCTTTCCCTTTTACAGTCGGGGCACACAGGAGTTTTTAAGGCACTGCCACCTCTCCCTCTTTGTCTCTATCCTAAAATGACCTTATTCCCTTAACAGCCAACCTGGAACAGGAGGGTGAGTTTGGGGGGCATGTGAAGCAAGTTGTAGGGGTGATTGGAAGCTCCTTCCTTTGCTTTCTAGCCTGGCCTGAATGTGGGTAGAACCACGATATCAGAGAATATCAGCCCAGCACCCCACCCCTCACCCCCCACCCCCCAAACCCCCAGAGTCCTGATGGTTGCAGGGAGTTACAGGTGGCAGCTTCTGGGTACGAGTTACAGAGGTCAAGGCAGAAACAGTCCAGGACCTAGGAATAAGTGGGGGGAAGGGGGTGCACTGAGGCAGTGCCACCTTCTTTAAACCAGTGCTATGGGCCACAGTGCCAGGGAAGAAAGCCATATATCTGTATTAGATGATGATGCCTAGTGGTAAACTGTGCAGGGAGGAGAAACGGGAAAGCTACAGATTTCAGAAGTACATTATTGGCCTTAAACATTGGGTCAACCTAACATTCTGTTTTGAAAGAAAAAAAAACCCTAATATTTATTAAGTATTTAGGTTAATGACTTTACCTACATCATTTTAGTTAATCTTTATAGTAACCCTCAAATATATAATTCCCATTTTCAGATGTGAAAATTGAGGCTAAAATTGCTTAGGAGATTTGTCCAGATTTGAAAACCTAGTAGGCAGTGGAATCCTAATTCAAACCCAGATCTGCTGACTGCACAGTCCAGGTACCTAATCATTTTACGGTGCTGGAGGCTCTTTCTTCATTCATTCATTCATTCAAGAAATATTTATTTAACATCTATGATGTACTAAAGACATGATATTGTGGGAATACAATAATGAAATAAGAGAGATGTGGTTCTGGCCCTCACAGAGCTCATCTTCAAGGGTAGGGAAAATAAACAGGTAAATAAGTAAACAACATGATTACAGACTTTGATAAATGCTATAGCTCTCATCGAATATTGAGATTGGTTTAAAATGAAGTCTTTTTTTTTTTCAAACTATCTAGTAATTAATGAAAGGGGAGTCATCCTATATAAACTCTCCTTCCATTGAATTTGTCTATATCATGTGTAATATTTTAAGATGTTGCTTTATACTTAGCTATTTTATTTAATCTGAGCTCCTCTCAAGTTGAGGCAAAAGTACAGCCTCATTATTAGTATTATTTTTAATATTCTGAACTTAATGTCTCCAAAAGCCAAAAGTAGATATTAAAAAGTCCATTTCAAATGACCTGAGGTTGTATGAGCCATCCCTGTGAAATGTTTAGGGAGCTATCCCCAGGGAAGTTGAAATTATGCCCTACTAGGAATGGTTGAAGAAACTACCTGAGGTTTGTCAGCAGAAGAGCATGGCTTTACTTCTCCCTTTCCTTCCACATGTTGGAGCTGTGTGAAAATCTCCCATGGAAGAAGACAGGATATGAATTCAACCTATAATTTGAAAAACAAGTATATCAGATGACAAGTGATCTAAGCAGTATTATTATATTCTACTATTATCATTGTTCTTCCATGTAGTTAGAAGATTTCAATCTGAGCTACCTTTTTTCTTTATGTTCACAAATACCTAGGGGGAAGGGAGGTGGAAGATATTAGTATTCCCATCACTTCCTAAACAGCTTCTGCATGAAAAATACCTGCCTCCTACCTGTCTGACTGGGCTCTGGAGTTTAATTAGATTAGCATCTCTAAACTACTCAGGTTTCCCCGAGATAGGCATTATGTAAACATAAGGTATTATTATCACTATCATAGTATCATTATGTTATTGTAATTGTGTGGATTCTCCCATAAAGCTGCATAGGATGGGATCCTAGCCCAGACTATTATTTGTCTAGTGCTTTGAGCTTAGATGAAAGGCACGTATATGTTGTCTTGTGTTGTTACATCATTACAGTCACTATTGTTGCATTTTTGATTACTGAAGAATGAACCAGTTTTCAAATTCATCTCAACATCTCTCCAATTTTTAAAAGATGTTTTCTGTGTGACTGCAATGGTGTGCTCTTCCACACTGGTTTAAAGGCCTGGGGTAAGATAGCACCTTGGGCTTCTGATATCACCTGAGGAAAAAGGCAGACAGGCAGGGTATTTTAGGATGGTGTTTTTTTTTTGTTTGTTTGTTTTTACCTCTGTTCTGCTAGAGCCTGGTAGAGGTCGCAGAGCTCCAGGCCTGTTGACAGCAACACTCGGGTAAATTATTCTGGTTAAAGCCAACTTTGAGTGACTCTTCTGTCTCATTTGCTACCTTTAGGAGCCGTAAATGGCTCTTCTCAAAAAGATTAAGATGGTATCCATCTCAAAAAGAGGAAAGAAGACGAGATATAGGGCCAAACAGCACACTAGAGAATAATTTTATGAGATTAACGTAGTTGCTTCATCACTAAATATACCAGCTGGTAAAGTTGTACAGTTTATTTTAGGAGGGTATTCATCAATCCAAAGATTTATGTTATCAGTGATGAAAATGTTATTTTGGAGTTTGTAAATTTGGGACCTGCCTTATTTATCTTCCTGTATTCTGACAATGTCATCCTCAAAGGTCATTTTTATTCCATTCTATTTTTTTTCTCCAGTGAATTCTACTATTATTAATTTTCTCTTGGCTGTGTTTACAGATATGACTATAATTATTTCCATTAGAGCTACACACTTAAGGTTTGCATTATCTTTCATTTCCTCTACTAAAAGTCCAGTGTTTTATGCTACTGGGGAATCTGAAAACGGCATAATTCAGAAATGTAAGACGACGGCTCCTTTTAGATACTCCCCATTGCATAATTGTAGTTCTTAACAGGGCTGAAGATCATCACATTTAAATGAAGGAAAAGCCTCTCAATTGATGAGCCAGCTGTTCACTGAAATGTTTATATCTAGTCAGGCTTCAGACTAATATGTCTTTGCATGATTTATTAAATGTGTTTGTAATAACAGAGTTATCATCACTCTCTCTTACTGTCCGATGATTGGTTCTTGGGCTGGTATTGCATGTGGTGCTGAAACTGTCATGGCAGAGAAAGTATTTTGCTCTTTTCTGATAAGAAATTTCCACCTGGTTCCGTCTGTGGAAAGGCAAGGCTAACCAGGGTGCTGAAGAGGCTTAGGGGATGGTTAATCGCCACGCAGACCTTGACTTTAAATGCAAATTACCCAACAAAAAAGTGACTGTGACTTGAACTGCTGTTTCTCATCGAATTTGTGGGAGCATTTCTTGTGCAGCTACAGGTTGCAGCTGGTCTGGCCACGGTTTTGTGTGGCTGAGTGCTTAGGCCGGCACTTTATTATCAGAACAGAACAAATCTAGGCTAATGTGCGTGGTAGAAAGAATCCCAGGGTGCCTCAGTGCCTCATTCTCCGGCCATTCTTTCCAGTTTTTCTGCTGTTGCACTCTGGATAATTGCGGTTTAATTGGGTGACATGAAATGAAAACTGTGTCCACATTATCCAGGATTATCTCTTTTTCCTGAAGCCTGCCACCCGTTGAAAGGAGCCCATTTATCAGACCAAAGAGCTGCGCTCGGTTGCTTTTACGAGTGGGGAAGAGTATGAGAACAGGCTGGGAAAAGGAGAAAGGGAGCTGACAGCTAAGAAAAATTATTTCAGTTGTTTATCATGAGGAAAGTTTATCTGATTCTTTACAAAATGATATGGGGGCCGGCATGTCGAGCCATGAGTAATGAACATTGACCAACTTTGCTTCCTCCACTGGTTGGACCCAGTGCTGCCTCTTTTGTGTGGGCACAGATCAACTTTAAAAGCTTCTTTCAGGCAGCATGAATGCACTTCATTTTACCAAAAAGAACTTTGTATTGATAGCTAGAAAAAAGGAAGGTTGTTTAAAAAGGAAGGGTAGACAATCAGGACAAAATGAGGAGCTTTCAGTTTCTATTATGAGCATGTCGCTCCTTTCTTCTCTTCTGTTTATACATTCCCTGCACAATAATGTCTCTTTGCAGTAATATGTTTCCCCTTTTACACTATTCATATTGAAAAAGCCCTCACATCATGACCATGGTAATAAATACCATAGAAATGTGGATATAATGTCAATTTGCATTCTGTGAGAAGATCAAGGTAAACCTAAGGGCCAAAAGAATATTCTGCTAATGCTCATTCATCATTCTCCAGATCCAGGTGAAAGAAGGACCTTGTCACTACATTGCAAACCCCTTCTGTTGCTGCTGCATTTGTGTGAACATTTTAGCCTAATGCACCAATTGTTAAGTAGAAAGAGCAGTCTTTGAAATTGTCTATTGCACTCAAATCCCTAGCTGTACAAGGTCTGGGCAGGAGGCGTTTCTATTCAGAAGGAAATAGAAGGCTTTAGTTCAGTAAGCACAGTGTGGCTGAAGGTTACGGAGGATATTGTGTGTTTTTTAAATAAAAGTTTTCGAATGGGGGAAAAGCTCATTATCTATAATGGCAACAGTGAATATGGAGTCAACATCTGGTGAAATTGTATGATATGTTGCTGCAGTCCTCACATTTGGAGGTATCCATCAGTGGCTGGTTGACATCAGCATGTCCTAAATGTGCAAGGTGGAAAGTATTTTGTATTATGGAAGTAAACAGCTACACGTCTTAGTTTTAGATATACGTTGTGTTATCACACACATGAATTCAGTATTCTCTGTAATGTCTGCCACTCAATTTAATATTGACCTTCAAAAATAAGAAGGGAAAGACTGTAAGTTCATAGGAAAAAATCAAAATCAGTTATTCTACACATATTATGAATAGACTACTAATTCTACTCATTGAACACAATCATTGAGGTTGGATAACTCAGCTACCTCTAGAACACTACCCTTTCCTGTCTCTTCTTTTGAAGCAGATATTAAAATGGCTGAAATGTTTCCAAAGCAATGACTTTCTGTAGGTTTTTAATGTTTTCATTGTATTTTCCACACTTACCAGAGAGTACATAAATTTAGAGAAGCAGGCACTTCGGAACTGATGAAAGTCCCTTAAATCTACTTTTTAATGCATTAGCAAACAATGGCTTGCAAAAATGTTGAATGAAGAGTTTGATTTTTTAAAATTGTATTACAATGCCTATAATCCCAGCACTTTGGGAGGCCGAGGCTGGAGGATCGCCTGAGCTCAGGAGTTTGAGACCAGCCTGGGCAACATGGCAAAACCCCATTGCTACAAAAAATACAAAATATTAGCCAGGCATGGTGGTGCATGTCTATAGTCCCAGCTACTTGACAGGATGAGGTGGGAGAATCACTTGAGCCCAGGAGCCAGAGGTTGCAGTGAGCCGTGACTGGGCCACTGCACTCCAGCTCGGGCAACAAAGCAAGACTCTGTCTCAAAAAAAAAAAAAAGTATTACAATTTGTTAGTCTCACTCCATCCCATTCTTATTAAAGAGATTTTAACATCTTTGAAAAAGTTGAAAATCAAATCTTTTTTTCTTGTGATTTCTTTTTAACCTGTGTCTTTGGTGAATGTAACTAAATGTATTCTCAGAGGCCTCTCTACTTTCACTGCCTTTTCTTTCCATTTGACTTATTTTCCTTTACATTTATTTTAAATCATGTGTGATTTATTCAGAAAGAAAAAGAGTCAAAAAGGAAAGAAATAATTTTTTTTCCCATAAGACAAAGGCACACAACTAACTTGAAATCTCTGAATCTTACCATGTGTAGAAAACCTAAATAAAATGGGAATTTGGCAGAGGCTCTTCATGTCTTTAGAGAACTGGCCCCAGCACATACTAATGTCATCTCAGTTTTAAAATTTTGTTTATAACCTTGCTCTTAAGAAAGAACTACTAGCCGTATGCCACATTTGCAGCCAAAATGCAGATTGAGAAAGTTTGACATTAGATTATTTTATAAAGGGTCCATTCACTTCTTTCCAAATGTCAAAGAAATTATGTCTGCCGGACTCATCTTTGCTCCTCTAGCACAGATGACAAATGCACACACAGGCAGACAGAACCCCATGCCCGACTGATTTCTAAAAGCCTACAGATGAGTGTTTCGGGATTGGAAACCTATTTGTCAAATAGCCACGCCAATTTATGCTGTCTTCCTCCCAGGCAGCAAGGAAGACATTGTGGATTAGGCTTATAACAAACACTGGAATGCTTTGCTTTACATTAGGTATCAGGACTCTGGATGTGTGTTCAAATATATTTATCCTCTGAAAAAGAGGTGGGGAAAAATTCACAATGAGTGAGGATGTCACTCACAGATCGACAGGGTATGTATTTACTGTTCAGCAAAGGCAGCAAAAAGAATCACATAGATTCAGAGCACAGGCCTGGATTACAGACTTCCTGTATGTGAGAACATGGAATGGATTTCAAAAAAGGAAAAAAGAAAAGAAATCACAACGAAACAAAGCGAAGCACACAACTCGGAAGTTCCAGAAAACTCAAAAGCCTGAGTGAAAGCACGGTCTGGAACCCTATCTACTTACTCTATGTATGGACTTTAGCCAAAGACCAAATAGTTTTTGATTTACTATTGTCACTCAGCTATCTATTCAAAGCTCTACTGAGAATAGAATGCAAATATCATTTGGTGAGTCTGAACTAGGAGACAGCATAATAGTACGTGTATTTTCCTGCTACTACAAGTTTGTCACCATAGAAAGTCACTACAGAAGATTCCCCAGGGAAATGGGCAACATCCACAACTGCAATCAAACAATACCAAGTGGGACTCTTTGAAAGAAGTACTGAAAATGAAACCAAAGCACGTTCATCCTAATAGCTAAAATTTACTGAATGTTCACTATGCTGAACGCTGTACTTGCCCTCTTATCTTGCAACAACTCTAGGTCGTACATATTAGAAATTAAGGTATAGGGAGGTAAAATAATTTGTCCAAGCCAAGAAAAGAATATGGGTTGAATTGTGTTTCCCCTCATCCCGAAATTTGTATGTTGAAGTTCTAACCCCCAGGACCTCAGAATCTGACTTCATCTGGAAATCAGGTTGTTGCAGATTTAATTAGGTATACCATGAGTTCAGACTGGCCCCTTTATGTAAAGGGAGAACTTGGACATAGACACACACACACACACACACACACACACACACACACACAGAGAGAGAGAGAAAGAAAGAAGACCATGAGAAGATGAAGATGGAGATCAGATGATTCTTCTACAAGCCATGGGACAACAAAAATTGCCAGATAACCCACCAAAAGCAAGGGGAGAGGCATGGAACAGATTCTCCCTTGCAGCCCTTAGAAGAAACCAACCCGGTCCACACTTCGATATTAGATTTCTGGCCTCCAGAATGGTGAGACAATACATTTCGGTTGTTTAAGGCACTCAGCTGTGTGGCCACTTGGTTGTGCAGGTACCCTGACTTCCCGGAGGGGGTTGTTCACCTGGCACCTTCCCTCACACCCACAGAGGGAGAACAGTGACCCTCAGATGGACATTCACTTATGCATGGGCTTAGATTCCAGACATGGCCCTGCTCAAAGCCCAGATGGGAGCATTTCATATAATGAGGCCTTTTCTGTCTGGCTACTAGTGGGCTCTCTTGATATTTAAGAGTTGCTTTTTGATTCAATTATCCCACAGAGTCAGGGAAAATTGGTAATACACAGATTGCCAATATGCAAGAGGAAACATAAGTCAGGTCTGGAAAAAGAGAATCTCCTTTCAAGCCTTGGATCCTGCATGTGACCTAAAGTGACACCATCTTCTCTCAGAATCTATTTCATTTACTGACTTACATGGGACGAAGGGGGCTCCTTTGGGGAAGGGGACACGAGTTCTGCCCAGAGTTATTGGTCAGACATAGTGACATGATCGGATTGGAGGAGGGAGAGGTGACAGAAACAAGTTTCTATTCAAAGGGAAGGAGAAGGGCAGAGTCAGCCAGACCGAGCAGTGGATCTTTGACAGGGGCCGTAGTTTCCTGGGCATTGTTGCTGCCTCGAACAAACTGGGGTTCATGTGAAGAGGAAGAATTGCTTCACGAATCTTTTAGGATGTTGGGCCCAAGCTTTACACAATAAAATTCTCACCCTGCCATCCCATCCTCCCTCTTCAATCAGCAGAGATGAGCTGAATGAGCACGGTCTGCCTTCTCCCTTCCTAAGAGCCTGCCCAGCAGCACCAGCCTCGCCAGGGTCAGAGCATCATCAGTCACTTGGTGAATCTCAAACGGAATCTGCACCAAGATGGCCACTCGCACTCAAGTAGAAGTGCCATGGTTAGCTCATGTTAGAGAACAGAGCTGTTCCTGATTTCATTCCTTTGTATGCTGGGGCAAAAGCAACCTTGCTGTGAGACCTTTCCCAACGGAGAATAACAGAGAAAGAAGGAATGTTTGCCTTCCAACCCCACAAGGTCCGCCTGGCTGGCAGGTGAGGAGGCAGGAAAATGCCGGCTCTGACTGGCACCAGGAAGGCAGTGGCTAAGTCAGGAGGTGCCGAATTCCAACTCTAGTAGCCCAGGGATGTTGTCATTTGGTCAGAGCCCCAGTATGACAAGAGAAAGGAAGATACTGATTCAAGAAAACATGTAAAATACCTCTCGCGAGTTAGCAGAAATATTTGGAGAGAGGTGATCCTCAAGGAAGTGGACTTCCTGCATGTTCAGGTCAGGGGTGAGAGCCATGGGAACTTGGATGTTCCTGCTGAGATGACCGTGTTGTGCGCACAGGCCAGTGGGGCATGGGGCATTTTGGTGGTTGCTTACTGTCACTTTCTAATGGGTGTAATTACAGAACAACTTGTTCCTTAAAAGCTAATTCCCAAGACCTCAGTGAGAAGAGTGAAATTCTGATTCCTTCTCCTCATAAAGTCTCTGTATCTCAAAAAGTGAGTTCTGTGAAACCTCGTCTCTACTAAAAATACAAAAAGTACCTGGGCATGGTGGCATGTGCCTGTAATCCCAGCTACTCAGGAGGCTGAGGCAGGAGAATTGCTTGAACCGTGACTCAGGAGGTAGAGGTTGCAGTGAGCCAAGATCGCGCCACTGCACGCCAGCCTGGGCTGCAGAGCGAGACTCCATCTCAAAAAAAAAAAAAAAAAAAAAGTATTGCCTACTAATCCAAGATGGCGGACTAAACACAGACGTTTACTCTCCTGTCCACCAAAATGCCATTCGGATGACAACAAAGAAGAACAAAATTGAGTAAGTGAGCTTGAGAGGAGGGGGAAAAGGAGCATCAATGGAGCAGAAAGGCCGATGGATTTCCGGCAATTGGGAAGGAGAAGGAATGATGTTGAGGGATGATGCCTGGAGCAGGATGTGCTGGTTCCTGAAGGAGGAGTGGGGATGGGAACATTCTTTTGCGGGATGAGCCAGAGAGAGGCTCCAAGCACAGGGGTGGCAACATAGAGTAGGAGTGAGTGACACATAGGCAGAAACGGAAGTGGTTCATTGAAGGGTAGTTTCTGGAACACTTACCCAAATGGGCTCTTTTTCCCCCATCCCTACCCACTACAAGTATGGGCAGGATCTTTAGTCTCAGATTAAAATCAGACATTGCTCTGTGAAGAAATAATTGGTTGGAGAGATCTAGGGAACAGAGAGTGACTATGGATACTTAGAGCTAAGACTTCTTTATTTTGGCATAAAAAAGAAATGTTTTACCAGCTCCCTGCCAACAGACCATAAAGTCGACATGCCCTATAGGCACACACATTTCTTATAGTCATCTGCCTTTTAAGAGAAGGCCTGGAAAGAAAACAGGACTACCCATATCTAGAAGCCATCCACACAAGCTTCTTAATTAGGATCGTATATGACAAAGGTAGGTTTAGATGCTGTACTGTGGTTTCAGCTACATGGGAGGCTGAGGCAGGAGGATCATTTGCGCTGAAGATGTCTAGGCTGCAGTGAGCTGTGTTTGTACCACTGCACTCCAGCGAGACCATGTCTCAATAGAATAATAAAAAATGATGCTGTAACAAGATACCTAACAATTATTCAGTAGCTTAAGAAATATAAGGATCCATTTTCCTATCCAGCAGCCATACAATCAGCAGGCGGCTCTTTTCATGCAATCGTTCTGGAGAGCAGTTCAGCCATCGTCAACCATGGTACCCGGGATCACTTCAGTCTGCAGAAAGAGGGGATGAAATTGTGAAGGGGTCATGATCATGCTCTTGAAAGTATCCACCTAGAAGAGGCTCATTACCTTGGATAGAACACTTAACTGCAAACATGTCTAGAAAATACAGTCTAGCCATGACCCAAGAAGAGCAGATTTTGGTGGACAGATAGCCGCCTCTGCACAAACGCAACAAAAGACAGCCAGAAATTCAATGATAAACTATGGCACCGGAGAGAAGGCATCAGAACAAAAAACAGGACAACCAACTTCAGAGCTTATGCAGTGAACATAAAAGAAGCTTCAAAAATTCTACTTGGAATTTTAAGAAGATACTGCATTCTTAAAAAAAAAAAAAAAATGGACATTCTAAGGTCACACCTCAAGGAACTAGAGAAACAAGAACAAACCAAGCCCAAACCCAGCAGAAGAAAGGGAATAACCAAGATCAGAGCAGAACTAAATGAAATTGAAACAAAAAAATACAAAAGATAAATGGAAAAAAAGCTGGTTCTTTGAAAACATAAATGAAATTGATAGATCATTAGCAAGATTAACCAAGAAAAGAAGAGAGAAAATTCAAATAACTTCACTAGGAAAAGAAACAGGAGATATTACAACTGACACCACTGAAATACAAAAGATCATTCAAAGCTACTATGAATACCTTTATGCACATAAACTAGAAAACCTAGAAGAGATGAATAAACTCCTGGAAAAATACAACCCTCCTAGCTTAAATCAGGAAGAATTAGATACCCCGAACATACCAATAACAAGCAATGAGATTGAAATGTTAATCTAAAAATCACCAACAAAAAAATTCCAGGACCAGATAAATTCACAGAAGAATTCTACCAGACATTCAAAGAAGAATTGGTACCAATCCATTTGACACTATTTTACAAGATAGAGAAAGAAGGAACCATCCATTATTTATTCTATGAAGCCAGCATCACCCTAATACCAACACCAGGAAAGCACATCACCAATAAAAAACTACAGACCAATATCCTTGATGAACATAGATGCTAAAATCCTTAACAAAATACTAGTTAACTGAATCCAACAACATATCAAAAAGATAACCCACCATGATCAAGTGGGTTTCATATCAGGGATGCAGGGATGGTTTAACACATGCAAGTCAATAAATGTGATATACCACTTAAACAGAATTAAAAACAAAAATCACGTGATCACCTCAACAGATGCAGAAAAAGCATTAGACAAAATCCAGCATCCCTTTATGATTAAAACTGTCAGCAAAATTGGCATACAAGGGACATATTCAATGTAATAGAAGCCATCTATGACAAACCCACAGCCAACATAATGCTACAAGGTGAAAAGTTGAAAGTATTCCCTCTGAGAACTGGAACAAAATAAGGATGCCTACTCCCACCACTCCTCTTCAACATGGTATACTGGAAGTCCTAGACAGAGCAATCAGACAAGAGAAAGAAATAAAGGGCATCCATATTGGTAAAAAGGAAGTCAAACTGTCACTGTTTGCTGATGATATGACTGTTTACCTTGAAAACCCTAAAGACTCCTCCAGAAAGCTCCTAGAACTGATAAAAAAAAAATTCAGCAAAGTTTCCAGATACAAGATTAATGTACACAAATCAGTAGCTCTTCTATACGCCAACAGCGACCACGCAGAGAATCAAATCAACAACTCAACCCCTTTACAATAGCTGCAAAAAAAACAAAAAACAAAAAACAAAAAAAACCTTAGGAATATGGAAATACCTAACCAAGGAGTCAAAAGACCTCTACAAGGAAAACTACAAAACACTACTGAAAGAAATCATAGACGACACAAATGGAAACACATGTCATGCTCATGAATGGGTAGAATCAATATTGTGAAAATGACCATACTGCCAAAAGCAATCTACAAATTCAATGCAATCCCCATCAAAATACCACCATTATTCTTCACAGAATTAGAAAAAACAATTCTAAGTTCATATGGAACCACAAAAGAGCCCACATAGCCAAAGCAAGACTAAGCAAAAAGAACAAATCTGGAGGCCTCACAAACCTGATTTCAAACTATACTATAAGGCCATAGTCACCAAAATAGTGTGGTACTGGTATAAAAATAGGCACATAGAACAATGGAACAGAATAGAGAACCCAGAAATAAACCCAAATACTTACAGCCAACTGATCTTGGACAAAGCAAACAAAAACATAAAGTGGGGAAAGGACACCTTTTTCAACAAATGGTACTGGGATAATTGGCTAGCCACATGTAGGAGAATGAAACTGGATCCTCATCTGTCACATTATAAAAAAACCAACCCAAGATGGATTAAGGACTTGAATCTAAGACTTGAAACTATAAACATTCTAGAAGATAACGTTGGAAAAACCCTTCTAGATGTTGGCTCAGGCAAGGAGTCCATGACCAAGAACCCAAAAGCAAATGCAATAAAAACAAAGGTAAATGGTTGGGACTTAATTAAACTAAAGACCTTTTGCATGGCAAAAAAGGAATAGTCAGCAAAGTAAACAGACAACGCACAGAGTGGGGGAAAATCTTCACAATCTATACATCTGATAAAGGATGAATATCCAGAATCTACAACAAACTCAAACAAATCAGTAAGAAAAAAACAAACAATCCCATCAAAAAGTGGGCTAAGGACATGAATAGACAATTCTCAAAAGAAGGTATACAAATGGCCAACAAACCTATGAAAAAATACTCAACATTACTAATCATCAGGGAGATGCAAATCAAAATATGATATCACCTTACTCCTGCAAGAAAGGCCATAATCAAAAAATCAATAAACAGATGTTGGTGTGGATGTGGTGATCAGGGAACACTTCTACACTGTTGGTGGGAATGTAAACTAGTACAGCCACTATGGAAAACAGTGTGGAGATGCCTTAAAGAACTAAAAGTAGAACTACCATTTGATCCGGCAATCCCACAATTAGTGACTACCCAGAGGAAAAGAAGTCATTATATGAAAAAGATACTTGCACATGCATATTTATAGCAGCACAATTCACAATTGCAAAATCGTGGAACCAACCCAAATGCCAACCAATCAACAAGTGGACAAAGAAACTGTGGTATATACATATACAATGGAATACTACTCAGCCATAAAAAGGAACAAATTAGCAGCATTTGCAGCGACCTGATGAGATTGGAGACTATTATTCCAAGTAAAGTAACTCAGGAATGGAAAAACCAAACATCGTATGTTCTCACTGATATGTGGGAGCTAAGCTATGAGGACGCAAAGGCATAAGAATGATGCAATGGACTGTGGGTATTTGGGAGGAAGAGTGGGAGTGGGGCAAAGGATAAAAGACAACGAATATGATGCAGTGTATACTGCTTGGGTAATGGGTGCACCAAAATCTCACAAATCACCATTAAAGAACTTAGTCATGTAACCAGATATCACCTGTACCCCAAAAACTTATGAAAAAAATAGATTTAATTAAAAAATTGGCTACTCTGAAAAGGAAAACCCAAAAAACAAGGAAGAGTCATAAAGTATGACAACTGAAATTTTAAAATTCAATGAAATGGAAGATGATAGAGTTGGCTATTGTTTTTCTTTCTTTTCTTTTCTGTTTTCGAGACAGGGTCTCACTGTGTTGCCCAGGCTGGAGTTCAGTGGCACGATCACGGCTCACTGCAGCCTTGACCTCCTGGACTCAAGCAATTTTTCCACCTGAGCCTCCCAAAGTGCTGAGATTAAAGGCGTGAGCCACTGTGCCTGATCCTGGTTGTCAATATTTAAAATAAACTTACAGAAAATCGCAGATTTAATTACTGTTAAAGAACAGAGTACAAAAGTCATGGCAGTTGTAGGTAGAAAGGCAGAAAAGTGTAGGGATAGGTAGAGGGCTCCAATTTCCTCAAATTACATGCTAGGAGATCAACGCACACAGTCTAAAGCTAGAGGCTCAAAAAATAGAGGATTTAGAATATTCTTGTAATTGATAAAATCAACCACTAGAACTGAAAATAAACATGTGAAGTTGGGAGGATGTGGAGAGAGAAGTAATTCAGGTAAGCTCTCAGTTCTGTGTCCATTGATACAGCTTAAAGTTGACAAGTCAAGAAAGAAAAGTTGAGGGAAAATAGATATGTGGAGGTAACCACTAGAAGAAACAAAAGAGGGAAGTGGTTACCTTTGGCAAGTGGGAATGAAATACCAAGGGAGTGAAATGTTCTTTATTTAATCTCCCTGGATATTTTAATTTTCATTGTTATATGTTTCTTGCATTGAATGAGATCTGAAAGGACACAAACTGTTAATAATAACTATGTTGAATTGGAATGAGGGCTGTGGGGTCAGGGGGCACGGGGAAAGGTAGGAAATTTTAGCTTTTTTTTTTTCATTCTTTACCTGCCTCAATTGTATTTTGGTGATAATAATTATTAACTTTGTGTTGAAATAGCCATTACAATTTTAAATATCGCACTCCCCATATTTCAAGGAGTTTACAGGGGAATAGACCCTTCTGTGCTTTAAAGGGCATAGTGCACTAATACAAGGTTGCAGGCGATCTGTCTAAAATTCTGTTTTGGGGACTCTGAACTTCAACTTGACCATGAACTGCATCCATTTTCGTAAAGAATAGATTCTCACATAATATTGGATCTAACTTCTTATAGGCACATTTTACAACTTTAAGTGATCAGTTTTGCCAATATAGCTTATTGCATTATTATGGCTTACAAAGGCTCTCTAGGTGTATGGCGTTCCTTTCGGGTGCTGTCCCCCAAGGACATTTAGTGTTAAGATTTTTAAAGAAGTGTATTTAAAGCACAACATGACTAATTTTTCAATGTTGTTAACTTTTAACAATTTATTTCAAGCTGTGATGTATATGAACAAAATTAAATGCCAGAGGGCCAGGTTTTATGGCTATTGTTTTAATAATCATATGGTAATGTTTTTATTAATACCATCTTTGTAACCGAAACTGTGGCTTTGACTGATTTAGTTTAATGACTGTACAACTTCCATAGATATCAGGATCTACCTTAGGCCAGAAAGATTGCAGAGTTCAGAACTGAAGAATTCAGAAGCTGCAGGAAGCATCAACACATTTTGTTCACCTAAAAATGTTTCTTGCTTGTTGGCAAATAAATATTATTTTGATTTTTTAGGTGTGAAAAGTTGGTGAGGTCATGAGACTCTCTATTCTGCTATACTGGAAGTCTTCTGAGGGCAAGGGGTGGGGGGATATTTGCTAATCTCCCTGGTGCTGGCACCATGAATAGTCAATAAATATCTGATATTTGTTTATTGAACACATGTATATATGAATGAATGGATGAATGAATGGGTCATTGATAGACATCAGTTTTCCAAGTCTTTATCTGATTCTCTGTGCAGAAGCCCGAACCACCCCTCCTATCACAGCTGTAAGATTACCAAGTGGAATCTTAAAAGTTTAAGGCCTCCAAAGGCAAAGACTGAGCCCAGAAGACTTATTTTCCAGTTTTGATAAAATGAAACCACAGGGACAGCCTCCCTCCTTCATGAGTGGCATTTATGCCAAATAGATTTCATATGCTAGACAGCCCATTCTTAAGTGTGTGAATTTATTTCAAAGTTTAGACTGTAAATAGGCACCACGGAATCCATAAAAATGAAGATACCGTGATTTACAGGAGGATGTGTATTTAAATCAGAATATCTCCTTAGGTGAAAACATATCACCCACCAAACAGATTTTATCAAGGGGCAGATTCCGCAGTAATGATGAGGTAACTGGTGGGAGAGATAAACCTGAGAAATGTCTGGCAGATCTATTGAATGTGGACATTCATGAGGATTTCCTTCCAGCAATTCCTTCTAGAACATGCCCCAAAGGGAAAACTGCTCTACTAGTGTGCTGTGAACCTCGGCAGCTTTGCACTGAAGTTTTTAAGAGAGCAGCACTAAATACGCTCAACTGCTCTTCATTCCCCATGTCCTCAGAGGCAGCAGCATAGACTTCTCCTGTCACAGATGGAAAAAGAAAAATTCTCCCAGGACTCTGAAAGCCATGACAAAACTGGAGACCTCTTGTCCCACTGCTTGGAGGGGAAAGAGGATGTCCTGGGGCTTTATTTAGGAGTCTCAGACTTTCCACTGGGCCCCTTCTTTAGGTTCCAATGAGAATATGGTGACATGTCCTTGTCTAGCCAGGGACCCCTTGGTTTGCCTTTCATAATTCATGAGCCTATTGGTGGTAGGTCTTGGAGAGAACCCTGGATCTGTGATCTGCATTTTGAGTTGTATTCCAAGGTTACATCCCTTCCTCACTCTCTCATCTCCCATTACTGTAATCTGTTAGGGGGAGTCTGACAAGTTTGCTTCTACACAGAGGCTCCTTGGCATGGCTCCAAAAGATGCTTAGAGAGGGCACACCCTTAAATGTAATGTGGTCAAAGTACTATTAAGTTAATTACAATATTTATTATAGAGCTATTTACAAGGTAAAGTCCTGCAACATAAAACATGAAAGATACATAATTACACAGAAATGGAAGGGAGACAGTAAGTTATCAAATACAAGACACTCGATTAACAAGTTGGCCTGAGAATAGGTTAGTGAGGCTCATCCACATGACACAGAGTTAGAGTCTATCTCTGTGTGACCTCCTTAGGGGATGTCAGGCATCTTGGAATCCAAGTGTTCAATGCCACCATTTTAGTTCTTTGTTTTGTCTCTATTTTAGCCATAAATACAAATACATATTTTTTCTTTAATGGGATGGAGACTTCACATGGAATCATTGCAATTGTCAATCATTTGCATCTCTCCAAACCAAGATGAAGCATATTTCTTATGTTAGCAATTCTGATAGTATCTTAGTACATAGAATAGATACCAATCTTGCTATCCTTCAATTGAAAGGAAATGCTACTGGCTGCACTGTATACAATTTCCCACAAACTGCAGAATTTGTTTAGAACATGAGGGCTTTTGTTGCACCATTCACTTTAACTTATTCATGTCTTCAAAACACTCAAGACAAGATGTTTTGATTTTATTCATTTAATTCACTCACAAAGGATCTATTGTCCCCTTTAGTTTTTAAGTCTTCATGTATGTCTCCAATTTGCTATCTTTTTCTTCCTATTTTGACCTCATTCAGTCATTCATTCAAGGAACAGCAACTCCATTCTTCCAGTAGCTCAAGCCAAAAAAAAAAAAAAAGAAAAAAAATCAAGGGTCATTCTTAACTCTTTTTTTTTTCAATATCTCACATCAAATTCACCAAGCAGTCCTCTTGAGTCTGTCTTCAAAATATATCCCAAAATGTATGGGTAAGTTACTTAGTTTCTTGAAGCTTCAGTTTTCCCATCTGTAATATTGGGATACTAGGGTTACAGTCGCCCTCAAAGATCTGTTCAGAAGATTAAATGATATTGAAATACTGCAAGGTGGCTGGATGTGGTGGCTCATGCCTGTAATCCCAGCACTTTGCGAGGCTGAGGCGGGTGGATCACTAGAGGTCAGGAGTTCAAGACCAGCATGGCCAACATGGTGAAACCCCGTCTTTACTAAAAAATACAAAAAACTAGCCAGGTGTGGTGGCACATGCCTGTAGTCCCAGCTACTAGAGAGGCTGAGGTGGGAGAATCACTTGAACCTGGAAGTTGGAGGTTGCAGTGAGCTGAGATCACACCACTGCACTCCAGCCTGGGTGACAGAGTGAGACCCTTTCTCAAAAAGGAAAAAAAAAAAAAAGAAATATTGCAAGGTGTCAGGTAAATGCTCATTAAGTGTTAATACCTATTCTATTACCATAACTAGGTGATATAACATGGCAACTAAAACTATATTATATGTGTCCCACTTTTGTAGAATGCTGAAAAATTCAGAGACTTAACAAGAAAGAGCTGTTAATAAAACATTAACTGATGAAAGAAAGGTTAGTTGGTAAAGAACATGAAGACAAATGCAATGCTATTTAAAGCTTGGAAAACATGAGAAATTACGCAAGAGAAGTACATGAATAGTCTTAAAAAGAAAAATGAACAAAATGTTTAAAAGTAATGTTGGCAGCCAGGTGTTTACATGCCCAAGCCAGGGGTATTCATAGAAAAGCCAAAAAACTTATGAATTTTAACATACTATTACTTTTTAAAAGAATATATCCAAACTCTGAGCACCTCTCATCACCTGAGTTTATGAATTATTCTTGGAAAATTCTACTTCTCCACATTTTCTGAATTTTCTATAGAGAATGAGTGTAACCTTTACAACAAAAAATATTATTAAAAATATTTGCTTTAATGAAAAGGTAATGGAAACTCAATATTTTTAGTTAACACACATTCTAATAAAGCTTCATTTTCAATCTAATTTGCCTTTATTAAGGTATGATGTTTTCAAAGATTAAAAGTTGAGCCAGTTGCTACCCAAGAAAATAAGAATCAAATTTAAATTTATTTGTAACTCGAAGGTAAGTGGAAAATATCAGCCTTTAGAAATTAGTTTTACTTATTTTTTAAAATGAAACTTATCCATACACATACACAATGTTGTACAGGTTTCTGAGGGGGCTACTTTTATACAGTGTTTAGTTGTTTGGTTTCGGCTTGTAAGTTATATTATTAAAAATGTTTATAAAAGTTTGGGGTCTATAAAACTAATAAAAATTACCCTCAGTGTGGTTTTTCCCATAGATTTGCCTTTGAAGTACAGTGCTGTGGTTTAGGTAGTTTCAAAGCTATATTTATTCTATCATTTTAAAGTATAAAAGTTAATAACTTAATGGTAGCAACTTGAGCTATAATTTTAATTGTGAAACTGTTCTTTCTCTTGACATCACAATCCAGTGTAGTCGGGGTTTGAAAATCAGGCCACAGGAAAAGGACAGGTACACTCAGATTCTTTTTTTTTTTTTCCAAGATACTATTTTATGGAAAATGATTTTCATTCTCTTTAGAGCTCTCATCAGGCATATTGGTAGCCCGAACTTGTTGGCAAATATCCCAATGAAATGACATCAACCCTATGTATATACTTTGTTGGATGCTGGCAGCTGTGTAAAGAAAAGAGGAGAAATATTAATTCTCCAAGTTGTTCTTTTAAGTATATTTATTGAGCACCTACTCTGTGCCAGGGGCTGTGCTTGTTGTTTCTACCCACATCATGTCATTTATTACTCACAGTCTCATTGACAGTGAGGCGTTAAGGCCACCATATTCCACAGAAGGGCAGTGGAAGGAGCAATGCAGGACTTGAACCACAGTCATCAAATTCTAAGCCTGTTGCACACCATTCAAAAGTTTGAAGAAAAATAAATTGAGGAACAGGAGGCAGTGAGACCAAAGTAGAAACCACACTCCAACAAAACACACAGCAGAACAGTATGTGCTAATGTTGCGAAGATAGCAAAGCAAAATAAATTGAGGTCTTGCAGGCTTTGCTGTAGGGACACTGGTGTGTTAGGCCATTAAACTCCTCGACTCTCAGCTCTCTTGGTTATGGACAGGGCAACAAGAAGAAAGAACCAGAGAACAGAGCACTCTTCTGTGGACAGCGGCCCATGCCATCACAAGACCCCTGCTGAGAAGGGAAGGAGCCTGTTGCAGGCCCGAGAGCCTCTTGCATCCCTGCGGGTGGGAGGGCTGGGGGAGCCCATGGCCTCAGTAGCCAAGCTGGCTGGGTAGGATCATGTGCCCGATCAGGTGGTAGGGAACAGAGATTTGAAGCCCATACTTTCAATGTTAGAACAAATTTGCTTTTTGGTGATTTTGTTGCTGTTTCCTAGCAAGAATCTTGGTGCTTCCAGTAGGCATTTTCTTGGCTAAACTGTGAACAGCAGAAAATGGCTTTTAATTCAGCTATTTTTTTTTTGTTTTTTGTTTTTTTGAGATGGGTCTTGCTCTGTCACCCAGACTGGAGTGTGGTAGCACCATCATAGCTCACTGCAGCCTCAATTTCCCAGGCTCAAGCGATCCTCCTGCCGCAACCTCCTGAGTAGCTGGGACTATAGGCACATGCCACCATGCCCGGCTGTATTTTTAGTTTTTGTAGACACGGTTTCTCACTATGTTGCCCAGGCTGATCTCGAACTCCTGGGCTCAAGGGGTTCTCCTGCCTTGGCCTCCCAAAATGTTGGGATTACAGGTGTAAGCCACTGTGCCCAGCTAATTCAGTCACTGAATTAGAAGAAAGTTCCCAATGAGGCTCATTGCTGTGTCTACTGTGAGATTACTGGTGGGGACAGTGCCCATCATCCTGCAGAGAAAACAATTTCCCTAGGTAGAATTTTTTCCCCTTGGTCTTAATATCAGTAAGAGTGGATTGGTTTTATCGTGGACTCTGTGAATCATGTATTAATAACTGGGCAGGGTTCCCATTTCATATTGGAACTGAAGGATTTGAGGCTAATTTAGGTCCTATGTTAGCAAGTACACAGAACTTTAAAACAAATGTTTTTATATTAGCCACATTTCTAACTTCTGTTTTTCTCTATTAATCATCAAAATACATTTTCTTTTATTTTGTTGTGTTTTTGGAATCTTCTTAAGTTGCCTAGGCTCCCTTTGGAAACAGGACAGGATATGAGTGCACATGTGTAGGTGTCCATGCAAACGTGTCAATGTTCAGAGGAGGTGCGTGGGGCTGAGTGAGGCTGATCCCAGGGTCCAACCTCCCCTTGCTAGTGTTTCTCCTAAACTGCCTTCTACAGGAGGCCGAGGCATTTCCACTTCACTTCCAGCCCCTCAGAGGAAGTCATCAAGTTGATGACCAAGTGAGACAGTCACATCCCATAGCGTCACAGCATTGGATTTGGAGGCCACTGTGGCGGGGGTTGGGGTGTGCTGGAATCACAGAGTGGGTACAAGGGGCATTTTTCTTTGCTGTCACTGACCTGTTTTGAATCTGGGCTCTGCCACCTCCCATGAGTGTGCCCTTGGAGAAGTTCTTCAACCTCTACTAATTGCAGCATCCTACCTCTAAAAGAGACAATAGGCCAGGTACAGTGACTCATGCCTGTAATTCCAGCATTTTAGGAGGCAGAGGCAGGAGGATAGCTTGAGCCCAGGAGTTCAAGACCAGCCTGGGCAACATGGCAAAACCTCATCTCTACCAAAAAACACAAAAAATTAGCCAGGTATGGTAATGCACACCTGTAGTCCCAGCTACTTGGGAAGCTGAGGCAGGAGGATCACCTGAGCCCGAGAGGTGAGGCTAAGCAGGCACCACTACACTCCTGCTTAGGTGACCCTGTCTCAAAAAAAGAAAAGGAAAGAAACAATAACAGTGCCCTACCTCATAGGGTTGAGATAAATGAGATCATATCTATAAAATACCCACCCAGTGTCTGGTTCATAGAAAATTATATATATATATCATATATATAAACTTTTTTATATATATAAACATTATCATTATCACGCCATTACAGATAAGAAAAATTGGCTTGTAGTCCCAGCAACTTCATTTTATTTTGTTTTCTAATTTTTATTTTTGAGTCAGGGTCTCACTTTGTCATTCAGGCTGGAGTGCAGTGGTGTGATCTCGGCTCACTGCAACCCCCACCTTCTGGGTCCCAGCAATTCTGCCTCAGCCTCACAAGTAGCTGGGACTACAGGTGTGCTCCACCATGCCCAGCTAAGTTTTTCTTCTCTCTTTTTTTTTTTTTTTGGTAGAGACAGGGTTTTTCCATGTTAGCCAGGCTGGTCTCGAACTCCTAATCTCAAGTGATTCACCCGCCTCAGCCTCCCAAAGTGCTGGGATTATAGGTGTGAGCCACCGTACCTGGCAGGCAGCAACTTCATTTTATATTTGTATGTGTATACACACGGGCACACACACACGTAGAACATCTGCTAAGCTGTCCATTACAACAGGAAGACCCACCCCGGGTCTCGAACTCCTGATCTCAAGTGATTCACCCGCCTTAGCCTCCCAAAGTGCTGGGATTATAGGTGTGAGCCACCGCACCTGGCAGGGAGCAACTTCATTTTATATATGTATGTGTGTACACACGGGCACACACACACGTAGAACATCTGCTAAGCTGTTCATTACAACAGGAAGACCCACCCCTGTCCTCAAGTGTCTCCCAGTCGTGGAAATATCTATGGAACAGGAGCATTACTATGGAACTATGAACAAAATAGTAAAGGCAGCCAGTCTGGGTGACCAGTGCCAGCGCAAGGAGCTGCGGCAGAAATAGAGCAAGACCTTGCTTCTTCTTTCAGATAAAAATTTTAAAATGTAGCCACTGATATATCTTTGGGACTTGTAAAAAGAAAACAGGCTAAGTGGACTCTCCTACTCTCTGCTTCTATGCAAGGCCTGGCCCAGGTGAAACAGAACCCAGCTTCCTCCAGCAGCCTCTGCCAGTGTCCTTCGTGCTGAACCCCACAGATGGACGTGGTGTCGCAGCCACATGGAGGCCTCAAGGCAGCTGTCCTGGTTGTCCTCCTCAGTCTTCCAGGGAGGAGCCTCAGACAGAGGCATGGCTCTCTGAGGGCTCTATCGTGCACCCCTGTAGTTCTCCAAGGAGGGAAGGCAACTGAAATGCATTTTCGGTTAGCAAAGTGAGACAGGTATGTCTTGGGATCAGGTGCCTATCTTCCAGAACTTTCTTCCTATGCATCCTGCCATGCAACCCTCCTCTCCTGTCCGTCACGTGTCCCCAATTCCTCCCATCTCTCACACTATACAATTACTGTCCAATGTTTCATCCTTGTAGGACCTCGCTCCCTCCATTCCATTAAAATAAGTTAACCAATTTCTTTTTCTTTTTCTTTTTGAAATAGAGGCTGGAGTGCAGTGGCACGATCCCTTCTCACTGCAACTTCTGCCTCCCGGGTTCAAGTAATTCTCCTGCCTCACCCTCCTGAGTAGCTAGGACTTTGGCCCTCACCACCACGCCTGGCTAATTTTTGTTATTTTTAGTAGAGACGGGATTTCACCATGTTGGCCAGGCTGGTCTCAAACTCCTGACCTCAGGTGATCTGCATACCTCGGCCTCCCAAAGTGCGGGATTACAGGTGTGAGCCACTGCACCCGGCTGAGTTAACCAATTTCTGACACACTCAAGAAATTCTTTCTGATGCTAAAAGTCTAAATCCTAAGTACATATTTTTTCTATTTTATGGTGATCAGAAATAGAGAACAATTTGTCATTTTCTTTCACTGAAGAGCTCTTTGACTATGGTCACACTTATTTTAACAAGATTTGTTGGTCCTTGGAGTTATTTGAAGGAAAAGTTACTACTTAACACGAGATATGATAAATGTGCTTACAAATACAGAGTGGTTTGAAGTATCTGATGAGTCTCTCTGTTTTAGACAACATTTTTACATCTCTCCTTACCCTAGGAGAAACAGTCACACACTCATGCCATACCTAGAGGAAAACCAACAGTTTAAAAGTCATTGGAAGGAAGGTAATTAAGAGTGTTATTATGCATATGTGGTAATAAAATAATATTTGCTTTGGTGACTCATAATAACACTGGTCATTTGACCTGAAACCAGTGAAATATTATGTAATGGGGAAACAATTGATCTTAGTTTTTATGTGCACAATCTCATTGCCTGGAGTTTCTTCCTGTTAAGGTTCTTTATACCTTTTAAATAGTTTGTGTTTCATCTTCACAAATTAATAGTTAAAATAATTATTCCCATCACAAAGTTAACCCGGCTATACTGAACAGTTCTATGCAATGTTAGCCATAATAATTAACACAAAATACAATAATATAAGAAGAAATATGTAGGCATAAGTATATTTTCTGGGATTTTTGAACTATGCTAAACTTGTAAAATTAATTTGTATTAGAATAATTTTCTTGTCTTTTCCTAGGGTGTTGTTTGAACAACTCTGTTAGATTTTATTCTATTGAACTCAAGTTAGTTTTTACCATTATTAGAAATAACAGAATTTTGTGGTTCTAGGCCTTCATAATCATGATGTGGGAACTGAGGCTGGGTTTGCTTAAAGACTAGAAACCAGATCTTCTTCCTCTAACAATTGGTTGCATATAATTAAAACCCATAACTGTGGCTTATTAAATGTTTTTTTAAAATCTGTATCATGAATTTGCTGGGGAATGCTAGTTGATATTCTGAAAGGTCAAAGTAATATACTTAGCAACAATTTGAGAAAAGACACACTGCTTCTGCTTTCTAATGTGTGTATGTGAGAATACTATTGCAATACAATTTTGAGTGACTTTACTATAACTGGTAGCTAATAACTGATCAGAACTAACTTTTACAGACTGATACTTATTTTCCATATTTAAAAAAATATGATTTACTTAAATGTTGATTATGACCTCAGGTTTCAGCCCCGAGGTTGGTTGTCCAAAACACTGATGTCAGATATGGAATACTTTCACTTGGCCAGCCACCACTTACTGAGTGGGCAGACAGAACAAATTGTTCTAGAAACTGGCTAAGTGTGATGGACCACATTTCTGCAGTCAAAGGAAAAGGAAAAGTTAGGTAATTTTTCCAAGCAATTTAAGCAAAAGCGATTTGGATCAGGCAGAAAGAGGGCACGAGAGAGAAAAGCGGAGTGCTGAGAGAAGGTAAAGTAATCTCAGTGATTTATTCCATTCTTCATGGTGCTTTAGCTTTGGAAGCCTGGCTATTAACATGGCAAATGGGCAGCACGTTAAATATCCTTTTGGACTCTAGGTCCGATGCGGTTTTCATCAAATTCCACAGCCTTTGGGGAAGGCCCATTCATTCAGGGGATTCAACCAATCTATTTAGTGGGCACCCTTATCAAAGCACATTCATTCTAGATTCATGAGCAGGAGATATTCAGTCAATATTTGCTCAGGATCCTTTCAGTTACACAGTGAGAACTAGATACTGGAAAATCTTTAGGCCAGGGACAGTTTATCTTGGGCCATTTTTGTAGCAGTTCTTACCATCTGCCTATTTATTAACATAGGCAACATGAAGGCAAGGACATTCTGACCTGATGAGCATATTGATAGTGGTTGAATACCCACTAACTCAGAGTCAGGCACACAGAAGGAGCTGGACACATGTTTGTTAAAGGAAAGAATGAATGTCACACACATGACCCTCCTTTCTTCCTTCTCCCGTTCAGTGCTTCCAAGGCAGCAGCAAGGGGAAACGTCCTCTTTGGGACACATCTTGTGCAATGTGGCTCATACATGTCTTTAGACTGGACACCCAATGATATGGTTTGGCTCTGTCCCCACCCAAATCTCCTTGAATTGTAGCTCCCATAATTCCCACATGTCATGGGAGGGACCTGTTGGGAGGTAACTGAATCATGGGGGTGGGTTTTTCCCATACTGTTCTCATGATAGTGAATAAGTCTCATGAGATCTGATGGTTTTGTAAAGGGAAGTTCCCCTGCACGCACTCTCTTGCCTGCTGCCATGTAAGACTTGACTTTGCTCCTCCTTCACCTTCCACCATGATTGTGAGGCCTCCCCAGCCATGTGGAACTGTGAGTCCATTAAGCCTCTTTCCTTTATAAATTACCCAGTCTTGGGTATGTCTTTATTAGCAGCATGAGAACAGACTAATACACCCATCTTGAACCATTGCCTCAGGGCCATGAGTCTATGATGTCAACTCTTTGCTCAATCACCTGGACCCATGTTCAATTATTAATGGGTGGTAATGTATTAACTATGTTTCCCCCCTCAGTCATACCCACTCTAATGACAGTGACTTAATTCAAGGTGACATTGAGAAGCCACTCGGGGCTGGTTGCTCTCTCCACTGAGTACACTAAACCATCATTATTCTTTTGCATGACTGCCTTTGCCATCTGAATTGAGAGCCCCTGAAGAGAAGACTACTTTTTTTATATTTTAGTCATCTGTGGAAACCTCTAACACAGCTCTTGGCCCATCAGGAAATAATCTTAAGAAACCACTTACTGAAAAATTGCAATTGTCCCTGGCACTCACATTCACTCTCAATCGAGGCTGCAGTACTCCAGGGAGATAATAGAACTCTTGTTTCCAGATAAGGCAACTGAGACTCAGAGGGTTTAAGTATCTTGCCCAGGGTCAAGTAAATGCAGGAACTGGAGTTAAAACCCATATCTGTTCAACTGCAAAGCTCCTTCTTTTTCCACTGCATGGTGCAGCCACCCCTACATCACAGATGCCTCCTCACCAAGTGTTTTTAAGACATGTACATTCTAGACACTTAGGGAACAAAACAGTATTACAGTGTGGTATCCTGAGAGAGCTTATATCTTGGCCATCCTGGACATGCACTATGATTGGACACCTAAGATATGAGCCTGTGCTTTCTATAATATAAGGACCTAATAAATATTAAACTGCAGAATGAAATCCTGGTTCACTATTGAAGAAAGCAGTTGTGTCAGGAACCTGAGCATTACCAGGACTACCTGGATAAGAATGATATTTTGATAAGGCAGCTGCAGGCCATGGTTGAAGTAGACCTCAAACCCAGGATCACTGCAGGAAGAGCCCAAGCTTACTGGCTTTGTCCTACTATTATCAAACCCCATGGGCTTTCTTAATTGCCACTGCTGAATAGATATCATGATGGTAAACACGCAATATAATGAGAATGTCGTCCTGAATGGGTGATTTTGCGAGTCCAGTGGCTTAAGGCTGACCATAAATTAGCTTCATGGAAACTGTGTAGAGAAATCAAATACTGAATATTTACCTGCTGCTTTGTGAAAAAGCCTTCTTCACTAAGGAAGAAAACAAATCTTAAAAATAGATGCATATCCAACTTCAAGGCTTTTAACTGAGGAACGAATACAAAAACCAAGGACAACTTGTACCTGGATGATAACTTGATTTTTCTGATTTCTTTTAGAGAAGCAGAATTTATTTAATGAACTTTTAATTTTAGACCAGTTCTAGATTTACAGAAAAGTTGCAGAGATAGTACAGAGAATTACCATCTACCCCTCATCCAGCTTCCCCTACATGTTACATTTCTATGGTGCATTTATCACAACTATAGAGAGACTACCCACCTGGTAACAAATATTGTTCAAAAGAGACATTGTATCCAGGAGCAGTGATTAATACCCTCAGGCAAAGTATCTTGTAGGAAGTGTAAATGCAAAGCAGAGAGAAAATAGATCACAGGAATGTGGCTGAGAAGAAGAGAAAACTGGCAGTAAAAGCCACAAAGCAAACAAGTCAAGAATAAGCATAATTCAAGTCAACTGAATATCAATATGGAAAAATGGAACCTTCACCCTTACCTCACAACTTACACACAATTCAATTCCAGTTGATTTTGGATAGAAATGGGAAAATTAAAGCAATAAAATTGTTAGAAGATAACAAAAAAATATCTTACTTTTGGAGAGAGATGTTTCTTAAATGGAACACAAAGGAAAAAAATAAACTGGACTTTATTAAAATTAAGAACTAATGTTCATCTAAAGGCACCATCCTAAGAATGGAGAGAAAATATTTGCAATCAATATAATTGACAGAAGACTTATATTCAGAATATATTTAGAGCTCTTACAAGTCTATAAGAAAAAAAAGACAACACGATTTTTTTAATGGGCAGAAGACTTGAATAAGCACATCACAAAATTAAGAAAACCAAATAACAACTAAATATGTAAGGTACTCAATCTCGTCATTCATCAGGAAAATACAAATTCAAACCACAATGTAATACTATATATACATCCCAGAATGACAAATTGTTTTCAAGCTGAGAATTCTGAATGTGGAGCAACTGAAACTCTCATACACTTCTGGGGGAAAAGTAAGTTGGTTTACCACATTAGAAAATTGTTAGAACATATCTACTAGAGTTGGTCATGTATATAATCTATGATTCAGCAATTCTATTCCTAGGAATATACCCAATGGAAATATTTATCCATGTACACTAAAATAATGTCTAGAATGCTCATAACAACACTATGCAAAAAGTTGAAAATAACCTAAAGTTGGAAATAACCCAAATGTGCATCAATAGTAAAATGGATAAATGGTAGTTTATTAATGTAATAAACTAATGAAAATAAACCACAGCTACATATCACAATATAAATGGATCTCACAAATGTAGTGCTGAGAGAAATAAGCCTAGCAACAAAAAAGAATATATATTGTACGATTCCATTTACATTCGTTCAAAAACTTGCAAAACCAATTTAGGCTGGTAGATGCCAGAATGGCAGGGTAATGACTGAGAGGGGACATGAGGGAGGCTCTGAGATTGTAGTAACATTCTATTTTTTTTTTAATCTAGTGGTTACATGGATGTTTCCATCTTCTAAAACTTCAACAAGCTGGACACATATAATTTGTGTACTTTTCTGTAGAACCTGAATGCTAGTGTCAGAATATGACATTCATTGTGGTAAAACCTCAAACTGAAAAGTTTATAAAACTCAACCTAGTTTTCTCTGGAGTGATCCAGAAAGCATATTTTAACAGTTGTACCCTTCAGTAACAGAATAAAGAAGATAAACAATGGTTCACAGATCTCTTTATTGGGAAACATGTAGGCTCTAAAAACCTAGCACAGTCAGCTCTGATGAACGACTCTGCAGTTCTGTCAATTAGACTTAAGAGAAGCAAAGCAGATGACCTCTTGGCTAAGACAGCTCTCACTCACCTGAGCCCAGCGGATCTCAGTGACTCCCATTTCTGGTGTTGTGTCACTTGCTTAGGGAATAAAATCTGGCTCTTGGGTTACAAAACAAAAAAGATAAGTGGAATTCATGAGGCAGAGGGAATACCAAAGACTCAGAAAAGACAGTCACCATAGACTCAGGGACAAAGAGAAGTGAGTCACAAGGACAGTAGGCTCCCATGGTTACCCTTAGGTAGAGCTAATCTTGTCTCCTGAACTATCTGTTCCTGGTGCTTCTTTCCTTTGCTTGTTTTGTTTTGTTGTTTGTTTGTTTGTTTTTACAAGCAGTGCTCATCACCATAGTGACCTCAGAACATCATTTCCTGAAGTCTTAGCCTCACTAAAACAGAAAGTGATTATAGTTAGACGAAGGAGGATCCTTCTGAATCAGATTCTATGAAGGATGAATCTTGTTTAAATCTGTCATTTAAATAATCATCCTGGTTACCATAACTCTAATCAACTTTCTATCCTAAATAATCTGAAGAAGCTTTATTTATCTGAAAGTCGTAGGATTCTAAAAGAGAGTTACATTCTCCATTTCTTCACTGTTAAAAATAATGCTCCAATCAATAGTATTGAACATTACCTTTAGTCACCCTTGATTATTTTCTTAGGACAGATTCTTAAATGAGATACCAGTGCAAAAGGCATGATCATTTGCTTTATGAAAGGTATAAAAATAAGTATTATTTCTAGATTTTTCTATTTTAAAAAGTTGAACTAATTCATAGACATATAAGTATTTAATAAGTGTTCCCACTTCACAGTATCTTCACCAACAATGAGTGTTAACATTTTAAATCTTTGCTTATTTGATACCTCAAATAATGGCCTATCATTTAAGTTTGAATTTGTTTATGAGTTAGGCCAAACACTTTAAGAAACATTTTTGATATTTTTTAAGAAAATGATTGGAGCATCATTATATGATATTCTCATAAGAAATATGTTAGTCAGAATTGATAACCTAACAAGGATAAAATGGAAGGAGAGACTCATACTTCTGCAACATTTGTAATTCCAGAGAGAAGACAACGAGATGACTTTATTCTTTTTGCCTGGACAATGACCTCCAGCATCTCTTAGAAGGCATTGCAATGAGTCTTTTAAATATTTCACTGGAAATCTTTGACTAGTTTGCTTAAGTTCTGGTGGATATTTTAAAATTAGCCTTACAGAGAAAAGTAGATTCATGCTATTTTCTACTTCCCCATAATTTCAGGGCTCTGCAATTTATCTAAGAACTCAGAGGACTAGCAGAAATACAAGAAAATTTTGCCCCAAATTGCCATGTGCAATTTACTTGTCCACAGAATGCTCCCTTCATAAATCCGTTTGTTTTTGCTTTTCTGACAGAGAATATAGAAAGCTGTTTCTTCTCAGAAATTTAATAAAACAAGCCTAAAGAGAAATTTGCAGTTTCCTAAGTAACTTACCCATATAATGTACTTCTAATGGAAAAGCTTGCAAGCCCACTTTTAGAATCATTTCCCCAAGAGTGGCTGACCAAAGTATTAAGTTGTAGGAAAAGGGCACAAGGCATTTGATGTCATGGAAGGCAGTCTATTTGATTAGTAAGAAGTGGGCTCTGGTGCTCTATGTGGACAGAGAGGAGGGGTGGCTACTTTCCTGACCACATACTCCCCAACTCTACAGGTCAGTGTGTCGTCTGGCCTCATCCCATGCTCAAAGCCCCCAAAGGGCCCTGACTCTGGTAGTTAAGTGGAGAAACAGGTTAGGTAAGGAAGCAAGTCCCAGTAAACAGGGTTTGGTGCTCCTTCTGCCCTGTTTTTCTGGAGGAAATAGCCACTTATGGCTGAGGGTCTTCTCTTCCAACCACCTTGTCCATAGCAGGACCAAAATGTAGACAGTGATTAGAACATTGTATATGTATATGGTGGAAGACCCAGAAGGTTCTTTCCCTGGCTCCAAAAGCAGTGGCAATCCCATCAAAGCCTTGGAGAAGATGATCACTTCACAAGCAGGGTGTTTTTTAACTTGTATTTTAGGTTCGGGGTACATGTGCAGGTATGTTATTTGGGTAAACTTGTGTCACACGGGTTTGTTGTACAGATTATTTCATCACCCAGGTATTAAGCCTAGTACCCACTAGTTATTTTTTCTGATCCTCTCCCTCCTCTCACCCTTCACCCCCAAGTAGGCCCCAGCATCTGTTGTTCCCCTCTTTGTGTCCATGAATTCTCATCATTTAGCTCCCACTTATAAGTGAGAATATGCGGTATTTGGTTTTCTGCTCCTGCATTGATTTGCTAAGGATATGACTTCCAGCTCCATCCATGTTTCTGCAAAAGACATGATCTCATTCTTTTTTATGAACAAGCAGGATTTGTTCAATTGAAGCTTTATCAGTTATATCCTTCCAACACACACACACGCACGTTATCAACCATCACTGAAGTGACAAATTTGCTGCATACAGGGTTGTCCTTGTGCATTGAAGAGTTTGCAGCTCTCTTTGGGGTGTGATTGAAGCTGTAGAAGGTTATCCAGCCACCGTACTAGAAATCACCCCCATTGGAATAGTTTCTTCTAGTGAGTACGTTGGCTCCAGAGAATCTTCTCAAGGTGTATGTGTGCTGGCCAGAAGAAAGAGGTAGTACATTTACTTGTCAGCATTCTGCTATTACTACCTTACACATTAACACAATCAATGTCTCAGCCCAGTCAGCTGCCACCAGGCAGGAGGAAGAATAGGAAGCTGGAATTGGAAAAGACCCTGTAGGGGGACCGGGCACCTGGAGTACCAGTAGGAAAGCTCTGTAGGACAAAGTTCTCCTTAGTGCTTTTTTCTGGGCCTAATCTACATATCCATTTTAAGTCCATCAGGAAAATAAAGAGTAGTCTTGAAACAGATTCTTAGAAAAGGTAGAAATGAATTTTCTGGAAGCCTTTGGAACTTGCTCATGCAATTAGCACAGTGGGCTCTGTTCCTGGCTAGTTTATAGGATTTGAGGATGGTTCTGCTTTTCCTGTTTTATTTTCCCACCCCCATCTGATAGAGATCACACATCTCCTTATAAAATATACTGAGTGCAAAGCCAGTATACACCATTGTAATATCACACAAACATGCAGATACAGCCCAATCCCTGTTCTCCGTTTCCAACCACAGCCAATCATCAAACTGGTCTCCTGCCAAACCAGTTCCCGCTCTTGGTGGAGAAGGGAGACAGGCTGTACGATGGAAGACGAGGGGACTTTGCCCGTCCCTAACAATCCATTGAGGTACCTCATTTGCTCTGTGTACAGCCATTATTTGAAAGGAACTACCAAACAAAGTCCAGAACCTTTAGCAAATGCAGCTAAGGCCATGCGATTCCCCATTCCCCCCACATTCATTATTCTTCTTCTTAATCCCACATTCGTTGCTTTTACCCAGCTGTCAGTAAGCCTCTCTGTTACCATTGCCTGCCATCCTAGCCACTCTCACTAGAGAGGGATGCCATACTCACTGAAAAACAGCATGATTCTAAAAAAAAAAAATCTATCGCAATAGTAAACATTTGAAAGCCAGTTACAATCATCTTTTGTTGTGTCATTTAGCTCGATGGCTCATCAACATCAATTTCTAAACAGAACTAAGAACAGATTCTACTTAAGCCAGTGGATTTAAATGTTTTCCACTTCAAACCTTATTTTATTTTGATTTTGTCAATAGGTCAGCCAATACCAACATATAGTAGTTTGCCAATACTATAGGCAGCTAAAAAACTAAAGTGCAGCCATTCATTCAAAAATTACTTATACCCTGGCTATTGCAGTGTGTGGGCTCAGGGAGAGCAGAGGCCATGCCTGCCTGGTGACCCTGCCTGCCTTGGCGTATATGGCATATAGCACTGTGTCCAGCCTTTAGGGTAGGTTCAATAAATTGTTTCTTTCTTTCTTTTTTTTTTTTTTATGAAGTTTCACTCATGTTGCCCACGCTGGAGTGTAATGGCACTATCTCGGCTCGCTGCAACCTCTGCCTCCTGGGTTCAAGTGATTCTTCTGCCTCAGCCTCCCGAGTAGCTGGGATTACAGGCGCCCACCACCATGCCCGGCTAAGTTTTGTATTTTTAGTAGAGACTGAGTTTCACCATGTTGGTCAGGCTGGTCTTGAACTCCTGACCTCAGGTGATCCACCCACCTTGGCCTCCCAAAATGCTGGGATTACAGGCATGAGCCACTGCGTCCGGCCCAATAAATTGTTACTGAATAAACAATAGAGTGTAATTGGTCCTCTGCTAGGCGTTAGGGACTAAGAGGTAGGAGATTGGTTCTCTAGAGATTCCACATATAGTGGAAAAGAAATATGCTTTGAGTTAATGTCCTAAGCTTTCATCAGGAAATCCAGCATGCAATAAACACATGACAAGGTCAGGAGATGTGGATGCCAGATGCGCTTCTTCCACAAACAAGTATTGTGACTTCTGACCCTGGCAGTTAACAGGCCCCAGTTTTTCCTTTCTAAAAGTAAGGGTGCTCGCTTAGATAAACCCAAAGAACCCTTCTCAACTTTTTTGACTGCATGAAAATGGGTCAAGTTGGACCAATTCTCTGTAGTCACTTTTCTGTGTTCTGCAGCCTTTGGATAGATTCGTGGGATATGGGCTGGTGGATGAAACGCTGGCCTGCGAGCAGAGGCACGTGTGTTCTCTTGGCTGGGTGATCCAGGGAAGAGGGAGCCTGCTGCTGTGTCCTGAGGAAGCCGCTGGCAGGAAGGGGTTATGTAAGCACTTTGCGGAAATGTTGGTGAGGCTGGATGTTTTCAGGCCTTCTGCAGCTCTGCGTTGCTGGGCAGCAGTTGGCTGGCTTTCACGGCCGTTATCACGCAGGACAAGCACGAGACTGTCCACCCCCAAGTGCAGCTGCAGAGCTCTGGGAGGACTGGCCATAGCACCTCTCTCAGCCATTGGAGTAAGCCCAGGGCTGTTCCAATGGGAGATGCATTTCCGCACCTGCTTCTTGTCCTTAGCAACTTCTCTTTGTTGTTGTGCCCCAGAGGGGAGACCCTGTTACACATGCAAAATGCTACTCGAGGAGGGTGGCAGACCAGGCCATCCTCAGCACAGCCTGCAGCAGGATAAGGCCATTACTCTCACTCCCGTCAGCATCAAATCACACCAATCTAATTTAAAATAAAAGGCGTAGAGTTTGCCATTATTATACTTTTGCCTGACAAATGTTCCCATAAAGCTGTATGCAAGGCATAGTCCAAAATAGATGGCACCAAGCTTATTATGAATTCAGCCCCTAAATTTTAAGTTCAATGCTGTGTGAGCCACCTCATCTGATGCCTATCATCTCACTTCAAAAATTGAATTGTGCCCCAGCTTGCCAAACGAGCCCATTAGTCACAACGTCAGGAAGTCCTGAAATTTCCTGGTTACTAAAGAAGATACATTAAACAAACAGAACAAATCAGGATGATGTTTGGATATGGTTCCTGGCATGGCTTTTGACACCTCAGTTTCCCCATTGGTAAAATAATGACCAGAGGGTCTTGAAAACCTGCACAGAAACCTACCACAGATGCAGCTTGTACTGTTATTATGCCGTTCCAGCAGGCGTCGAAGCCACAGAGGGACACCGAATTTTCATTCAGACAAGAGTGCGGTTTAGCAATGTAGTCATTCTGGGCCATTACTTTGTAATGAATTCACAAAGTTTCTGCAGGAGCATTAAAATGAGATGGCTGCAAAAATATCAAGAAGAGCCACCGAATTCCAGCTAAACACATAAACACATTTATAGCATACACACGCACAAGCCAGTGTGTTAAAGGGACGGCAGAGCATTCCAGAAACTGGCAACGAAAAAGCCACATGGAAAACCTCAAGTTCAAACCAGCATCGCATATCTGGGTTAAATGTGAAGGCAAGGATTGGTGAAGTCACACCCGAAAAGCCTTCCATTTTTAAGGAGCCGAGCGTAATTTCAGTGGTTCTGCGTCACTGACATTTAATGACATGTTATACAAAGTTCCGTAGCACAGAGCCTCTTTTGTTTTTAAGACACGAGAAAACACCTGTGATGTTGGCTTGAATAGCCACTGTCACAAGTACTGTGCAGTGGAAGTCAGAAAATATGGGTTTGAATTTCTGGACCAGTTAAGTGTTTGTATTCTGTGGTCCATTCATGCTGTCGCTATAACGTGGATGTAAAAACGGCTACTGGAATCCTGTCTTTATACTTCCTTAGTCTCTGACACTAAACATTTTTGTCTAAACTTCTCTAGTCCTCCTGTTTTTTCCTCTTTGTTCCTTTCGTCTGCTGTTTCACAAAATAGGTGGGCCTGTTTTGTTTTTTATAGAGCAGACATAATGCATCCAGACAGGGAGGGGGAACAGAGAAAGGAGGAAGGAAGAGGAAGAGACAGAGACCGACAGATAGTGAGAGAGAGAGAGAGAGAGAGACAGGAAACATGTCCCTCTGTTTTGTTTCATTTTCTTTTTTTTGCAGCAAGCCTGCCTACATTTATTCAGTGATGAATCAGCATCAGGAACTCTCCAGCCACTAGGAATAAAAACTAAACTTCCTGTATAATTGAAAACTACTTCAAAAACAATTTATGTTTGTCTGGCATCAGCGGCAACCAGAGAGAAACCAGGGTTATCTGCAAAGTCACGTAACGTATCGAAAGGTGCTGAGCTGGATGAATCCTGTGTCCCTCTTGGAGCTTGTGGGGAATCTTGTGAAAGTTTGTGTTCAGTGAATGCTGTTGCACCATCACGTTCAACGGCGGGCAGAGAGGAGTTGCATTGTGAAAAGTGATAGCCCTCACCTAAGTAGCATTTTGATGATTATACAGAATACCACTGAAGGATAAAGACACTGGGCTCTGATTATAATTTTATAATTTATATAACATGGCTCACAATTTTGTGTGTTTTCAAAATAATTCATCTTTTAATTCAATAATTAGTTTTAAAGGTTTAATTAGGGGGAGCTATCTGCCAACTGCGACGTGTAAATCACTTCAACGATCGAGACCTCTGATCTGAATTCTTAGTTGGATGGCATGAAAAATCAGAAAACTAAGCACTATTAATATGTATGTCCTCCTCCAAATCAGTGATTTTTATGATATTTGAATGCAAGAGTTTATAGGTTGGAAATAATACATATGCTTCTTATTTTATACGTGGCACCACAAAATTAGCCAGTCAGCACACTCCGTATAAATGCATAACATGAAACAGGAAGACCTCAGGGACCTGGGGCAGAAGTGGAAACAGACTCTGCCCTTTATATTCAATGTGAAAATATTTTATTTGTGCCAACAAAGCATTATTCATAAGACAGCTTCAGAGCTGTCATATTTGAGATAAATTTCACATCCTGCCTCAACCTTGCATTTTTCCCTGAAGGTGGGATAATTTAAGAATAAACGTACAGGAAACATTCTATATTTTGGGAGCATCTCTGAAATGAGTTGTTAGCAATCACGTCCCCTGGATTCTCCTTGATACACGTTCATTTTCTTCACCTGCTCTTCCAAATTAGCATCCTCTTTATTCCGACATTTTCACATTAGCAAAAGTTACAGGTACTAACAGTGTCACAGAAAGAAAACCTAGCCATTCCAAGAAGGCTGCTGAGAAGGCTGGTGGCAAGATGAGAATGGGGAGGAGAGAGACACTGTCTAGCAGTCTAAGTGCGAGCTCTCCTTCCCTCACCTGTGTTCTCGTGCATCTGTGCTGGTTCCCTGTACAGCTGCTGAGCTCCCTGCCAAGCTACCTGGGAATGGACCCCTGTTCATTTTAGGCGGGATGGCTGCTCCGCAAGCCCCATCTGTCCAAGGCTCACGACAGGACCAAATGAGAGGCAAGCATCAGATACCGTCTGCTGATACTGGCTCACCAGGGCGAGCTCATCTTCTGCTTCTCCCCGAGAGACTAGATGCCTAGAGCCTCCCAACTCTGCTGCTCTGCTGTGTTTCTTGACATAAGACTAGCTTGACATGGCGACCTGGGATTACGATCCTAGTTTATAACAATGACTGTTAGAGGAGGCAACCGGCATCTTTGTTCACCCGAGGGGGCTAAGGTTTGTACGTACAGGTGTCACTGCAGCAAGGGTTGTGGTCCTAGCTGCTCAGGCATGTCCTGTTCTCTTTCCCGTGTGTTCTGTGTGTCAGAACCCAAAGCAAGTGGACACAGATGGTGGCTTGATGTTAGGGATGTTTGTTGATTTGTTTTCATTATTGTTTCTAAAATCTATAGGCAGAATTTATTTCCTTAGTAGAGTCTTAGTACATTCTTTCAGTTTATTTTAATTTCACTGGCTTCTTTCCCCTCGGTGTTTCTAAGAGTGTTGCTTTTGTAACGGAAAAAAAGAAGAAAAAAAAAGAAGCAAGGGTCTTATAATGACTTTTAGTAGAAACTGATTTCTATCTAACAAATCCTTGTTATAAGAGGAAATGGTTAAAAAACAAACAAAATACCAGGAAGATATTTCTTGTTATCCATTTGCTAACTTGTAACTGTTAATAAAAACCCAGCCCATCATGTATGCACACAAATGCACACATCGTTTGGAAAGAGTCAAATTCAGTCCTACCATATTGTACTTTTTGTCTCCAAAATATTTCCTGATCCCTGGAAAGAAAAGAATGCACACCTGTGCCTCTGAAGCTTTGAGTTCAAGTGTCTCAGGTCATTTCCCACACATTCTGTGGACTGTAAATTCCAAAGAAAATCAGCAACACAGCTAAAAATCACATTGGTTTTGTTACTCTGAAGCTTCCTGACCTTGAGAAATAGTTTTTTCTGGCATGGAGAAAATACAAAAAGTAGTTCCCTCTTCCAATCTGCACAGACTTCAGATGTCATTGCTATACCATTTACACGTCATAAAAAAAATGCTATACAAAGAATTTATCTAAATGTGGCTCTTTTGGTTTCATGCCATCTGCATCTTTTTAAGTCACTTAGAAATACTCTAAGTGAAATACTCTAGCAGAATTAACCTCTGCTATCTTGACATTTCTCAACTACCTAGCTGAAGCCTGGGAACCCATTTACAGAATATGTATGGTTTTTAAAGGGTTAAGGCAGAAAATGTCTGAAGAAAATCAGCTTAAGTATGTTTTACAACAAAACATGTTATTGTGGGTATTGGAGTTAGGTTATGATAATGAATTTCAGACTCAAATATTTTCTTTGATTGTCACAAAAACATGTGAGGAGCCGTGGGTTTGTTTTCAGTGTTCAGCATGGAGTTAGTTGTGTTTCATTACCAGAGGCTAACTGTATGAGAACTGCTTTCACATCCAGAAATCTTGAGATGGTAAAGGGAATCGGGGGTTGGGGGAACCCAAAACACCCTATGTGGATAATTATTTAAAAGAGGAAGGATTAGCAGTGGCTGGTGGTATTTAAATAGTTTTTGAAGTGATTTAAATGGTGGCTCAGTGATTGATTCTGGTGCCCATACATCAACCCGTCTGAGGTTAAGGCCACTTGTTTCTAAGTACCTCCACAGACCTTTCCAAGTGGATAGGAAAATTTCTTTGGTGGTTTATAAGGGTTCTCCATTAGATCATTAAGTGAGTTCAATAATGTTGAACAGTCAAACCGGAGGAAAATATGCTATTAATCTGCTTCTTCCAGAGTGTTTATTTATTGATAACCATTCATCACTATAAGCCTGAGAGGCTACTTATAGTTTGTTATTGTTGTTTTAAATTAAGTTGAGATGCCATGTGTTGGTTAAATACCATGCAGGATGCGAACGAGACAAACCTAGGAAAACGATGGGCATATTGCCTGATAAAGGATTATAGTGGAAGTGAAAGGCTGACCTACAGTCAGGAAATGTTAATCATTTTTACACCAAAGTGAGTTAAACGTTTCTATAGGGAAATTACTTCAATCTGGTCAGTGCAAGAAGCAGTTTGTATAATCGGATTGCAAATAAGGTTTGATCACATTCCAGCTTAATCTACTCTCTGAGCACCATTTACGGCACTAAATCAAACCCGGGGAAGCTGCTGGCGGGGTTTTACAGTCATTACACCCAAGGGGCAGGGACTTGGTAATAAACAGCAAATAAATTGAAGCGCTGACTTGCCTGCTACAGGGCATTTCTAATTATCCTCTAGTTTAGCTGGAAATTGTCATGCTCTCATCACAGCCTATTTTAACTGCTGCTGAATAAGAGTGATACTTTTAGGCTGAATTAATTGGGAATATGGGGAAATGTAGATTGTACCTCCATCTCTCCCCTTCCCTTTCCTGCCCTTTCCCTCTCTTCTCTCCTCCCTCCAACCCACTTCATCAACTTATTGTAGGCATTTATAAAGACCTGAGCAATTTATTCTGTGTTCATCTGTCTCCCTCCTCTCTTGAGGGAATCAGAAATGTAATGTAACAACAGCATGCCTCGTTTATTTCAATTATGGCCCAAAGAAGCACCAGAATGGACGGCTCTAATAAAGACACTTGCAAATCCTCCCAAATGACCTGGTAAAGTAATGACTGCTTGTTCCGTCCCCAAGTTTATGGGCAAGTAGAGTTACCAAATTGTAGCATCAAACGATAGAAACTGATTGAGTCAGATACAGTAAATTGGCCAGTGGGGCTCAGCAGTGGCCTTCAGATCCACCTTTGCCACTGACTCACCAGAATGTCATAGAAGCACCATCCAAAAAGCTGTGGTCCTGGGGATCTTACCAAGATGAACAAGGTCATGATCGGGTTTTAAGCACCTTGAGAAACACTTGCTTGGGTGAATTTCATCTGGAGGTAAAGATCAGGAAGGGCTCCTATTCTATAATTCAACTGAAATGAAAGTAAGGTATTGAGACCATCCTTTATGCGAAATGAGCATGAGGGTAGAAATATTAAGGTACAAGATAATCATTTCTCTTTAAAGTTCAAGGATAGTGTCTCTGAGGTAAATAACCGTTCATTGAAATGGAAGTTCTTGGTATCCAGACATCAGGGAGAGTGAGTAGTTCGGAGTAGCCTTCTAAGTGGGAGGAGGCTTATTATTCGATCTCACTTAGATTTTAAAGTCAGGTGGAGAAGAGGAACTGCAGAAGAATCTAAGCTACCCTGGTCTGCTTCCAGCTTCTATTCTCTCACCAACTTCTGCCCACCTTTCCACCTCAAAAATGGATCTTTTAAAATGATTTTTTTTTCTACCCTGGAAATCTCAGGATCAAGAATCACTAATGCTCTGTATTTGCGAAGCTCTCTGACTTCATTCCATATCATACAGCACAGTATTCTACAGGAACCCACTCCTAACCCATCAGAGCGACTGTACAACCAGTTGGTAAGGGGCAATTTCTCTCTCCACTCAAACACCAGCATCGCTTTGGAATCAGAAGAACTTCTCTTCTGCCACCCACACAAGCTAAGGCAGGATTTTCCACAGCAGTCACCTTGCCTTATTCAGTCTTCTTTTGCTAATGGATTTCAAAGTAACTTTCATGATGTTCGTATATTTTTCAAAGTGTGAAAATACAAAGTAGATGGGTATTTTATTATCTGATACTTTCAACCGCAAAGAATTTACCCTGAATGCATTCACCCCTCCATTCAGGTTGTAGGAAAGCAAAGCGCCCAACAGATTCTGTCCTGGGGAACTCAGAAGAGCAGCCTGACGGCAGCTGTCCTTCCCTCCAAGCTCTCCCGCTCCTGCCCTTGCAGTGGGAGGTAAGATGATGGTCATGGGAAGGAAAGTCCAGCACTGAAGTGTCGGTCACAAAGGGGTACCTGTTGTCACCTCATCTCCTCCAGGGCTGAAGAGTCAACTGTGAGTCTCTGGACAAAGACGAGTCCACATCAGAGGGAAGCTTCAGGCTTGTCTCTGGGAGCCCAGCCATGAAAGCAATGTGAGTCCCTATTTCTAAGAACCCTATGGGCTGTCATGGTGGTCCTCAGTAATAATTTTTGGTCAGCCAGGCACGATGGCTGATGCTTGTAATCCTAACACTTTGGGAGGCCAAGGTGGGAGGATCGCTTGAGCCCCGGGATTCAAGACCAGCCTCGGCAACAAAGTGAGACCCCCATGTCTATGAAACATTTAAAAATTAGCTGGGTGTGGTGGTGAGCACCTGTTGTCCCAGCTACTCGGGAGGCTCAGGTGGGAGTATCTCCTGAGCCCAGGAGGTTGAGGCTGCAATGAGCCATGTTCATGCCACTGCACTCCAGCCTGGGCAACAGAGCAAGACTCTGTCTCAATAATAATAATAATAATAATAATAATAATAATAATAATAATAATAATAATGTTTGGTCAAATGTGGGAAAAAATGCAAGAATTCTGGACTCTGATAGAAACCATGGTGCTACCATATTTTGAGGAAGGCTACAAAAATGTAAGGCCCATGGCTGATGCTAAGCAAGCTGACCTCAATGTAAGCAAATTAAGACCATCTAGACTTAGAAACAAGATGAAAGGGTCTGTCTACTTAACAGGATTTCTTTCTTTTTTCTGTTTTTTTTTTTTTTTTTTTTTTTTTGAGACGGGGTCTCACTCTGTCACCCAGGCTGGAGTGCAGTGGCGCTATCTCAGCTCACTGCAACCTCTGCCTCCCAGGTTCAAGGGATTCTCCTGCCTCAGCCTCCAGAGTAGCTGGGACTACAGGTGCCCGCCGCCACACCCGGCTAATTTTTGTAGTTTTAGTAGAGACAGGTTTCACCATATTGGCCAGGCTGGTCTTGAACTCCTGACCTCGTGATCCACCTGCCTCAACTTCCCAAAGTGCTGGGATTACAGGCTTGTGCCACCGTGCCTGGCCACCAACAGGATTTCTTTAAACAGACACCTGGTATGTATCTACAGGTGACACGGCTTCTCATTCTGGCACTGCCACTGCACTGTCTATGCCACCTTGGACAGGTTCCTTGACTCCATTTCCTTATTTCTAAAGTCATGAGCTAATAATACCCTTCTCACAGGATTATTGTGAGCAAGAATACCAACTAGATACAAATGAAAACCACAAGGAGATACCACTTCACACCTATTAGGATGGCTACATATAAAAAAAAGAAAGCAGGCCGGGTGCAGCGGCTCATGCCTGTAACCCCTTCTTTGGGAGGTTGAGGCAGGAGAATTGCTAGAGCCCAGGAGTTTGAGGACAGCCTGGGGTTCGCACTTTGTTATCCAGGCTCAGGCCCCTGGGCTCAAGTGATCCTCCCACCTTGGCCTCCCAAAGTGCCTGGATTACAAGCATCAGCCATCGTGCCTGGCTGACCAAAAATTATTACTGAGGACCACCATGGCAGCCCATAGGGTTCTTAGAAATAGATTCAGGTCACTTTCATGGCTGAGCTCCTGGAGACAAGCCTGCAAGCTTCCCTCTGATGTGGACTTGTCTTTGCCCAGAGATTCATGACAAAAACTCAACTCTACAAAAAAAAAAAAAAAAAAAAAAGCACTAAAATTAGTGGTACATGTCATGCACCTATAGTCCCAATTACTCTGGGGGCTGAGGTGGGATGATCACCTGAGCCCAGGGAGGTCAAAGCTGCAGTGAACCATGATCACACCACTGCACTCCAGCCTGGGTGACAAAATGAGGCTCGATCTCAAAAGAAATAAAAAATAATAAAAGAAAAAGAAAAGAACAAGTGCTGACAAGGATGTGTAGAAATTGAAACCCTCATGCATTCCTGGTGGGAATGCAAAATGGTGCATTCACTGCAAACCAAAAAAAAAAAAAAAGTTTGGCAATTCCTCAAAAAATTAAACATAGAATTACCAATATGATCGGACAATTTCACTCCTGAGTATGTACCCAAAAGAAAGCAGGAACTCAAACAGATTGTACACTCATGTTCACAGCAGCACTATTTACAGTGGCCAAAAGGCGGAAACAACCCAAATGTACATCAACAGATGAACAGATAAGCAAAATGTGGTATTTATATACAAGGAATATTATCCTGCCCTAAAAAGGAATGGAATTCTGACACATGTTCTATAACACAGAGGAACCTTGAAAGCATTTTGCTAAGTGAACTAAGCTAGAAACAAAAGAACAAATACTGTATGACGCCACATAACTGAGTGTTATGGACTTGAAAGTTCATACGTTGATATCCTAACCCCTAATGTAAGTGTATTTGGAAGTGGGACCTTTGGGAGGTAATTAGGTCATGAGGGTGGAGCCTTCATGAATGGGATTAGTGTCCTTATATGAGAGACCCCAGAGAGCTCCTTCCACTTCTTTCTGCCATGGGAGGACACCACAGGAAGCTGACTCTCTACAGCCCAGAAGAGGGCCCTCACCAGAGTCTGACCATACTGGCACCCTGATATCAGATTTCCAGCCTCCAGAACTATGAGAAGTAAAGGTCTGCTGTTTAAGCCACACAGTCTATGGTAATTTGTTATAGCAGCCTGAATTAACTGAGACAGCAAGGTACCTGGAGTAGTCAGATGCATTGAGACTGAAGGGTGGTTACCAGGGGCTTGGAGGAAGGAAGAATGGGGAGTTACTGTTTAATGAGTATAGAGCTTCTGTTTGGGATGATGAAAAAGTTCTGGGAATAAATGGTGGTAGATAGTTGCACAAAATTGTGAATGTATTTAATGCCATTGAATTGTACACTTAAAACTTATTAAAATTGTAAATCCTACATATATTTTGCCATAATAATAATTACTTTAAAAGTACCAAATAGATAAAAATGATCTCTGGGACAGGTCTTCCATTTATGTCATTGAATCTGAATAATTTGACTCCTACAAAATAGTGGCTTGCCCAAAGTTCCAAGATGTCTCCTTACGGCAAGCACTGCAAATTGGCAACACATTAGAATCCCCTGGGGCACTTTAAAAATATACCAATGCCTGGGCCAAGCCGTGGTCCTGGAGCCCCAGCATCTGTGTTTCTTATTTGTTTGTTTGGACACGCTCCCGAATGATAAGCCATGAGATTGATAAACATAACCATGTGGTCCCGAGATACTGATCTAGCCCTTGGTCCAACCAGGTGGGATGTGGGGTAGCCTGTGAGCATATTGTCTGTTTGCTCCAGGGTATAGCACAAGTCTTATCATTTCCTATAAGTGCCATGATGTAAAAATGTTTGTTGGGTAGCACTGTTCTGACAAAGTCTATCTCTGTAAGGAGCAAGAAAGGGTTAGCAGCTTCAAGACAGCCGGTGAACTGGTGAACTGGCCCTCCAGCCTTATGACTATCAAGGGCCAAACTTGGGAACTACTATTTATGGAGCAATTGCAGTCTGCTTGGCACGTAACACATTCCATCTCCCAGTGTTCCAAAGACCCCACAGAAGATTCTGCTATGAATCCCATTTTACAGATGAAGAAACCGAGGCTCAGAGTTACTGAGTAGCCTGCCCAGGTTACCTGTTACATAGCAAGTATGCGGCTCAGCCTGAATTCATGTCTGGGTTTGACTCCAAATCCTTTGTTTTTCCACTGAAGTCTGTTTCAGCTTTTTTCTCTCCCAGCTCTAGCACTTTGATGGCACAACCTGAACTTCAAAGTGGACTAAAGCCAAATTTCAAATCATGGCATGTGCAGCAACCTGAGAAACGGAGCTCCTGGGCCCCCAGGAGGAACCAGTGCATACCCCGCAAATCCCACACTTCCTCCTTCTGGACCCAAATGTGCTGTTTCTTGTGCCTGAATCACAGGACTAAGACCCCATCCCAAACCCAGTGACACACCCACCCTGGTGCCCTTTTCTTTGATAAAATAATGAAAACTGGGTCACCCTGAAAAGTGAACCTTCACATAGCCCAAGAGCCCTTGACCTCTAAACCACTAGTTTATCTGCTAAATTCTACTTGGCCCCCCTTACTGCGCATCTGTCCAATGAATAAATTTACTTGGCTCCAATATTAATTATCATTTTTGTCTTGCTAACAACATATGTAATGGCCAAGAATTTAGCTAAGGTTTAGAAATATGCACTCCTGGGGCAGAGTATACAAAGATGTGCCATTTATTTAAGTCACAGGTAGAGGGAAGTTTGTCCAATGTATTGCTTAGTGCAGGATGACAGACATAACTACACAACATAACCAACTCCATGTCTGCCCCCATTTAGTGTTGTCCTTTCCTAGGAGTATATTTTCATCGTGTTTTGTAGAAACCTAGGATAAGTTTTGACATAGGGTATTTTCGGGGCGGTTCCAAGATGACCAAATAGGAACAGCTCCAGTCTATAGCTCGCAGCATGAGTGATGCAGAAGATGGGTGATTTCTGCATTTCCAACTGAGATACCAGGTTCATCTCACTGGGGCTTGTTGGATAGTGGGTGCAGGACAGTGGGTGCAGCCCACTGATCGTGAGCTGAAGCAGGGTGAGGCATCGCCACACCCGGGAAGCATAAGGGGTCAGGGAATTCCCTTTCCTAGCCAAAGGAAGCTGTGACAGACAGCACCTGGAAAATCGGGTCACTCCCACCCTAATACCGCGCCTTTCCAACGGTCTTAGCAAATGGCACACCAGGAGATTATATCCCACGCCTGCCTCAGAGGGTCCCATGCCCATGGAGCCTTGCTCATTGCTAGCACAGCAGTCTGAGATTGAACTGCAAGGTGGCAGTGAGGCTGGGGGAGGGATGCCCGCCATTGCTGAGGCTTGAGTAGGTAAACAAAGCGGCTGGGAAGCTCGAACTGGGTGGAGCCCACCACAGCTCAAGGAGGCTTGCCTGCCTCTGTAGACTCCACCTCTGGGGGCAGGGCATAGCTGAACAAAAGGCAGCAGAAACCTCTGCAGACTTAAACGTCCCTGTCTGACAGCTTTGAAGAGAGTAGTTGTTCTCCCAGCACGGCGTTTGAGATCTAAGAACGGACAGACTGCCTCCTCAAGTGGGTCCCTGACCCCCCGAGTAGCCTAACTGGGAGGCACCCCCCAGTAGGGGCAGACTGACACCCATACAGCCAGGCACTCCTTTGAGACGAAGCTTCCAGAGGAATGATCAGGCAGCAACATTTGCTGTTCAGCAATATTCGCTGTTCTGCAGCCTCTGCTGGTGATACCCAGGCAAACAGGGTCTGGAGTGGACCTCCAGCAAATTCCAACAGACCTGCAGCTGAGGGTCCTGACTGTTAGAAGGAAAACTAACAAACAGAAAAGACATCCACACCAAAACCCCATCTGTACGTCACCATCATCAAAGACCAAAGGTAGATAAAACCACAAAGATGGGGAAAAAACAGAGCAGAAAAGCTGAAAATTCTAAAAATCAGAGCACATCTCCCCCTCCAAAGGAATGCAGCTCCTCACCAGCAACAGAACAAAGCTGGACAGAGAATGACTTTGATGAGTTGAGAGAAGAAGGCTTGAAATGATCAAACTTCTCTGAGCTAAAGGAGGAAGTTCGAACCCATCACAAAGAAGCTAAAAACCTTGAAAAAAGATTAGACAAATGGCTAACTAGAATAACCAGTGTAGAGAAGTCCTTAAATGACCTGATGGTGCTGAAAACCACGGCACGAGAACTACGTGACGAATGCACAAGTTTCAGTAGCCAATTCCATCAACTGGAAGAAAGGGTATCAGTGATGGAAGATCAAATGAATGAAATGAAGCGAGAAGAGAAGTTTAGAGAAAAAGAATAAAAAGAAATGAACAAAGCCTCCAAGAAATATGGGACTATGTGAAAAGACCAAATCTACGTCTGATTGGTGTAACTGAAAGTGACGGGGAGAATGGAACCAAGTTGGAAAACACTCTGCAGGATATTATCCAGGAGAACTTCCCTAACCTAGCAAGGCAGGCTAACATTCAGATTCAGGAAATACAGAGAACGCCACAAAGATACTCCTCGAGAAGAGGAGTATCTAAGACACATAATTGTCAGATTTACCAAAGTTGAAATGAAGGAAACAATGTTAAGGGCAGCCAGAGACAAAGGTCAGGTTACCCACAAAGGGAAGCCATCAGACTAACAGCAGATCTTTTGGCAGAAACCCTACAAGCCAGAAGAGAGTGGGGGCCAATATTCAACATTCTTAAAGGAAAGAATTTTCAACCCAGAATTTCATATCCAGCCAAACTAAGCTTAATCAGTGAAGGAGAAATAAAATCCTTTACAGACAAGCAAATGCTGAGAGATTTTGTCACCACCAGGCCTGCCCTACAAGAGCTCCTGAAGGAAGCACTAAACATGGAGAGGAACAACTGGTACCAGCCACTGCAAAAACATGCCAAATTGTAAAGACCATCAAGGCTAGGAAGAAACTGCACCAACTAATGAGCAAAATAACCAGCTAACATCATAATGACAGGATTAAATTCACACATAAAAATATTAACCTTAAATGTAAATGGGCTACATGCTCCAATTAAAAGACACAGACTGGCAAATTCGATAAAGAGTCAAGACCCATCAGCGTGCTGTATTCAGGAGACCCATCTCACGTGCAGAGACACACATAGGCTCAAAATAAAGGGATGGAGGAAGATCTACCAAGCAAATGGAAAACAAAAAAAGGCAGGGGTTGCAATCCTAGTCTCTGATAAAACAGACTTTAAACCAACAAAGATCAAAAGAGACAAAGAAGGCCATTACATAATGGTAAAGGGATCAATTCAACAAGAAGAGCTAACTATCCTAAATATATATGCACCCAATACAGGAGCATCCAAATTCATAAAGCAAGTCCTTAGAGACCCTACAAAGAGATTTAGACTCTTTAGACTCCCACAGAATAATAATGGGAGACTTTAACACCCCACTGTCAACATTAGACAGATTAACGAGACAGAAAGTTAAAAAGGATATCCAGGAATTGAACTCAGCTCTGCACCAAGTGGACCTAATAGACATCTACAGAACTCTCCACCCCAAATCAACAGAATATACATTCTTCTCAGCACCACATCGCACTTATTCCAAAATTGACCACATATTTGGAAGTAAAGCACTCCTTAGCAAACGTAAAAGAACAGAAATTATAACAAACTGTCTCTCAGACCATAGTGCAATCAAACTAGAACTCAGGATTAAGAAACTGACTCAAAACCGCTCAACTACATGGAAACTGAACAACCTGCTCCTGAATGACTACTGGGTACATAATGAAATGAAGGCAGAAATAAAGATGTTCTTTGAAACCAATGAGAACAAATACACAACATACCAGAATCTCTGGGACACATTTAAAGCAGTGTGTAGAGGGAAATTTATAGCACTAAATGCCCACAAGAGAAAGCAGGAAAGATCTAAAATTGACACCCTAACATCACAATTAAAAGAACCTAGAGAAGCAACAGCAAACACATTCAAAAGCTAGCAGAAGGCAAGAAATAACTAAGATCAGAGCAGAACTGAAGGAGATAGAGACACAAAAAACCCTTCAAAAAATCAATGAATCTAGGAGCTAGTTTTTTGAAAAGATCAACAAAATTGATAGACTGCTAGCAAGACTAATAAAGAAGAAAAGAGAGAAGAATCCAATAGACACAATAAAAAATGATAAAGGGGATATCACCACAGATCCCACAGAAATACAAACTACCATCAGAGAATAATATAAACACCTCTATGCAAATAAACTAGAAAATCTAGAAGAAATGGATAAATTCCTGGACACATACACCCTCCCAAGACTAAACCAGGAAGAAGTTGAATCCTGAATAGCCCAATAACAGGCTCTGAAATTCAGGCAATAATTAATAACCTACCAACCAAAAAAAGTCCAGGACCAGACGGATTCACAGCCAAATTCTACCAGAGGTACAAGGAGGAGTTGGTACCATTCCTTCTGAAACTATTCCAATCAATAGAAAAACAAAGAATCCTCCCTAACTCATTTTATGAGGCCAGCATCATCCTGATACCAAAGCCTGGCAGAGACACAACAAAAAAAGAGAATTTTAGGCCAATATCCTGGATGAACATTGATGCAAAAATCCTGAATAAAATACTGGCAAACTGAATCCAGCAGCACATCAAAAAGCTTATCCACCATGATCTAGTGGGCTTCATCCCTGGGATGCAAGCCTGGTTCAACATATGGAAATCAATAAACGTAATCCAGCATATAAACAGAACCAAAGACAAAAACCACATGATTATCTCAATAGATGCAGAAAAGGCCTTTGATAAAATTCAACAGCCCTTCATGCTAAAAACTCTCAATAAATTAGGTATTGATGGGACATATCTCAAAATAATAAGAGCTATTTATGACAAACCCACAGTCAATATCATACTGAATGGGCACAAACTGGAAGCATTCCCTTTGAAAACTGGTACAAGACAGGGATGCCCTCTCTCACCACTCCTATTCAACATAGTGTTGGAAGTTCTTGCCAGGGCAATCAGGCAGGAGAAAGAAATAAAGCATATTCAATTAGGAAAAGAGGAAGTCAAATTGTCCCTGTTTGCAGATGACATGATTGTATATTTAGAAAACTCCATCGTCTCAGCCCAAAATCTCCTTAAGCTGATAAGCAACTTCAGCAAAGTCTCAGGATACAAAATCAATGTGCAAAACTCACAAGCATTCTTTTTTTTTGAGACGGAGTCTCATTCTGTCACCCAGGCTGGAGTGCAGTGGCGTGATCTTGGCTCACTGCAACCTCCACCTCCCGGGTTCATGCCGTTCTTCTGCCTCAGCTTCCTGAGTAGTTGGGACTACAGGTGCCTACCACCATGCCCAGCTAATTTTTTGTATTTTTAGTAGAGACAGGGTTTTACCATGTTAGCCAGGATGGTCTCGATCTCCTGACCTCATGATCCGCCCATCTTGGCCTCCCAAAGTGCTGGGATTACAGGCGTGAGCCACTGCACCTGGCCCACAGGCATTCTTATACACCAATAACAGACAAACAGAGAGCCAAATCATGAGTGAACTCCCATTCACAATTGCTTCAAAGAGAATAAAATACCCAGGAATCCAATTTACAAGGGATGTGAAGGACCTCTTCAAGGAGAACTACAAACCACTGCTCAACGAAATAAAAGAGGACACAAACAAATGGAGGAACATTCCATGTTCATGGATAGGAAGAATCAATATCGGGAAAATGGCCATACTACCCAAGGTAATTTATAGATTCAATGCCATCCCCATCAAGCTACCAATGACTTTTTTCACAGAATTGGAAAAAACTACTTTAAAGTTCATATGGAACCAAAAAAGAGCCTGCATTGCCAAGACAATCCTAAGCCAAAAGAACAAAGCTGGAGGCATCAGGCTACCTGACTTCAAACTATACTACAAGGCTACAGTAACCAAAATAGCATGGTACTGGTATCAAAACAGAGATACAGAACAATGGAACAGAACAGAGCCCTCAGAAATAATACCACACATCTACAACCATCTGATCTTTGACAAACCTGACAGAACAAGAAATGGGGAAAGGATTCCCTATTTAATAAGTGGTGCTGGGAAAACTGGCTAGCCATATGTAGAAAGCTGAAACTGGATCCCTTCCTTACACCTTATACAAAAATTAATTCAAGATGGATTAAAGACTTAAACGTTACACCTAAAACCATAAAAATCCTAGAAGAAAACCTAGGCAATACCATTCAGGACGTAGGCATGGGCAAGGACTTCATGTCTAAAACACCAAAAGCAATGGCAACAAAAGCCAAAATTGACAAATGGGATCTAATTAAACTAAAGAGCTTCTGCAGACCAAAAGAAACTACCATCAGATTGAACAGGCAACCTACAGAATGGGAGAAAATTTTTGCAATCTACTTATCTGACAAAGGGCTAATATCCAGAATCTACAAAGAACTCAAACTTACAAGAAAAAAATCACACAACCCCATCAAAAAGTAGGTGAAGGATATGAACAGACACTTCTCAAAAGAAGACATTTATGTAGCCAACAGACACATGAAAAAATGCTCACCATCACTGGCCATCAGAGAAACGCAAATCAAAACCACAATGAGATACAATCTCACACCAGTTAGAATGGCAATCATTAAAAAGTCAGGAAACAACAGGTGCTAGAGAGGATGTGGAGAAATAGGAACACTTTTACACTGTTGGTGGGACTGTAAACTGGTTCAACCATTGTGGAAGATAGTGTGGCGATTCCTCAAGGATCTAGAACTAGGAATACCATTTGACCCAGCCATCCCATTACTGGGTATATACCCAAAGGATTATAAATCATGCTGCTATAAAGACACATGCACATGTATGTTTATTGTGGCACTATTCACAATGGCAAAGACTTGGAACCAACCCAAATGTCCATCAATGATTGACTGGATTAAGAAAATGTGGCACATATACACCATGGAATACTATGCAGCCATAAAAAATGATGAGTTCATGTCCTTTGTAGGGACATGGATGAAGCTGGAAACCATCATTCTCAGCAAACTATTGCAAGAACAAAAAACCAAACACCACATGTTCTCACTCATGGGTGGGAATTGAACAATGAGAACACTTGGACACAGGAAGGGGTTCGTCACACACCCGGGCCTGTTGTGGGGTGGGGGTAAGGGGGAGGGATAGCATTAGGAGATATACCTAATGTAAATGACAAGTTAATGGGTGCAACACACCAACATGGTACATGTATACATATGTAACAAACCTTCACATTGTGCACATGTACCCTAGAACTTAAAGTTTAAAAAAAAAAAAAACAAAAAAAAAAACAGAAAAAGAAATAGTGTATTTTGTACCGATGGGTCAGAATTGGAGGTGATGAGTGCATCAGCATCAAACTCCTCCACCCAGATGGTATCTCACTCTGTTGCCCAGGCTGAGTGCAGTGGCACGATCATAGCTCACTGCAGCCTCCAGCTCCTGGGCTCCAGCAATCCTCCTGCCTCAGCCTCCCAAGTAGCTGAGACTACAGGTGTGTGCCACCACTCCCAGCTAATTTTTAAAATTTTTTCGTAGAGATGGGGTCTCACTATGTTGCCTAGACTGATCTTGTGTTGCTGGGCTCAAATGATCCTCCTGCCTCAGCCTCCCAAGTAACAAGGACTACAGCAAGCCACCATACTCAGCTCAAAATGATCATTTTTATGTGCTGAAGACAATCTTAAACAAAGTCAGTGTTCAGAGACAAAGTTTCTGGTGTGCACATAAAGTATTTGATTAAAGCTGCACAAACATTGAGTCTGACTAGGTCATTATCCTCTTAGATGGCTGTGTTCATTTCCACATCTCCAGTTATATTATAAAGTCACATTATTGACTGTAAGATGCTATCAGAGGGCCGGGTGTGGTGGCTTACACCTGTAATCCCAGCACTTTGGGAGGCCGAGGTAGGTGGGTCACGAGGTCAGGAGTTCAAAACCAGCCTGGTCAACATGGTGAAACCTCATCTCTACTAAAAATACAAAAATTAACTGAGCGTGGTGGTAGGCACCTGTAATCCCATCTACTCCGGAGGCTGAGGCAGGAGAATCATTTGAACCTGGGAGGCAGAGGTTGCAGTGAGCCAAGATCATGCCATTGACCTCCAGCCTGGGTGACAAGAGCAAAACTCTGTCTCAAAAAAAAAAAAATGCTATCAGAAAACTCCAGAGTGCTCTCTCTTCGACTGCACAGGCAGCAATGACTACTATTACCACCTGGACCAAAGGGATCATTCAGAATTGGCACGAGTTTCAACTTTATTCTTTACATGGAAATGCATAGATTGCCCCTTATTGGTTGCCTCATGTCCCCAGAAAACATATATTGAATCCCTAACCTTTGGTACCAGTGAATGTGACCTTATTTGGAAATAGAGTCCTTGTAGATATAATCAGATTAAGATGAGATCATTAAGGTAGGCCCTACTCCGATATGACTGGTATTCTTATAAGAAGAGGAAAACACCAGCTAAAGACAGAGACCCGCAGGGAGAACACCAGGTGAGGATGGAAGCAGAGATTGGAGGGATGCAACTACAAGCCAAGGAAAGCGGGGGATGGATGGCCACCACCAGAAGCTAGAAAGAAGCAAGGAAGGATTTTACCTTCCAGAGGAAGCAAGGCCCTGCTGACAACTTGATTTCAAACTTGTAGCCTCCAGAACTGCCAGAGAATACGTTTCTGTTGTTTTAAGCCATCCAGTTTGGGGATGGCAGCTCTAGGAAACGAATCCACTGCCCTTTTCTTAGGAGTCCATTTGGTGCTGTGTCTGCATTTAAAGTGTCTACATGTTGTAGATGAGCTCTGCTGCTCTACATTGTGTTCTTTCTTTTGGTTTTGAGGCAAATTAATTAACATGATACAGAAACGAGAGAATACAAATGCTGAAGCCCTCACTTTAAGCCCTCATACTCTTTTGTTCTCCATTATTGCACCAAATTATTTAATTGGGTCTCTCTGATTGTGCTCAGACACAGAAAAGAACACAGTCTATTGTGAGACTCCCTGCAACCATAATGCAATATCAAATTCAATTCCCATCAAAAGTGCTCGCTGCTAAAAGCCTGTTCTGTGACTGCAGATTAATGAAGATCTGCATTGAGCAAAGTGGTGGTCGTAGAGACATTATTTTCCTCCAATAGAAGGCCTATTCTTGAAGAACAATAAAAGCACAGAGAAGCGTTAGTCTGCTTACGGATAGAAATAAATCAAAATGAATAAGAGGGTTGATGGAAATAGTCTGAAAGCAGCAGAGTGAATTTTGAAAATACTGTTTTTGTTTTGTGAGGACATTTTCTTTCCTTTTTTTTCTGTCATCTCCCCACAGCCCCACTCTAGCCCTTCATAAAAGGCTGCTGGGTGCAGGATCGAAAGCTGTGGAGTGAGGGGCAAACCTGAAAATTGAAAACTCAGTTATAGGTAATCAGCATTCTATCAATGCACTCAGCTCAGCCCAGCCTTGCTGCTTATGTTCACAGTGGGGAGGAAAGTGAGAGGACCCTGGATCATGGTGTAAATTTGGGCAAGAGGGAGCCACACCCAAAGAGATAACAGCTGTAAAGATGGAGGGGAATAATTACACCGCTTTCAGCTAATTAGACACTTAGATAGTCTCTTGACTCTCTCTGCTCCCTTTATTCTGGGATTGTTGAACTTTTTATTTTTTCTACTTTCTCCACTCCCAGTGTCCTCAAAGCTTTTTCCTTGCAATGGCCTATTCTCATCTCCTTTCCACTCATCCTAATTTGAAACTCCATCTTAAATTCCACGAAGAATTTCTCAACCTGAGAAATTCAGCCTTCCTTCAACCCTTCACCTTCCTAATTCCCCCAGGCACATATTATCTGAACTGTGTTTTTGACACAGGTGTATATTAAATGATATACCTGAGCTGTCCAATATGGTAGCCATCAGCCATATGCAACTACTGAGCACTTGAAATGTGGCTAGACCAAACTGAGAGGCACTATAAGTGTAAAACACATACTGCACTTCAAAGACTTAGTTAAAAAAAGAAAAAGAAGAAATACCTCAATAACTTTCAGAATTTGATTACATGTTGAAATGGCCATTCCAAGGAAAAGGGGCTTTGGGGACATTTGGTTTTACTGGGTTAAATAATGCATATTATTTAAATTAATTTTCCTCTATTTTATTATACTTTTCAAAATTTATCTACCAGAAAATTTAAAATGGCATCTGTGGCTCACAGATGTGACTTGCATTATATTTCTGTTGGATGGTGCTGCTGTATACAATTAAAGATCTAGATCATCTATGGCCATCTAAAATGGCAGCAGTTTAAGCCAGTTTTGTAAACACAAGAGGTCTGACTCCAGTATTCAAACATGGTATTAAACTCTTCAAATGAAAGTGAAATCCCAAGGATCTTTGTGCAGTCCTATGAAGCCTGCTGTTTTAAGCCCTGCAAGGTCTGCTTTTCCAGGCCAGGAGGATGACACCCTCAGCCTTCCCCTTTGCTCCTCGGAGGCATTTGCACTCTCCATCTTTTGATGCTCAGTGTTCTCCTGCCCTATCTCCATTGTGTCTTATCAAAGATCCATTGACATGTCAGTGTGAATGATTGATTATGCTTAATGTATGGCCTCCTCAGGGCACTGTCCTTTTAGCAAAGGCAGAAAACCTCTGAGTTAGCTTAAACCAAGTGAGGCTTAACTGAGTGACCCGGTGCATCAAGAAGCCACATGAGGCAGGCATTCTTAACATCTGATCTCGGTGAAGCCTGTGAAGCCACACTGCCTGATGAATGCCTACTCTTCATTTCCTAATTGCCTTATGAACAGAATAGAATTGTTCACAAAGGATTCCTGTAGGAGAGCCACAGCAGGACTCTACCATCTGACCAGAGACTGTTCAACCATGGGTTTTTAAAAAATCATTGCTCACCTATGTCTTCTCTGTGGCTACTCTCCACAGTAACCCGATCTTTTACTCATTGTCCCATCCTCCTTGATGATTTCCATCAGCCCGACCCATCCTCATCTTGTCCTGTGCTCTCCTCATCGTTGGTGATATCCTCCTCCTCACTGAGAACCCTTCTTTCGAATACACTGGCACCAAGGCTGTTTCACCATCTAACCTATGGAGAGCTTCATGATTTTCCGATTCTCAGGGCATTACCAACAGAGAACCTCAATCTATGCCATTTCGTTTGATCACCGAGACTTTGGAACTCAGACCTTCCCCTTCATCATGGCCACCTGGTTCCTTCATCTTGTCTACAGGCACTACCTAGCCCTTCAGTTCCTCTCTGTTCTGCCAGAACATCTGCCTCCCTTAGTGTATCAGTCTGTTTTGCATTGTTATAAAGGAATACCTGAGAGTGGGTAATTTATAAAGAAAAGAGGTTTATGTGGTTCATGGTTCTACAGGCTGTACAAGCATGGCACTAGCATCTGCTCAGCTTCTGGTGAAGCTCAGAGAGCTTTTACTCATGGCAGAAAGTGGGAGAGCAGGCATGTTTCATGGTGAGAGAAAGAGGAAGAGAGAGAGGAGGAGGTGCCAGTCTCCTTTAAACCAGCTCTCATGTGAACGAACAGAGGGAAAACTCACACATTACCATGTGGAGGGAGGGAACCAAGGCATTCCTAAAGAATCTGCCCCCATGACTCAAAGGCCTCCCACCGGGCCCCACCTCCAATGTTGGGGATCACATTGCAACATGAGATTTGGAGGGGACAAATATCCAAATGCCTTCACCCCTAATCCATACCCTGCTTAACTTATGATGTCTCTGCAATAGACACTCCTTTTTGTCACTTTCTGAAACCTCCTTTTCTTTTGACCTTTTAATGGGCCACTTTGCCTATTTCTAGCCCTATATTGTCACTTCCCCTGCTCTCATGCAAATGATTCCTTCCTCTACCAAAGTTTTTAGATAAATTAATGCAATCTGTGTATTGTCACCTACCACTAATACTTCTACTCTTAAAATTACTTACTGATTTAGAGTTAACAAAATGTTAACTCAATTTTATCCTTGCTTGGTAGCTGATAACCCCTTTGAGGTGTCTCTTAATAAATCTGTAATTGCATTCCTACCCAAGCTTTTTTCTCTCTGAAGTTACAATTTTATGCTCACCTTATGACTCTTCCCACATGAATTCACCTTGTATAGAGGAAATTAAGACCACTCAGTCACTATTTCCTTAATTTCCCTCATCTCTACCTCAACTTTTCTGTCTATACCATCACAAATGTTTCCCTTCATTCTCTTCTTTTTCTGGGGAAGAAGTGCCTTTTCTCCTTTAGAACATGACACATCTACTCCCTCTGGAAATTTGCTTTATCAATTTTGTGTTCTCTTTTCAGCATCTTCAATCTTTCCCTTTTCCCTGCCCTTTCCTCTCTGCCTGCTTATTAATAATTCTAAAAATCTCTCTTCTGACACTTCCATTCTATTTCAACTCTACTATTGCTGCTAAATGCCTTTAAAAGATATCCTACATGCACATTTATTTTTCCTTGCTACTCCTCAGATGTGCAGTTGGGCTCTAGAAACTTTTATGAAGATTGCCTTCTTTTCAAATCCAATGACTTCTAAGAATTCACATTACTCTACCTCAGTGCAGCCTTGGCATAACTGACTTCTTACTGTTTCCTGAAACTAAATTGTTTCTAGGTTTTACCTAAGGTACACTTTCCTGCGTATCCTCTTACATTCCTAAAGTTTCTCCCCTCTGTTTTTATGATTCCACTTTCTTTTCCTACCCACTAAACATAGTTCCCAAGATTCTGTCTTAAGCTGTCTGCTTATGCAGCATTTACTCCTGTTACTCAACTGTCAATTTAGTATGAATGACTCCTAAGCACCCCCCGCCCCCCACCCCCCAAACACACACTAGCTGGATCTCACTCCCAAGCTCTAGACATGATAGTTCCACGGTCCCTGCATGTCTCCCAAACTTTTCATGTCCAAAAAAAAAAAAAAAATCTGTCATCACCTTCTCCAAATCATCTCCTCCTTCTGACTTCCCATATCTCTTCTCTAGTCAGTGGTGCTTGAAATCTCAGACTCATCTTGACTCTTGCAATCAGATTTAATCATACTCTGCTGGCACTGCCCTCGCACTGTTCTCTCTGTTGCTATCCCCTTCTATTTTCATAATGTCACCTCCCTTAAGGCGTCAATGATGCCTTCCTGAGATTTACTAGCAAAAGCCTTCTGTCTGCCACTCTACCACCAGCCTCAGCCCTCCAATTTATTCTGCAGTCATTTACCAGATCAGATTTGTCTTGCCAAGACACATGTCTAGAAAAATCTGGTTCAAAACCCTCCAGGAACTGTACATTTCTATTGAACAAAGTCTAAGCCTATAGTCTAATATTCTAGGTTAATTTCCACATAATTTTCACAGCTTTGTTTCCTATTACTTCTCTTATATTTTCCTACATTTCAACCAAACCATACCATTTGTCGATTCTGTCTTTTTTCCACATCATGCCTTTGCACTTACTATGAAGGTCTTTACATTAGTCCTCTCTGTGTTGGGCTCCTTTATAACATGAGGCCATTTTTCAAGGCTCGTACAAATATGACCTCTTCCCTGAGCCCAACTTTCCCTCTTCCAAATTTCGGGGTGCAATGATTTTTTGCTCTTAATCTCAAAAGTTTCTGATTGGATTACGGGCACAGTGGCTCATGCCTGTAATGTCAGCACTTTGAGAGACTGAGGCAGATGGATCATCTGAGGTCAGGAATTCGAGACTAGCCTGGCCAACATAGTGAAACCCGGTCTCTACTGAAAATACAAACATTAGCCCAGCGTGGTGGCAGGCGCCTGTAATCCCAGCTACTTGGGAGGCTGAGGCAGGAGAATCGCTTGAACTCGGGAGGCGGAGGTTGCAGTGAGCCGAGATTGCACCATTGCACTCCAGTCTGGGTGACAAAAGCAAGACTCCGTCACAAAAAAAGAAAAAAAATAGTTTCGGATTGTGTCTCCTTTCAGTGGATAATGATAATGTCTTTTTTTTTTTTTAACTTGGTACCAATTTGCCAAGTATTTTTACATATTACAGTAATTCATTATATGTCCATCCATCACTGTGAAGTGACCAGGGCTTATTATTTCAGTTTCTGGAAACTGAAATCGGGAAGTGTTCATTGACTGACCCAAGGTCACACAGCAGCAATTTAAACCGAGATCTCTGGACTTCCATTCCAGCATTCATTACAGAATGCTTTATTTTGTATGGCAGTTACTTGTATATTCTCTTATCCCCACTACTACACTATGGGCTCCTTGAAGGCAGGATTCTGAGAATAAAAGTTTCTTTGTAGGAAAGCATTGATTGTTCTTTGGCTAGAGAAGCAAATAAATACAAGAACTGGGTTTGTACATGCCTAATTGGTTGCTGACAATTTTGCATCAGTAAAGTGGCTTCTGAAAGTCAGCCAAGGGCCTGGCACGGTGGCTCACGCCTGTAATCCCAACACTTTGGGAGGCCAAAGTGGGTGGATCACGAGGTCAGGAGTTGAAGACCAGCCTGGCCAACATGGTGAAACCCCGTCCCTACTAAAAATACAAAAATTAGCCAGGCATGGTGGCACACGCCTGTAATCCCAGCTACTAGGGAGACTGAGACAGAAGAATCGCTTGAACCTGGGAGGCAGAGGTTGCAGTGAGCCAAGATCATGCCACTGCACTCCAGCCCGGGTGACAGAGTGAGACTCCATCTCAAAACAAAAACATAAAAAAAAAGAAAGTCAGCCAAACAGTAACAGCTTCACCCTAATCAGCTCATTTCATATCAACCAATCAGCAAGTCTTGCTGGAGTATCCACACTTCTACAGATAAAGGGCAAGCACTTCCTGAACATTCCCACTTTGGGAAAAATCCACCAATACCTTAGCATCTCCATTCTTCCCAAAACCCTATGTAAGACAAAGTCTGGGTCTTATATTCAGGTCATAAATAGATTTTCTCAGAAAAATCACATAATGATTATGAATTTGTCATTTTTACCCAGTGTATTAACAGTTTTTGCTTTATATGTTTTGCAGCTATGTTGTGTGGTGCAAAAAAGATTCAAGGTCATTCCATGTTTTGGTGTATTGTACATATAACATGAAACATTCTGTGTTCTACTCAGTGTCTTTGCACTTAATTCAATTTTGTGTGATATACTGATATACCACTTCATTTTTCTTCCCATTTGCTGTGCATATTTCTATTTTCAACTCCTCCATGTGGTGTTTAAAAAGACATATTTCTTATAAATAACATAGAGAAGAATTATTTTTTTAACTCACTCTAAAATCTCCTTTTGATTAAAACAAAAACAATTCATTCATATTTATTGTAATTTCTGATATATTTTGGTTTACTCATGCCACCTTATTTTATATTTTCTTTTAGGTATATTTCTTGCTTCTCCCGCCGCCGCATCTTCTCTTGTTCATTTGTTCATTGGATTAAGTTTTGTTTCGCTGTTGTTGTTTCTTTTTTCCTTTCAGCCCCAGTAGTAGTTCAGGAGTTCTTCAGAGAGCAGGAAAAGAGACTGGCTGGAGGTTTTTTCATAGCAGTTAGAAGGTGGGACCAGAGTGAAGATTCTACATTTGGTTTAAACTTTTTACCAGCACCCAAATGAAAGTTCACCCCTACTTTGTTATCAGCTTTGCCAGGTGTGAGACAGAGAGAAAGAAGAAGGATTGAGATGCTCTTTTTAGTAGCTGTTGTTGTTTGAACACTTCACCCAGGCTGAAGTGCACTGGCATGATTATAGCTCACTGCAGCCTCCACTTCCTGGGCTCAAGTGATCCTCTCAAACTCAGCCCTCCAGAGTAGTTGGGACTACAGGCATTGTGTTACCATACCTGGCTAATTTTTTTTGTAGACATGGGGTCTCATTATGTTGACCAAGTTGATCTCAAACTCCTAGGCTCAAGCAATCTCAAACTCCTAGGCTCAAGCAATCCTTCCACCTTGGCCTCCCAAAATGCTGGAATTACAGGCATGAGCCACCAAGCCTGGCCTAGACTGGGCAATCTGTCAGCAGCCAAGCAAAAGATGGAGTCAGTTCCATTATATTGATATTGCTCATTTCTGGATATACATACTCCTTGGAATCAGTGCATTTAATGTTATCACCAAACTCTAGCAAGGTTTAACACTTACAGTACTCTTTTCTTCTACTGACTACATTGTGTCTAACCAGAGAATTTAAAGCTTCCTTGGTTTTCTTGCAAATTCAGTGTCAAAACTGTTCACTGAAAGTGAGTTCCAAGAGTCCACATCATCTCTGCTCTCCAATTCTTCACTGCAGGGCCACTGCTCAAATGACTCAGCTCTAATCCTAGGGTTTGTAATCAGTCCACAGTGCAGATAGCTACAATACTGCACAGGGATCCTCAGCAATTCCAGATGACTGCCCCCTCCCCCCTACCCCCATGTATTAGGATGACTCAGTCCACAAACTTAGGAATGCAACACATTTAATTTAATTTTATTTTCTCTAGAAACTCAATTTCTATTTTAAGCCCTTGAAAAAGAGAGGAAATTCCAACGGACTGGAATTAGGCCTCTACCAATCCCATAGAATGGGCACTTAAAGTAGAAAGCTCTAGGAGGTTTATATTGTGCTCAGACATTGGGTCCGCATCATGCATATTTCAGTGTCCTCAGCAAAGTCACCACTGAAACATTACTTAATGTCTCTTATGTAATAGCTAACATTTATTTGCACTTTCATGTCATATCATTCTCTCACTTAATCTTGATGTATGTGTCTAAGAGTAATATAGTGTCTTTCCTGAAATATTTTATGACACAAAATGAAAACAACTTATCCTAGTGTTTCCTCTTTTGAAATCTCAGAATCAAATTTGCTGTTCAATTAGAGAAACAATTTTATTCCACTATAACCTAATCTCCATGTGATCAGGGTGATATCTCCTTTTCATCCTTGATGCCAAGCACATTGCCTGGCACATAGGGGATCAATAATTGTAAAACAGAAGAACATCTTTCCTGGGTGGGCTACAATTATCTTGGAACTTATGCTCCTTCTGATCTACATTTGTATATGTTGTATTGCGCATCACTTCAGATCCTTTGTTTTGGAATTAGGAGGGAGATAAGAAAGAAAATAACAGAGAGAAGGAAATAGGAAATGGAAGCGTGTGTGAAAATAGTCTCTATGCTACTCCAGTAGTCGCCAATTTTACGTTTCTCTTTTCTTTCCACTTAAAAAAATCTGTATTATTTTCTATATACTTTTCTGATCATCTTTTTTTTCCTAAATGAACCAATGCATTTAATACATGCAAAACAAACCAAAAACAGATCTGGGCAGGACAGAGGGTTCATCTGTTCATGTAAAAACCATTCATAGGGCTGCTATCTGGTGACAGGCCTTGCACTAGACACTAGAAGATACAAAGCTGGATATGAAGCACCTGCTGCCTACTTCCAGGTGGGAGTAAACATATAAACAATGCAGTGACAGATGTATGTGTAGGGTACAAGTGAGAACACAAAGGGATTATGACATTGAGAAGATTATGTGAGTTGAGTCCTGAAATATGACTGGAGCTTGCCAGGTGGTAAGGTTGGAAAGCTGCTGGGAAGATAATTCTACGGACAAGTCTGTCTCTTTCCACACTCTTTCAAAGCAAGGAGCTTTTGGAAATTTAAACTCACACACGGCCGATTGCCTTAAAACAATAATTACTTAAAGATAATTTAGTTCTGTGATACTTAAAAGTATATTTAGATTTTTAGGAGACCTGCTGGGCAAGGTGGCTCATGCCTGTTATCCCAGCACTTTGGGAGGCCGAGGCAGGCAGATCACCTGAGGTCAGGAGTTCAAGACCAGCCTGGCCAACATGGTGAAACCCCGTCTCTACTAAAAATACAAAAATATTAGCCAGGCGTGGTGGCAGGTGCCTGTAATCCCAGCTACTCAGGAGGCTGAGGCAGGAGAATCGCTTGAACCCGGAAGGCGGAGGTTGCAGTGAGCCAAGATTGTTCCATTGCACTCCAGCCTGGGGGACAAGAGTGAGATTTTTGTCACAAAAAAAAAAAAAAAAAAGATTTTTAGGACAGCAATCTTTTGGTCAACAGCTTTGCCTCTGAAACATTATGTATATACTATGTATACAATAATGTATACAAGGCCCAAATATCTAAAGAAATGGTTTCCTTTTGAAAATTCTCCAAATTGCACTCTGAGTGCTTTGAATTCAACTAACCATGAAAAATCTCCTTTTTAAAATAAAGTAATTAAAAATTGGATATTGTTGCATTTGAAAAATATTCTTTATGAAGAGTTGATTTCTTTGATATAATATTCATTTCCCTTGGGGAAACACCCTCAATAAATGAAAATATTTTTACGGCAAATAATCTATTGCTTTAAGTTCACTTAAATTGACTTGATAATCTATTTCAACTCCTGTGGCAAATTTCTATGTGGAAAGGATCTTAATTAAAATAAAAGTAATATATGCATATGACTAAAAAATCAAATAGTGCGAAGAACTTATAGTGGAAAGAATAGTTCCTTGTCCAACCCTCCCATCCACAGCCACCTCCCTAGAGATAACTATTACAAACAATATCTTAGTACTTCCAGTGGTTATGTCAATATCCCTAAATGAAACACGTCACCTCCATTTCTTTACTTCTCAAGGATATGTGGCTTCATTTATACCCCTCATCTTCATATATTTATACCATTAGGCTTTACTTCTATTAGTATACCTTGGTAAGTTAATGAAGATGCTTAAACATCTATTGCTCATTCTGTCAACTGGATGCAGTACATCTTAACCCCCAACTTTGTAAAGTAAGGATATTGGCTCCTTTATCCTTCTCTCCAATGCCATGTTGTTGTTATGTTTAAGTTAGCGTGTTAACATTATTTACTACAGATTCAAGTGTCATGATAGAACATGTCTCATATTATATTTTCTTCTCTGTAGATCTAAGGTAATGTCCCCAATTCCACTCAACGAGTGTTGTTACAGTGGAATCATCTTGATTACGCTCCAACAGTGATTGAAAATTCTGCCACATTTCTGTTTGCTTTGGAGTCACAGCATGCTTTGCACAGCTTTTTGATTTTCCATGAGATTCTGATCGACTGTCTTATCTGGTTGATGGAGAATCGTGTGCCTCCTTATAATAACCTCTATACCTTTCAGCATTTTTCTCTTTCTGTCTGTTACTTAGAATCTCTCTCATTCTTTTTCATGACGTCTACAGCTAATTAGAACCATTTACTTCATATTTGAACCATCACTTTTTTTGTGTTGGTTTTTTTCTCCTGTGAACTTTTTATTCCCCCATTTGATCTCATGCACTCTGTATCTTTAGTAAATCATCATGTTCTTCTAGCATCTTAATTTTTCTGTCCATCCAAAGGAATCCCTTCACTCCTGGAGACCTCCTACAGGGAGCCTTCTACCCACTTGCATACGTTTGAACTGATTATTTTCTAGGTCTTTTGCACAGTTGTCTTCCTAGACCTTCCTTTCTTTGCTCTTCTGGATTGAATCTACAGTTTCCTGAATCTCATGTTTTTCCTCTTTGGGTTTACTTCCTCATTTAACCAAAACATATCATTAAATTATTTCCAAAGAAGAGTATATGAAAAATAAACTTTATAATCTTTCATATGTCTGAAAGTACCTTTATTCTGCCATCACGATTGATGAATACTCCAGCTGCATAGAAATCCATCAAAATGCATTCCTCTTCAGAGATTTGAAGGCACTACCCATTGCCTGTTAACATCCAGAATTGCTAATGAGAAGTCTGATGATAGTTTAATTCTTTTGTAAGTGATCTATTTTTTTCTCAGTAAATGTTTTGAATATATGCTATTCTTTATGTCATTGTGCAATTTTGTAATGATTGTGTAGTTGTGGACTTTTTCTATGCAACCTATTTGGTACTCAGCAATCTCCTTCAATTTGAAGATTTGTGTCTCCCTTCAGCTCTGGGAAACTTCTTTATGTTTTTGTTGTTATTGTTGCTGTTTTGCTAATTTTCTCATTTCCAAATTATCCATACTTTCATTTTTGGAACTTTTATTAACTGTTTATTGGCTCACCTGAACTGATTCTCTATGTTCTTATTCTTTCTTTTGTATGTATTTATTTCTTTTGTTGTTTGAGATAGGGTTTCACTCTGTTACTCAGGCTGAGTGCAGGTGTGTGATCACAGCTCACTGCAGCCTCAGCCTCCTTGGCTCAAGCAATTCTCTCACGTCAGCTTCTGGAATAGTTGGGACTACAGGTATGCACCAACATGCCTAGCTAATTTTTTTATTTTTTGTAGAGGCGGGGTCTCACTATATTCCGCCCAGGCTGGTGTTGAACTCCTGGGCTCAAGTGATCCTCCTACCTTGGCCTCCCAAAGTGCTGGGATTACAGGCGTGAGCCACCACACCCGGCCTCATATTTCTTGCCTCAGGGTTTGTGTTCTTCTGTTTTTTTCTTCAATTATTTATTTTTCAAATATTCTTCAAGCATCCTATTAATATTTCTATTTAAATAATCAATTGTTTCTTTCTTTTTTTTTTTTTGTTTGAGACAGAGTCTTACTCTGTCACCCAGGCTGGAGTGCAATGGCGCGATCTCGGCTCACTGCAAGCTCCGCCTCCCAGGTTCACGCCATTCTCCTGCCTCAGCCTCCCGAGTAGCTGGGACTACAGGCGCCCACCACCACGCCCGGCTAATTTGTTTTTTTGTATTTTTAGTAGAGACGGGGTTTCACCATGTTAGCCAGGATGGTCTCGATACCCTGACCTCGTGATCCGCCCGCCTCGGCCTCCCAAAGTGCTGGGATTACAGGCGTCAGCCACCGCGCCCGGCCAACTGTTTCATTTTCAAGAGTTCTCTAATTATTCATTTTCATGATACATTACTTCAACTTTCTGGGAGTAGTACCTTCTTCAATCTTTCCAAGAATTTCCCCGGATTTGTTTCTCAGGGTTTTTTTTTCTTCTGTTCCTAAAATTATCCTCGCTTTTTTCCCGATCAGTTTTTCTGTTTGCTTAACTTTGTTTGTTAGGTGTTCTTCAGATACCTGGTGATTCTTGATTCATATTTAAGAATTAGGCCACGGGAAGGCTGGATAGGAGCTCGGTGTAGACAGGCAGTACTTCTCAGCCAGGCATGATCTACGCAGCTTGCTTTGTGCGTCCACCTCTGCTTTGTGTCTTGGTCAATAATCCTCCATTCACTGCCTTTCATCCGGAAATGTTTTTCAGTTTCCTCATCCACTTATGAACCTCTTCAATTTCTCTTCGTTACATATTATCAAACTTTCTTAACAAAAATTATTTACGTTGATTTTATGGATCCAGGGGGTAGCAGTAGAAATACATGTGGTAAGTTCCAAATCTTTTACGAAAATCATTAAAAATTTTCATCTTTGAACATATTGGGTGTGGAGTAATTAAGAAAGGAATTTTGGGGGTCTTTTCTTTATTTTATTTGCTTGGGACTATATCAGTTTAGGAATCAGTCTTTGACTGCAAGTAACAAAAACCCAACTAACATTGGCTTAAACAAGTAAAGGGCTGTTCTTATCCATGAAAAGGAAGTGGAAGTAGGTAACTGAGAGTGTTCATTCATCTCCTCAATGATAGTATCAGAAAACCAGGCTCTTTCTGCCTTTCCACTCCACTTCTCTAGCCTGTGGGCTTTTGTCCTTCTGTCCATCTCCTCAGGCAAATGGTTCCTGCAGCTCCAGCCACCAAATTAACATCTAAGGCAGGGTCAGTCACATCTGTCTTCTTTTTTCAGGAAAGCAAAAGATTTCCTGCCCCTTCCCATCAGACATGCACTCACTTCTAATTGGGCAAAACTGTGTCACATGGCCACCCTTATCTTCATGGGCCTGGGGAAGCCGAATACTACTTGACTTAACGGAATCTATCATCCTGAACAAAATTGGAGTTTGCAAAGAAGGAAAGGGAATGGATATTGGGTAAGCAGCCAACATTGTCTGTAGCTGGGAGCAAAATATAATTTTTGTAAAGAATAAAATTTTCAAAAAAGTTATATGATCAAATGTAAAATGTAAGATATGTAACTGATCAGCAGTAAAATCCTGATAGTATAAAATAAATCATATATGATAAAATAGAAAACATGCTTACATTTTAAAATCAAGTTTGTCTGGTGTATTTATGGAAACTGGTAAAAAGTTTAGCTTCAAGCTGCCTCCTTACATATATTAAGCTCGGCCTAAAGGTTTCTCCGTACATAGTGAACTGCAATGTAACTGGATGTGTAAACAGACTGTAACCTTCTCTTGTGCCAATCATTGAGTTTCAGCCAATCAAAGTGACCAACCGTTCAAACCATCTTCAAAGAAGGCAAACACCAAGGTGTAACCAGTCAGCTGTTTCTGTACCTGGCTTCTGTTTTCTGTACTCACTTTTCTTTTTCCATCCACAAATCTTCCACCATGTCGCTGCACTGAAGTCTTTCTGAACCTATCCTGGTTTGAGGGCTGCCCAATTTGTGAATCATTCTTTGCTCAATTAAACTCTGTTAAATTTAATTTCTTAAGGTTCTTTTCTTTTAACAAAATCATCTGGCAACCCAAAGTACACGACAAAAATTTGTGATTAAAATGTATCTGGGTAATAATCAAATTGCATAAAGGTCATTTACAAACCATAGACTTCTACCTCTTCACATATTTAAGAACAATATTTTCCGGCGTGGAAGTTGTCTCAATTTTTCTAGAAGGCTGCTATCCCTTTCTACTTGGCACTCATTGTACCCAGGGTTAGGACCACGCCCAAGTGGTTTTTCTTTTTTTTTTTTTGAAGAAAGGTTAAAATGAAACACAAGGCTTTTTCTTGACTTATAAATACCTGACCTGTTAAATATTTGCTATATATGTTACATATTAGTGTCTGTCTCAGCCATGGCCTTATCTTCTTGAGATATCTGCCACAGCAGGTATGCCTGGGACTCCAGTGCTCTCTTCAGCAAGCTTTTTTTTTCCACTTAAAAAAAAATTCAGAGGGCATTTAATTTCAAAAGGGATATGTCCTTTAGGATTGATTTTGCTGCAGGTAAGGCAAACCTAAAATAACAGTAGCTTAAAACAAATAGAAATGTATTTCTCTAATATGAAAGAACTCCCAAGATGGAAAGTCCAGGGATAGTAAGGCAGTTTGGTCCCAGGCTCCTCCTATGCTCTGCTTTTCTCGGCATGTAGCTGAGGGTCCAAAATAGCTGCTTGAGCTCCGGCCATAACAGCCACATTCTATACAACAGGACGAAGTAAGGGACACTGTAAGAATACTTCCTAGAAGCTGTACACAACACTTTCTATTGTTCCCCCACATGGCCATATCTAGCTGCAAAAGAAGCTGGGAAAAATAGTCCTGATTCCATGTGGCCACGTGGTCGGTTGAAAATCAGGTATTCTATTACTAAGCAATAATAGATATTGGCATCAAAGAGCCATCTTTGTCATGTGTTATGACAACACTTAACAAGGCTTTTTACCCTATTGCACAAAATGTGTCAGGCCCTATCCTGAGTGCTCTGCATGTATTAAATTATTTCATTCTCAGAACAACCCTGTGAAGTAAGTGTTGTTATCTCCATTTGTCAGCAGAGAAAATGTGGACGGAAATTATTCTATTTGCTTGATACCCAGCACACAGCCTAACACAGCACCTCTTGCCCTCAAGTATTTAATTAATGCTTTTTGGTGACCTTGACTGACAGTGAAAATGCACACAGGTCTGCAGGAGGTTGATTTAAGCCTACCACTTTGGGTAATCATGTTTGCAAAGGGTTTTAAATTATTGATGTTGATTTTCTAATATTCTGTACTGGGAAGCATGCTTTTCAAAGCTGTGTGCTCTAATGAAGAGTCCTCATGATTAGACTTGTTGGCTAAATATCCCAAGGGGGACTGGAATCACCAGTGGATGATTTCAAATTGCTGCTCCTTGGGGTGCAGCCAGGCCTGACTTTGTGTGATGTGGAACTGTGATAGGTCTCAAAGATCTTAGGAAGTGGATCTAGAACAGGGAAAGATCAGAATTCAGCTGTGGGCTGGAGAAGGACCAGCTAAGGACAATACACACCAAAGTATGGTGGTGGAAAGCGGCTTGTCACTTTTCTAGGTTAGTATTTTCCTGGCATTTCCTGGGCATTCTTTTAAAGTCCTGGAAATGTAAGGCAAATGGCCTTTTATCACTATGGCAATTTGGTCAAGAAAAATGTAAGCAAAATCTACATTTCCAAAAAGCAATATCGTGTGTTTATTCATTTTTTTTTCTTCTTCCAGCTGCCACATTAATGTCAGGATGCTCCACAACGGTGACAGGTCATGAGACTTTTCAGATTATTTTGCTGTGAATTTTTAAATATTTCATGTAAACCATAGACTGACTGTAATGTTTAGTACAGTTTTCTCACCCCATAGGTCCTTTGCCAAATAAAATACCGGGAAGGAAAGTCTGAGAGATTTTTATGTGTGGATTCTTTTTATCATTCCTTAAAATATATTTCCTCTCTTAGCAACAAAGGAACTTTAGCTCTAGAAAGCTTTGTACTGTGTTATAACTTTCATATTACCCTTTCCACAGCCATTTTTCTTTGGCTGCTTGGTGTATATCATTCATTGCAAGTTTACTTCATTCCCCTGGATTCATAGCTGATGCTCTGTGGACCATAAAATTTCAGCTGCAAAACCAGAACATCTCATTATTTCTGAAATATCAAGCTTGTATCTTCTTGATAAATAATTCCTACTAGTATAATGTATCAGACTAAAACATATTTTCTGAGGCCAGTGAGGTTAAAGCGGCAATCTCACCTTTTTTAATTTTTTCGCCCTGAAGACAGTGATTTCCATATATAGAGTGACCCCGGTTTGTGTTGAACATGGGGAATGAGGATGAAGCATGAAACGGCACATATTGCTGTCAGAGATTTGAAATGAGGCCTGCTAACCTGTAGGCAGCCTTCCAGACTAATCAGCCCCTCGCATTACCAATATATTCAGATAGCTGCACACCTTAGCTAGCAGTGGGCTGGGAAGTTTTCCCTTTCTTCCTGCTGCTTCTTCTCCTTTTTTTTTTTTTTTTTAAATCACAGTCATTGACAAACATTACATTTTAATGCAATTCTTCCTTCCCTCTCCTACTCCACTGGGAAAAAAAGGAAAAAAAGAAAAAAAGAGAGAGAAAGAAAAAAAGAGAGAGAAAGAAAAAGTTTCCATTGATATCATATCTCTGAGACACTAGTTTCATCTGATTTCCCTGATGCCTGAGAAGTGGGTGCAACTGTTTGAATTTGCTTTTGAATATACATCGGTCAGCAGTGCTTACACAGGTGATAACATTTTTACTCTTTCAGTAGACAACAGTCAACGCTCTGGAATTCAGCCACTTGCTAAAATTGGCTGCCCAATTTTCTAGCACCAGGAGCTTTTTTTTAAGGATATCGTGTCACCACTCTGAGTTTTGTTTCTTGTACATTACAAGGTAGCAACATTGGGAAGGGCAAGAGGTTTTAAAAAATGAATAATTTGTTTTCTGCTTCCTGAAGTCCTCTCTTTTAGTGTCTGTTTCACAAACAAGGAAATCTGCCAAAATCATGCCAAAAAATTTCTCTGTTTCAGGCCTGCAAATGAATGGTAGAATCTATGTGTGTGTGTATATAGATATATATTTATATGTATTAATTTAACATATGTACATATGATACATAATATATATCTAACATATGTATACATATATTAGCATATATAGTATATACGTCTGACATATGTACGTACATACGCACACATACATACACACATACACGTAAGCACAATTCAGGTGACTTAATATAAGTCATTTCCAGGTCAATTATCCCACTATCTGATGGTGCCGCCTTCTTGTAGCTGTTACTGATGTCAAGAAGCACCACGGTGATTGTCTGCCTTGGAGGGAATTTGTTTTCTATGCTGACATTGTAAACAGCTACAACAGCAATTCCAACCTGTGGGCCTTGGGCCCTTGGTGGGCCACGAGTTATTTCAAGAGGTCTTTCCATCCATATGTAGAGTAAGCCTTCTGAGGAGGCAGAATGAGAAATATTCATGTATATAAGGCCATTTTTTTAAAACATACAAGTGCTATTATGATGATTAAAATTCTAAAATGTATTTAATAGCATTATTGAATTTATGGTATTTTTGTCATTATATATTTTCTCCACTGAAAGTACAATGATCTTTTGATTAGTGGGTGTAATGTTTTAACCTTGAAGAAAAGACCTCATACACAAAAGATCAGAAACCACTGAGCCGAGGAAGACAGGAAATTAAGATAGATCCAGAGTGATGAAGATGCTGCATGTGGGAAGCAGGGGGCTGGAGCCACAGGGCACCTAGAAAGAGCTGCCAAATGTTACTTTGGCTTTTTACTCCTTGGGTCTCCCAGGAGTGAAGACCCTATGACATGGATCCCTTAATAGACCATAGCATCACGTGACCAAATTATCCAGTAAGTAGCCCCTTCTTAGGATCTAGACAGGTAGGTTTTCTTTTTTTTTTTTTTTAACCACTTTACTGATTGTTACACAAACAGCCATACATATTTAATGTATACAACCTGAGTTGGAGATGAGGACACACCCATTAAACCATCACTTCAATATATGCCATAAATTTATCCATCACCTCCAAAAAGTTCCCCCAGCCCTCTTTATTTGTGATTATTACTTTGTGTGTGTGATGAGAACACTTAACATAAGATTTACTATCTTAGCAAATTTTAAAGTATGGAATACAGCATTGCTTACTCTAGTCACTGTGTCACTCAGTAGATCTCTAGCACTTATTCATTTGCATAACAGAAACTTTGTACACTTGGACCAATACCTCTCCTTCTCCCTCCCCCCAGCCACAGCAACCAACCATTCTACTCTCTGCTACCATGAGTTCAAATGTTCTGGATTCCCCATATGTGTATTATCATGTAGTATTTGTCCTTCTGTGTCTGGCTTATTTCACTCAACATAATGTCCTCTAAATTTATCCACGTTGTCACGAATGGCAGGATTTTCCTCTTTTCAAAGGCTGGATAATACTCTATTATATGTATGTGCCACATTTTCTTTATCCATTTGTCTTTCGAACGACATTTAAATTGTTTCTGTATCTTGGCTACTGTGAGTAATGCTGCAGTGGACATGGGAGTGCAGACATTTCTTCAAGATCTTGACATCAATTCTCTTGGACATATATACAAAAGTGGGATTGCTGGCTCATATGGTAGTTCTTTTCAATTTTTTTGAGAAACTTCCATAGCAGGCATACTTTTTGACTAACTTTATCACGGTACTCTTTAATGGAAAATACACCAGCTTGTTGAAGAGAATTTAGATTAGTACTTTTCAAGCTTAGATATGTAGAGGCCTCTTCTAAAAGGAAAACCATATCATTAAATTTTGATATATAACCTTGTTTATTAATGTTACTTAAAATATGCAAACATAAAATTAGGCATAACTTCTTAATGCCTATGATCTTGTTATAAATCAAGTATAATACAAAATAATGAAATTTCACTTAACAACATTAAAGTGTGATGTTATTTTGCTAAAACGCCATTGCAAACTTGTGATATGAAAATATGCTGATTGCCGGCCAGGCATGGTGGCTCAAGTTCCAGCACTTTAAGAGGCCGAGGCAGGTGGATCACCTGAGGTCAGGAGTTTGAGACCAGCCTGGCCAACATGGCAAAAGCCTGTCTCTACTAAAAATACAAAATCAGCCAGACATGGTGGCGGGCATCTGTATTCCCAGATACTCGGGAGGCTGAGGCAGGAGAATCACTTGAATCCGGGAGGCAGAGGCTGCAGTGAGCCAAGATCACGCCATTGCACTCCGGCCTGGGCAACAGAGAGAGACTCTGTCTCAAAAAAAAAAAAAAAGAAAAAGAAAAGAAAAGAAAAAAAGGAAAGAAAGAAAGAAAATATGCTGATATGCTAATTGCCACAACACAGACTTTTTGTTTTAAGTTTGGCCTATAATGCCTACCATGCCCTATGTGATAATCCAATTCTTCCACCATTTTTCTCTTTTTAAACTATTTTGATTTTATAGTACAGTTGATTATTATCAAAATAAAAACTCAAAGCTACAATATTGTTATAGAGTTCTCCCAGACCTGAAAGAATACACCTTCAAGCATCCGAGGACCCCAGATGGAGAAACACTGCTTTAGATATAGAACATCTGATGACAATGAAGGAAACTTTAGAAGCAGCATCCTGAGCAAATGTCTTGGGCAGAATGGAGTCCAAATAGCAACATTCTTGTTAATTCACTGTTAGAAATGCAGTGACAGGGACAGAGTTCAGCAAACACATACAAGTAAGTAAGTAAAAGCAAACCAGTCTTTAAAGAAGACAAGGAGACCTCTATTTGTGGATTTAAGATAATTTGATGAAACAGTTTTCTAAATATTAACTTTTCCTATTTACCAGAAAACTTGCTCAGTCTATTTTGCGTTTTTTTTGTTTTAAAATTAGAGATACAAATTTCATAACAGAATCTTATAGTTGCCTTCTTTTATACCTATGAACGATTTCCTTTCTAAATTGTGAAAAGCTTGTTGCAAAGCATCTGTCCTTGGTTCAACCCACCTAACATCATGTTCTGTAACATGCATGATTCTCTGCCAGTGTGTTACACAGTCACCAGCTCACCTGCTGGCAGCTGCACCAGTTTACTTACAAAACTCAGGGTGATTTGGGCTTGAATGAGACCTACAAATTGCCAAGGATGTCTATGCTCACTGTTTTACATTTTCAGAGAATCGCTAGCCGAATCCTGCTACCTGTATTGCCCCATACTCATGTAAATGGATTTTTATTTATTGACAGCCTTTCATTTTATTTGCTTTTCACCTGGAAAATATTTATTGGATGCTTTCAGTAACAATCTCTAATTCAGGTGTACAAGTCCTCAAGGAATTTGCATCTTTTCTGCTTTAAAAGTTTTTAATTTTTTTCCTCCCTTGAAGTTTTATACAGTATTTTTCTAATATTAATTCCACAAGGAAGAAGTTCTGTTAGGGATCCACAATTGCATCCATAAAAGATGTATTTTTTTTCTCATTTGGAGTTGCAATTTAAGAGCATAATCATATTGGTTTTTATTCCAACAAGTTTAGTCACTGTTATCTAGAAGGCATTATGAAAATGTGAGTGAACTACCATGGAACATGTATTTAAGATATCTGGGTGAACTTGGTGAAACTGTGCTCTTACAATTGTTCCTACAGTATGTTACCTTTTTGGTATGTCATTTCTAATTCCTTTTTTTTTTTTTTTTTGGGACAGTCTCACTCTGTTGTTCAAGCTGGAGTGCAGCAGTGCGATCTCAGCTCACTGCAACCTCTGCCTCCCGGGTTCAGACAATTCTCTTGCCTCAGCCTCCCAAGTAGCTGGGTTTACAGGTGTGCACCACCACACCTGGATAATTTTTATATTTTTAGTAGAGATGGGGTTTCACCATGTTGGCCAGGCTGGTCTCAAACTCCTGGCCTCAAGTGATCCACCCACCTCCACCTCCCAAAGTGCTGGGATTACCAGCGTGAGCCACTGCACCCATTCTTGTCATTTCTAATTCTAACCTCCCAGAAATATTTTTATATAATAAGATTCTCCCAGAAATATTTTTATAAACATTTTTAAGAAAAGAAAGTAGGCTTGGAGAGATACATTTGTTCAACTTATGATATTTCATAAGTTGCTGAGCCAGAACTCAAATGAAAGCCAGATTTACAGTGTCCCCACTATACCTCATTGTCTCAGACTGTTCAGACTGCTAAAACAAAATACCTTAGACTGGATAATTTATAAATAACAAAATTACTGTTCACAGTTCTGGAGACTGAGAAGTCCAAGATCAAGGCACCCGCAGATGCAACATGTAGTAAGTGCACGGTCTCTGCTTAATAGATGGCTTCTTGTTGCTGTGTTTTCACATAGTGGAAGCGGGAAGGCAACTCCCTTCAACCTCTTTTATTAGGACACTAATCCCATTCACAAGTGGAGAGTCCTCATGATTTAATCACTTCCCAAAAGGCCCCACCTTTTAATATTATCATATTGGGTATTAGGTTCCAAACTATGAATTTGTAAGAGATATCAACATTCAGACCATAGCACTAATGGATTATGAGCAGTTAGCCCAGTGGATTCCTATGTTCTGAACAAACACGCAAAGACTCAAATAGAAGAGCATCTTCCTCCTAGGCTCTAAGGTACACATCTGAAGCTGGACCAGAAGCATGATTAAGAGTCAGCTTGTTTAGTGGCAAAGCTAACCCTGAGCAGATAATGCATTGCACCTGGCCTATGGCTATGCAGAGCCTCCTTTGTCTATGTTAAGAGTCTGGGTTATGGCCAGGCATGGTGGCTCACCCCTGTAATCCCAGCACTTTGGGAGGCTGAGGTGGGCGGATCACAAGGTCAAGAGATCGAGACCATCCTGGCCAAGATGGTGAAACCCTGTCTCTACTAAAAAATACAAAAATTAGCTGGGCATAGTGGTACACACCTGTAGTCCCAGCTACTCAGGAGGCTGAGGCAGGAGAATCTCTTGAACCTGGGAGGCGGAGGTTGCAGTGAGCCGAGATCGCACCAAAGCACTACAGCCTGGTGACAGAGCAAGACTTCATCTCAAAAAAAAAAAAAAAAAAAAAAGAGTCTTGGTTACAACTATTGTATAAACCAGAGATCAGCATGCTAAGGCCCGTAGACCAAATCTGGCTCACCACCTGCTTCTGTAAATAATATTTTATTGGAACACAGTCCTGCTCATGTTTTTAAAGCATATTGTCTATGGCAACTTCCACACTACAGAAAATCAGAGTTGAGTAGTTATGACAAGATCATATGGCTCACAAAGCCCAAAATACTGTCTTTTATAAAAAATGTTTGCTGCCCATTGGTATAGACTAATATATTTTAAAATCAGTATAACATGATTAGCTAAGAAAATACAATTCAATTTTGCATGGTTTTTCTTAAAACTCTGATAAGCAGCATTATAGGACAAATCCATACATATTTACGTGGCACTGGGCTTCCATAAGAATAGGGACAGTTGAAATTCCATAGGTATTTGAGCACATTGATGCTTCATAACCTTTGGAATATAAAGTTCTTCTGTCTTTGCACTGTAACATTGTAGGAATTCCTCCTTATTTCTGATTGGCTAAAACAAAAACGAAACATAAGCTTGAGCATGCAAACAGCATTACAATAGATCATAGAGCATTTCTGTAGTATCCTGTGTCTTAGTCAGTCCGGGCTGCTATAACAAGGCACACAGACTGGGTAGCTTATAGACAACAACCATTCATTGTTCACAGTTCTGGAGGCTGGAAGTCAAAGATCAGGGTGCCAGCATGGTGGGTTTCTGTTGACGGACCTCTTCCAGGTTGAGGGCTGCTGGTTTCTCATGGTATCTTCACATGGCAGAAAGAGGTCAAGAGAGCTCTCTGGGGTCGCTTTTATAAGGGCACTAACAACCTCATTCATGAGGGCTCCACCCTCATGACACAATCACCTCTCAAAGCCCACCTCCTAATCCCATCCCATTGGGGGTTAGGATTTCAACATATGAATTGTGGAAGGATGCAGGCATTCAGTTCATAATATCTTGTGGCCTCCATCTTTTTCCACTTGTCAGGAAATGCTTCTCAGAATGTATTACTCTCCCATCATTGAAATGGACTGTTGAACACATGGATTAGTATAACAGGGAACATGCATACATCTCTCTGATGCCTTAGGAGCCCTTCTTATAAGGAATGCACATTAAATTTAGCATCAGGACCAATTTTCTTACTAGCTATATCACTTCTTAAGGGAAAGGAGCAGAAGGAAGCCATAGAGGTTCCCTCACTTTGCTCTCCCCTCCACTAGCCCACCACATACCCTACCTATAGCTATCAAAGGTTTTGGAAAGAGGCAGATCAAGTGAATTGTATGATGCCGGGGTATCAGGCAGGCTTTGGTGGTGGGGTAGATGCATGGAAGGCATGTTTTGCAGTAACTCTAAGGATTATGGAGTGTGCTTATCTTTAAATCTTCTTTGGGGCAAGTCTTTTTCTTCTTATCATAATCATATTTTTCCGATACCAGAATCAAGGTGCACTGTGTGGGAAAAGGAGGCTTTGTGATTGTGAATTTATATGATTTGCTTGTGTAAAAAGGGATAAACATCAAGAATGGCCTCACATTCCAACAATGAAAGTTGATGTGCTGCTTGCCTTATGACAGTAAAGAAACCCATATCCCATCAGCATTTTTGCTTAGTAGGTTTTATTATTGCTCCAAAGCATAATGAGGAGACTGAATAAACCGGCCTTCACTGTGCTCTACCAACGTGGTTTTGGACTTCGATAAGCTTTCCCCATGAGAGTGTGAAAGATTACTTGCAACATTAAAATTTTTCTTCCATGCCGCAAAGATATATAGCTAATTAGTGAAACAGCCTTCTGTAATTCATCTTTTCCATCTTTTTGCACCTTTAAAGGGGGCGTAAGTAAGATTATCAAAATTTCCTTAGATGCAATAAGGAGACTGCACAACATCAGGATGTACCTGGTTAAACCTGACTTACTAGTTGGGTATTCCATTATTTTAACATCTTTCATGCAATTTTAAAAATTGAAATACTATCTGAAACTTGCTGCAAATGAGAAGCAACTCTTCTATAACATTGTGGATACTCTTCTCTAGTGGTTAACACCATGCTCACTCTTTGGTGACACTCCTTCTGGCCCCAAGTGTTCTCTGCCCAACACTGAAGAAAATGAAACCCAGTGCTTTTTGTTAAACTGAGTGGCAAGTTCCAGCTATTGGTCAGCACCGTTGCCCTGCGTTTCTCCAAGGGAGTGCTTTAGCCCTAGGCAATCCCTGGCCCAGCTTTGACTCTGGTCCTCATAAGAGGAGGTGGTCGCCTAGAGAGACATGGCGTATGCCCACTGTATAACACAAGACTCAAACAGCATGGTCCTTCAGTCTCACTTGCACCTATCCTAACCTTGTTAACATACCCCATCTATTTCCTCTTGCTTCTTGCTATATGTTTTAAGAAGTGTAATTTGAATGTCTTAATTTGGTTTTCAAGCCTTTTCAGTGCATGGCCTCTGGGGTCATTCACCCACTAGAGTACTGGAAGACTATCACTGCATCAAGGTAATTTCCAACACAATGATAGTGCTCTTCCTTACAGCTGATTACATCAGCCATATTTGCTTTTATTTCAAAATGCTAAGGAATGTTTACTCAGTTGATCTGACTTATCCATTAAATAGCAAATTCACTTAAAAAGTAAGTACTAGAAATATAAATACCAAAAAATGCCAAAAAAGTTAAAGATAACAAATACCAAATACCACCTAAAATGAACAAATGTTAATAATTTTTCATCTTCGCAGCAGATTTTTAAATTTTATTTCTTGTCTTATCAAAAAACAATGTCCTGAGAAAGGGTGTTAAGGAGATCAATGATTTTGAGTGTTTGCATTAATTCTCTCAACAAATATTCACTGAGTTACTAAAATATAAGGAATATCCTGATCTAAGCGGTGCAATTAGTCATTCATTCTGAGCAAATTACACCCCAGTACATTTCTAATAACTGAAATCACACATAATACGTTCTCTGACAACAGAAAAATAAAGCTAAAACTCACAAGAAGTTAAATACGAGATCCTCAGATATTTGGAAATTAAGAAGTAGACTTCAACTGGATATTCAGGCTTTCTTTTCAGTAAATTGCCTGATCATATTGTTGACCTGGTTTTAAAAATTGAGTTTATTATCAATGTGCATGAGTTCTTTATATATGCAGGATACTAATTATTTGCTTTATACATATTTCGAAAATCATTTATCTCTTTTTCTGGCTTTTCTTTTAACTTTTTTCTTTTGTGATTCAGAAGGTTCTAACTTCTATATAGTCAATTTTGCCATTTTTTCACCTGATTTCTGGGGTTTTTTAAATATCTTATTTAATAAATCTTTCTCTTCCTTGAGGTCATAAAATTATTCCTCTATAATTTAATATTTAATATTTTTTCACAATTAGGTCATGAAATATCTAGGTTCATAATGTAAGGTATGAATTAGGAATGAGCTTTTATATTTTTTATATGGAAAACCAATTGTCTCAGCACCTTTGAATTGCAAATTTCTACATTTATTTCCCTCTGTTTGTGAATTCTCCATCCTTTCCACTGATTCATTTGTCTATCTCTACACTAATACTATACCCTCTTAATTTCTATGGCTTTATAATAAGACCTAATAACTAGTGGCATAAGTCTGGTTCTGCATCAGAATTTACCTTGCACTCTTGGGTATCCATTCATTTATTTCACAAATATTTATTGAGCAACTAGTGTATGTCATGCACTTCTTTTCATGTGCTTGGAGGTAAATCAGTGAATAAAAGAGTTACTAATCCCTGTGCTCATAACGTCTTATATATTTACCTGTGAATATAGGAATTATTCTGTCAACTTTCACAAAAATCCTATTAGGATTGTGACAGAAATTACATTTAATTAAAACACTAATTTGAGAAGAATCACTATCTTTATGCTATTGAAACTTTTCACCTGAATGTCGAATCTCTTTATTTATTCAGCTATTTTTTTGTGCCCTTCGATTACATTTTGTGATTTTCTCCGTAAAATTTCTTACATCTTATTAAATTATCTCTGGGTACTCAGTAGTTTAGTTATTGAGAATGGTCTGTTTTTTTAATTACGTTTTATAATTGGTTATTGCTGCTCTACAGAAACGTTTACTTTGTGTATGATGACTGTATCTAGCAATTTTTTAAATTCTAACTAATTCTAATCATTTTTTTCTGAAGATTTCCTTAAATTTTCTATGAGGATAGCAATACAATATGCAAATATAGACGATTTTTGTCTCTTCCTTTCCAATCTTTACACCTTTTATTTACTTTTCTTTCCTTTTCTTTTGGCATTGACTGGACCTCTATAACAATGATAAAAGTTGTGCACATAGTGGGACAATATTGCCAAATTCCTGACTTTAATGGGACCACTCCTCAACTTTATAATTAAGATGTTTGGTCTATGTTTTGGAAAATACCATTTCACATAAAGGAGGTTTCTTTCTTTTCCTACTTTGCCAATAATTTCATATTTCATAAATATTAAATTATATCATGTTCTTTATATATGTATAGACATCATTATGATTCTAATACATTTATGTATAAATTACATTGCTAGATTTTCTTAGGTTGAACCAATTTTACATTTTTGAAATGAATTGTACTTGATCATCATGAATGGCCATTTGTTGCATTTGGTTTGTTTATACTTTATATGAATTTTTATATTGGTTATAACTTATTTAGAAACATTGAATGTTTATCTATAAGCAAAATAGGTATATAGTTTTTAACACTATACAATCCTTTGTCTGGTTTGATATCTAGGTTATAACCGTCTCATAAAATGCTGCTCTTTTTCTGTTCGTCCAGATTTTAAGGTAAAGAATATTTTTATCTAAAATATTGGTTCTTTTCTTCTATAAAGTTTTCTGGTCCAGGTGCCTTTTAGAGGAGAGTATTCTTTTTAACCACAGATTAATTTCTTTTTAAAAATTGCTGTTGGTTTGTACAGTTTTTCTACGCTTTTAGTCAATTTTTTTCTAGAATATTTTCCATCTCAGCTAAGTGTTCAACTTTAGTGGCATGAAGCAACTTACAATATTCTCTTATAATTTTTAAAATCCCTACTCACTGTAGTTATGGACCATCTCTTTGTTCCTAGAATAATTTGTTTATTTATGCCTGTCTTTTCTTTTCTCTTTTTTTCTTTTTGTCTCAATTAATTTGGCCAATGGTTTGTTTTTATTTTGCAGATCTTCCAAACAAAACATATTTTCTTTTGATAGCATCTATGCTTTTATTTTCTATTTAATCAATTTCTCCACATATCCTTATTATTTGTTTCCTTTTTTGAGGGAGTTACTCTTTTCTGTATTCTTGAGCTGAATTTTTACTTGTTTTTTTAGCCAATAATAATAATCACTAACATTTATGAAGTGTTCACAATGTATACTGTGCCAGAAATTTTTACTTGCTTTTTTTTCCCACTTTTATTTTAGAATTAGGAGGTACACATACAGGTTTGTTACAAAGGTATATGGCATGGTGCTGAGGTTGGAAGTACGAATTAATCTGCCACCCAGATGGTGAACATGCCTGCTTATTTTTAGTGTCATGTTTTTTAGTTAAGATTATACATTTTCCTCTAAGTACCAATTTAGCTGTATCCCACAAATTTTGAAACATAGTAGTTTTTATTGTCACTTAGTTCTATATATTTTCTTATTTAAACTGTAATTTTCTCTTTAGCCATAAATTATTTAATAATTTGTTTTTAGTTTTTAAACACACGGGTTTTAATTTTACAGTATTTTATTGTTTTCCATTTTAATTCTTTGTGGTCAGGAAAAATAAGCTTTAAGATGATAATTTAAAAAAATTTATTGATACTTCCTTTGTGATCTAGTGCTTAGTCAACTTTGCTAAATGTTATATGTACGTTTGCAAAAAAAAAGTAAATTATCTAATAACCTCAAGTTGTTTTTTGATTACACTGTTAATTATGGGGTTCAAATCTCATTTATGTTTCTAATTTGTTATCCATACATAACGTAATTTGATCCATACATAATGTATAGATATTATAGATTTATGTACTTATGGATTTGTTTGTTTTCCTTATGTTTTTCAGTTTTTGCTCTATGTTTTCCTAGGTTCACAGAAATTTATAATTGTTACATCAGCAAGTTTTTCATTCTATCTTTGTTTATTATTATATCACTATTAATGCTTCCTATCTTAAACTGTGTTTTATCTGATAGTAATATTGCTACAGAAGCTTTCTTTTTGAATTTTTATTTATTTTTAGCCTTTTGATATTTTGTTGTTATTTTAGATGTGTCTCTTATATGCGGCATGCATCTGGATTGCAATTTTATATTAATTCTGTACATTCTCTATAAATGATTATATTTGTTGTATTTACCTTTCTTTGTGCTTTTTATGTAACTGAACTTTTAATTCTTTCTAAAAAACTTTTACTTTTAGAATAGTTTTAGACTTGCAGAAATATTACAAAGAAAACACAAAGAGTTCGCATATACCTCCACACCCAGCTTCCCCTATGATTAACATCTGACATTAGTATGGGATATTTGTCACAACTAATGAGACAATATCAGTACATTTTATTAACTAAAGTCCATACTTTATTCAGATTGCCTCAGTTTTTACCTAATGTCTTTTTGTTGTTGCCATAGGATCCCATTGAGGATACTGTAGTAGACTTAGTTCTTCTGTGTTCTTAGGTTCCTCTTGGCTGTGACAATTTCTCAGACTTTCCTTGTTTTTGATGATCTTGACAGTTTTGAGGATTATTAGTCAGGCAGTTTGTAAAGTGTCCCTCAACTTGGATTTGTCTGATGTTTTTTGCACAGGTAGTCTGGGGTTATATGTTTTGAGGGAGGAATTCAACACAGGTAAAGTGCCATTTTTGTCACATCATATCAAGGTACATACTATCAATACGATTTAGCACTGTGAATATTGACCTTGATCACTATGGAGGATTGGTTTCTCCATGGTGATCAAAGGATACCAAAATCCATGGATGCTTAGTCCCTGATATAAAATGGCATAATATTTGCAAATAATCTATGCACATCCTCCTGTATACTTTAAATAATCTCTAGATTATCCATAATACCTAATACAATGGCTACACATCAATTCATTTATGTGAACTGAATGGAGAACTTGATGTGTGGCAAATTCAGGTTTTGGTTTGGAGAACTCTGTGGAATTGCTTTTTCTGAATATTTTAAATCTGCAGTTCATTCAATCCATGGATACAAAGGGCCAACTGTATGCCATTTCACATGTAGTGTAGCTTAACTTATTCCCAATTCCTCTCTCCTACCTGATATGACACTGCTGTCTTTCTTTCACCTAATCGTATGTATTATCCCTCAACACATTATTACTATTATTCCTTTAAACAAACAGTTATCTTTTAGATCAATTAAGAATGAAGATTTTATTTTACTTTTATTTTTTTCCTTCTGCTGTACTATAGTCTTCATTGCTTGATGTAGATCTGAATTTCTGATATACGTCCTTTTCCCTGAAGAACTTCTTTTAACATTTCTTACAGGGCAGAGCTGCTGCTGATGAACTCCCCATTTTTTGTTGACCTGTGAAAATTTGTATTTCTCTTTTATTTCTGAATGGTTATATTTCTGGTTATAGAATCGTAGGTTGGTGACAGGTTTTTTTTCAGTTTTTTATGGCTTTAAGTACAGTTATATGCTGGTTACTCCACAATTTGTATCTCCATCCTGGCCTCTTTTCTGAATTCCAGATTTGTTTATCAAACTACCATCTTGGGCATCTCCTCTGGAATGCTTAATAGGTATCTCAAATTGAAAACTGAGGCCAGACACAGCCGCTCATGCCTGTAATCCCAGCACTTTGGGAGGCCAAGGAAGGAGGATTGCCTGAGGCCAGGAGTTGGAGACCACCCTGGGCAATAAAAAGACCTCATATCTGCCAAGAAGTTTAAAAGTTAGCCAGGCATGGTGGCTTTTGTCTATGGTCATAGCTAATTAAGAGGCTGAAGTGGAAGAATCCCTTGAGCCCAGGAGTTCAAAGTTACAGTGAGCTGTGTCGGCCTGGGTGACAGAGCTAGATCCTGTCTCAAAAATATAAGTAAATTAATAAATGAAATAGAAAACTGTGCTCCTGATATTCCTCCACAAGCCTGAGTCTCCCACATGCTTTCCAACTCAGTAAATACCTACGCTAATTTTCTAGATACACAGGTAAAAGATGTAAATTACTCTTGCCTCTTTTTATTTCACATCTCACTTTAAACTCATCAACAATTCCTGTCATCTCTATCTGGAATGAATATCAAAATCCAAAATATTCTCATGACTTCCACTGCTACCAACCTGGTATGAGCTGTCATTGTTTTTTACTTGGATTGTGGCAACAGACTTCTAGCTGATCTCCCTGCTTCTACCCTTAACCCCCTTTCATCTATTCCCAACACAATGATCCTGATAAAACAGAAGCCATGTCGCGTCACTGTTCTGCTAAAACCCTCCAATGGCTTACCATCTCTCGCAGAGTAAAAGCCAAAGTTCTTACAATGGCACACAAGGCTTTACACTATCTGGCCCTCATCTCAATCTCTCCTTCCTCCTACCATTTCAGTCATGTTTTTGTCCTTGCTATTCCTCAAAATCTTTCAGACAAGCTCCTGCCTTACGGCATTTGCATTGGCTGTTTCCTATAACTGGATCATTCTTTCCTCAAGGGATTTACATGGCTTATTCTTTCCCTTTCTTAATTCAAACATCATGTTATTAAGAGCATTCCTGACCATCCTATTTAAAATCTTAATCATAGACATACTTAAAACTCTATCCCTATTTTGTGCCTTTCTTTTGTCATTAGGACTTGCCACCACCAAACATCTATATATCTTCCTTCTTTATCTGTTTTTTTTTTTCTTTTTTTTTGACAGAATCTCACTGTCATCCAGGCTGGAGTGCAGTGGTGCAATCACGGCTTACCACAGCCTCTACCTCCCAGGCTCAAGCAATCCTCCCACCTCATTCCCCGAGTAGCTAGGATTACCGGTGCACACCACCATGCCCAGCTAATTTTTTAATGTTTGTGTAGAGGCAGGGTCTCAAACTCTTGGGCTCAAGCAGTCCTCCTGTCTCAGCCTCCCAAAGTGCTGTGATTACAAGCATGAGCCACCAATTTATCTTGTTTATCTTGCTTATTGGCTGTTTGTCTCTCACAAGAATGAAATCTCTCTGAAGGCAAAGGATGTTTACTCTTTTTTACATTTTTTTATTCCCACTGTCTAAAACAATGCCTAACATATAATAAACATATATTGTTTATAATATTTATTTATTATAATTAATGAGTTAATAAATGAATAGCTATATTTTTCATTTTCAGGATTTATAGTTAGTTCTTTTGCATGTCTATCTTTTTTATTCATATTTGCTCATTTTTGTTCATAATTTATTCTTTTACAATTGGTGTTATTCTTTTCTTCTCTGTTCTGAAAATATTAACCCTCTTTGTTATTAGGTCATTTTAGGATTATTCTATCACTTTCATTTCATTGGGGGTAAATTTATCTACCAAATGTTGAACATGTTGAATTTCAAGAGTGTGTGTATGTGTGTGAATATTTTCCTTGTGTGTTTTGGAATGCAGTTTTCAGCCTGGTTTTAAGTAAAGTTCTCTGTCTGTCTGTCTCTCTCTCTCTTTTTCTCTCTCTTCCAAAGAAATACAAATGGTTATAAATGAAAACAAAACAAACATTTAAAAAGAAGAATCAAATAGAAATCTTAAAAAAGAAAAATGTAGTCTTCTCTATTACTGATTCAATTTTGGAGCTGAATAGGCAGAAAAAATTCTAGGTTGTACACTTTGAAGGTATGGTTAGGAAAAATAGAAGCAAGAACTGAAGAAATCACCAAATAATAAGATATGCAGAGCCAAGGAGATGAAGAATATGAAAGAGGAGTTAAAGGATGAGGAGAGTAGATTTAAAGCTCCAGTATATGTTGAACCAGCCTTGCCTCCAAGGAATAAAGCCTACTTGATCATGGTGTATTAACTTTTTGATGTGCTGCTACATTCAGTTAGCTAGCATCTTATTGAGGATTTTGTGTCTATGTTCATGAGGGATATTGGCCCGAAGTTTTATTTTTTCATTGTGTCTTGCCAGATTTTGGTACCAGGCTGATGCTGACTTCATAGAATGAGCTAGGGAAGAGCCTCTCCTCCTTGATTTTTCGGGATAGTTTCAGTAGGATTAGTACCACTTCTTCTTTGTACATCTGGTAGAATTTGGCTGTGAATCTACCTGGTCCAGGGCTTTCTTCGGTTGGTAGTTTTCTGTATTACTGATTCAGTGTTGGAGCTTGTTACTGGTCAGTTCAAGTTTTCACTTTCTTCCTTGATCAATCCTGGGAGGTTGTGTGTTTCCAAATATTTATCCATTTCCTCTAGATTTTATAATTTGTGTGCCTAGAGTTGTTCATAATCGTTTCTGAGGATCGTTTGTATTTCTGTGGGATGGGTTGTAATGTCTTCTTAGTCATTTCTAATTGTATTTATTTGGCTCTTCTCTCTCTCTCTTTTGATTAATCTAGTTAGCAGTCTATCAATCCTGTTTGTTCTTTTGAACAGCCAACTCTTGGCTTCATTGATCTTTGGTGTGGATTTTTGCATCTCAACTTTATTCAGTTCTTCTAAAATTTTTATTTTTTTTCTGCTGCTAGCTTTGGTATTGGTTTATTCTTTTTTCTTATTCCTGTAAGTTCAAAATTAAACTGTTAATTTGAGATCTTTGTAACTTCTTGATTGAGGCTGTTTAGCACTATAAACTTTCCTCTTACCACTGCTTTAGCTACATCCCAGAGATTGTGGTAAGTTGTGTCCCTATTTTAATTCGTTTCCAAGATTTTTAAATTCTGCCTTAATTTTATTGTTCATCCAAAAGTCATTCAGGATAAAGTTGCCTAATTTCTATATATTTGTATCATTTTGAGAGCTCTTCTTGATACTCATTTCTAGTTTTATTGTACTGTGATTCAAGAGTATGCTTGGTATGATTTTGATTTTTTAAAAACTTATTGAGACTTGCTGTATGACCAAGCATGTGGGCAATCTTAGAATATGTTCCATGTGCAGATGAGAAAAATATATATTCTGTGATTACCTGGTGAAGTATTCTGTAGACAGAATTAAAAGTAAAATCATATGATCATCTCAATAGACGTGGAAAGAGGTTTTGGTAAAATCCAACATTCCTTCATGATAAAAGCCCTCAACAAACTAGGCATTGTAGGAACATAGCTCAAAATAAGTGCCATCTGTGACAAACTCACAGCCAACATCATACTGAACAGTTAAATGCTGGAACCATTCCCCTTGAGAATGGAACAAGACAAGGATACCCACTCTGCCCACTCCTATTCAACACAGTACTGGAAGTCCTAGCCAGAGCAATCAGGCAAGAGAAAGAAATAAAAGACATCCACATAGGAAAATTAGTCAACTATTTGTCTTTTCTGACAATATGATTCTATACCTAGAAAACTGTAAAGACACTGCCAAAAGGCTCCTAAAACTGATAAATGACTTCAGTAAAGTTTCAGGATACAAAATAAATGTACAAAAATCAGTAGCATTTCTACATAACAATAACATTCAAGCTGCGAGTTAAATCAAGAACACAATTCGATTTACAATCATCACACACACACAAAATAAAATACGTAGGAATACAGCTAACCAAGGAGGTGAAAAATCTCTACAAAGAGAACTACAAAACACTGCTGAAGGAAATCATAGATCACAGAAACAAACGGAAAAGCATCCCCTGCTCACAGACTAGAAGAATCAATATTGTTAAAATGGCCACACTGTCCAAAGCAATATACAGATTCAATGTTATTCCTATGAAACTACCAAGTCAGTTTTCAGAGAATTAGAAAAACTATTTTAAAATTCATATGGAACCAAAAAAGAGCCCAAGTACCCAAAGCAATCTTCAGCAAAAAGAACAAAGCTGGAGGCATCACACTACCTGACTTCAAACTATACTATAAGGCTATAGTAGCCAAAAGAGCATAGTATTGATTTTTTAAAAATAGACATATACACCGATGGAACAGAACAGAGAACCCCAAATTAAAGCTGCACACCTACAACCATTTGGTCTTTGACAAAGCTGACAAAAACAAGCAGTGGGAAAAGCACTCCCTATTTGATAAATGGTGCTGCATATGGCTAGTCATATGCAGAAGAATAAAACTAGATCCCTACTTTTCACCACATAAAAAAGTAACTCAAGAAGGATTAAAGATTTAAATGATAGATCTCAAACTATAAAAATCATAGAAGAAAACCTAGGAAATACCCTTCTCAATATTGGCATTGGAAAATAATTTTTGGTTTTTCTTTCAAGAATGTTTGGCTTTCTTTCAAAAGCAACTGCGAAAACAAAAGCAAAATTTGACAAATTGGACCTAATTAAACTAAAGCGCTTTTGTACAACAAAAGAAACTATCAACAGAATAAACAGATAACTTATAGAACTGGAGAAAATATTTGCAAACTATGTATCTGAGAAAGGTCTAATGTCCAGAATCTATAAGGAACTTAAACAAATTATAAGCAAAAAATGAATATGTTCATTAAAAAATGGGCAAAGGACATGAACAGACACTTTCCAAAAGAAGACATACAAGTGGTCAGCAGCATTTGAAAAAAATGTTCAATGTCACTAATCATCAGAGAAATGGAAATCAAAGCCACAATGAGATACCCTTTCATATCAGTCAGAATGGCTGGTAATAAAACGTCAAAAAATAACAGATGCTGATGATGCTGCAGAGAAAAGAGAATGCTTATACACTGTTGGTGGAAATGTAAATTATTTCAGCCACTATGGAAAGCAGTTTGGAGATTTCTCAAAGAATGTAAAACAGAACTACCATTTGACCCAGTAATCCCATTACTGGGTATATATCCAAAGGAAAATACATCATTCTACCAAAAAGACACATGCACCTGCATGCTCATCACAGCACTATCCACAATAGCAAAGACGTAAAATCAACCAAGGTGCCATCAATGGTGGATTGGATGAAGAAGATGTGGTACCTATATACCATGGAATACTGTACAGCTATAGAAAAGAACAAGATCATGTCCTTTGCAGCAACATGAATGCAGCTGGAGGCCATAATCCTAAGTGAATTAACGCAGGGACAGAAAACCAAATACTACACGCTCTCACTTAAAAGTGAGCTAAACATTGACTATGTATGGACATAAAGATGGGAACAATAGACACTGTGGACTTCTAGAGTGGGGAGAAAGGGGGATGTGAGCTGAAAAACTACCTATTGGGTACTATGCTCACTATCTTGATGACGGGATCCATACCCTAAACCACAGCATTCTGCAATATACCCATGTAACAAACCTGCACATGTACCCCCAAATGTAAAATAAAAGTTGAAATTATAAAAACAAAACAATAATAAATAAATAAATAAACGCTTCAATGCAGTGTAATAAGAGTTCCAGGAGAAAAAAGTTTTAGAATTGGAAAAAACAATGAATCTTTTCACCAGAAGAGCGCCCTGTGGATTCAGAAGTAATCCCAATAACATGAAGTTTGAAACAGTGAAAAGAAATAAACTCTCTGAAAGAAATGCAGAGATAAAAGAATAACAAGATAATGAAAGCCAGAGAAATAGGAAACATCAATGATTGGTGCAGAGGGTAAGAAGACAACCCAGCCAAGAAGAGTTAAAGAGTTAAGGGTATAAAAAATAAAATGTCATAGAAGCCTAATGAGCACAAAGTTTTAAGATGAGGTGAACTAAGTGTCAAGTGCCACAGAGCACGAGAAGAGTCTTGGAACTGAGTAAAGACAATGACAAATGCCAAGAAGTAGATCATTTATTATTTTAGAGACAGTTGTTTACACAGAAGGATGATAACAAAGGACATAATGTATAATATGAAAGAGATGAGTAGAAAGAAATCTGAGAATTTCAATCACAGGCTAGTGAGATCCTAAGAGCATAATCATAACTCAACTTCTGCTCTGTTCATGTGAAATAAAGTTGTTTCAATCTATTGATTTATTATGCTTATCAATATACATACGCAGTGTTTTCTGTAAATAACTATTGAATTCAATTGAGGCAGAAACAGGCTAATGCAATGGAAAGGACACTGGCCTGGGCATCTGATCCGAATTCTAGTTCTGATTTACCAGACAGTAAGACCTCAGGCAAGATTATATCTACTAAAGGAATATTTATACTAACTTAGTGGTTCTCAATTATTGTCAGGGGCACCCTGGCATGCTGCCAAATTTCAAGTAATGTTAAATTTTAACTTTGGTGACAATTTACATTTCATATTTTCCAAGTGAATCTTTTACATGGCATGTAGTGCTGAATGGGTCACGTGAAAAATTGGAGACTGATGCACAACTTGTGGCCAGGGATGAGTAAATGCATTCCATGACATCAGGCCACCATCAGAGAAAGTCATGTTTCTAGGATTTGTGATAGTTTTCTCTCACAAGTATATGAGACATCTCAGGACAGTAAACATCTCTTCTCAATCAAAAACACAAGAACAAAGGGTGAGCTTCTGTGTGGGTCTCTGTATATACCCTATAAGATGCTGATATTCTGTAGCTGGGATTGCAGTTGTAATTATTGCTGACTTATTTAGTGGTATTTAACTACTTTAAATATAATAACCACAATCCTATATTTGAAAGTGTGCCATGAACAAAAAATATGCATAACTACTGAATTTAGTCATCAATGAGATCCCCTCCAGTCATAATATTCTATCATTTTAAGACAATGAGTTCTAGCGTTGATGTCCATTAAAAATCAGCCCTTTATTTCTAAGGCCTCATCTTCAAAAAGAACTTACCCTCGCTCAATTCAGAGCACTAAAAAAGCCAGTTCCTTGAATACATTCTGGCTGAAGGTCTATAAAACATTTTCATTTGATTTAAAGAAGATTTTTCTTTTCACTTTTTACTCTTGCCTTGTTTCTGTTCTTGAAGACATACTACACATGGCAGTAGCTATATTAGACTACTAATATTAATACCCTTTTTTAAAAAAAGATCGATTATTCAAAGAGACATTTCACTAAAGAAGATGTATGCATACTAGAATCACAAAGAAATACCACTACACACATCTTAGAATGGCTAAAATATTTTTTAAGTAATCATACCAGTGTCAGCAATAATGTGGAGGAACTGGAACTCTCAAACGCTGCTAGTAAGAGTGTAAAATACTGCAACCACTTTGGAAAACGTGTAGGAATTTTCTTAAAAAGTTACACATGTGGCTGGGTGCGGTGGCTCAAGCCTGTAATCCCAGAACTTTGGGAGGGCAAAGTGGGAAGATCAACTGAGGTTGGGAGTTCAAGACCATCCTGGCCAACATGGTGAAACCTCTTCTCTAGTAAAAATACAAAAAATAGCTGGGGATGGTGGCAAACACCTGTAGTCCTAGCTACTCAGGCAGCTGAGGCAGGAGAATCGCTTGAACCCAGGAGGCAGAGGTTGCAGTGAGCCGAGATTGTGCCACCGCATTCCAGCCAGGTGACAGAGTGAGACTCTGTCTCAAAAAAAAAAAAAAAGTTATACATGTACCATCATATGATCCAGCCATGTTATTCTAGAGCATTTACCGAAGATAAATAAAAACATATGTCCATAGAAAGGCTTGCATACAAATGGTCATAGCATCTTTATTTGTAATCATTAAAAACTAGAAAAAACTCAAAAGTTCATGAACCGATAGATGAATAAACAAATTGTGGAACATCCATATGATAAACTAATCCTCAGCAATCAACAGGAATGAACTATTCATACACAACAACATCCCAAAATAGTTACGCTGAACACAAGAAGCCAGATAAAAAGTGCAACAGGTGTGATTCCATTTGTAGAAAATTGTAGAAAATGCAAATTAATGTAGAGTGACAGAAAGCAGGCCATTCATTGGGTGTATGGATGGGGGCAGAAAGGAACAGGAATGAGGATTTCAAAAGGCTCAAGGCAACTTTTGGAGGTGATGAATATGTTCACTATCTTGATGGTAGTGATGGTTTCACAAATGTATATATACACCCAAACTTATCAAATTATACACTTTATTTCGTGCCGTTTATTATGTGTCAATTATACCTCAATAAAGCACAAAGAAAAGAAAAAAGACGGAAGGAAGGAGGGAAGGAAGGAAGGAAGGAAAAAAGGAAAAAAGAAAGAGAATTGTCACCTCAAAAGGCTGCTAATGTTAAATGAATAAATACTAATAAAATATCTTAAACATTGCCTGACATCTAGTAAAGCCCTCAGTAAATATTAACTATCACTATTATTATTATTATTGTTATTATTATTATCAGCCAAATGGGGAACGTGATACTTCCTACCCCATTGGATCGGGGGCAGAATTGAATGAGCCAATACATGGTAAATACATTTGCTCCCATGCTACGCACCTTATGAGGGCTCAACAGATGTAAGAAGGGGCAGTCAGTGGGAATGGTGGGTTTGTTGCTATTGTCATTTGCTTGTTTATAAGATTTAAATAGTCCACATACTTGGATGAATATTAGTTCTTTTTAGTTTCCCACTATCCCAGTGGAGTAGATACAGACAGAGAAAGATGTTGCAGCTAGTCTAGGGTAGGTGCACCACTAGCAATTTTCGATACCAAGCTCTGCCTTCTCTTTACAATGAAAGAGGCAACATGTGCTCCTGTCGAAGTACTTATTGAAGACTTACTCTGTTTCTGGGTGCTGTAGGGCACAGAGGTGTAGATTCCAATCCTGGCCTTAACACAATTTAGCCTCATTAAGGTGATGTGGCACACACTTCACTAGCAATATTTATTAATAATACTAAGAGTTTATCCCATGCCAGTCATGGTATTAAATACTTCATAAGCATTTCTTATTTAATCCTCTGAACAACCCTACGGGTAGATATAATCATCATCATCATCATCATTATAATAATTTTAAAATTACTATTACAAATAAAAAAGTTGTTGATCTCCAATCTACAATCTGAAGACCTACTAGCAGGTTGGCCCATTGGTTTCCAGGTTCTTCCCTGTAACAAGTGATTCATTTGAGCTCCCAACCAAGCACAGCTTTGGAAGAGAGTGATTTGAGTGAAAAGCTTTGGTGGTGAGATTATTACTTTGTGGAGCAAAGTCTCAGGGAGGTGGCAGAGCTACCTCATGCAGGATGGTCAGAGCAAACAAGAGAAAACAGGCTGGGCTTCTGTAAGGAGAGGTCCTGCTCCAGGCCCTGGGGAAGAGCTGTCCAAGGTGCCCGTGTTGGTGGGTGGTGGCTCTGGGAAGACTGTGACATTCAAATGAGCTGAGAAATGTTGCAGGGCCCTCTCACACATACCTGAGACTAGTTATATGATAAGGCTTCTGAGAGCAAAGGAAAAGGCACTTCAGCAAACTCCTTCAGATAATTTTTGTCCATGAAAGTGCGACCCTTGAAGGTGTCTGATTTGCCCTGCTTCCATTTCATTTCTAATCCCTCAGTGCCTTTAATCACATCCTTAGGTGGTTCTGATAATTATTAAATATTCATTTTGGCTTATAATTTCCTACTTATTATAAAATAAATTTTATTATAAGTGAGAAATGTTTAGCATCTAATATAATGTAAGAGAAAAGTAATATGGTTCACCTCTCAAAGAGGATTATGACAAACATACATCCACCAACCCTTGACCAAAAGCTCTGTATAAGGCAGTGAAATAGAAAGTTTGGTTTTGAAACACATAATTGGGCAGGTTAAAATTGTTTAAAAGGCAAGAATTCTACTCAAGCTTAAGGCTTCTCTTCAGACAGGAAATTGCTCACCTTTGAGGGTAGCAAAAATATCTTTTTACCTGCACATGTGAAGGCGCCATTTCCTCTACTACATGGCTCTCATGTATAAAATAGGGTGGGCCGGGCGGGGTGGGTCACGCCTATAATCCCAGCACTTTGGGAGGCGGAGGCAGGTGGATCACAAGATCACGAGTTCAAGACCAGCCTGTTCAAGATGGTGAAACCCCGTCTCTCTAAAAATACAAAAATTAGCCAGGCACGGTGGCAGGTGCCTGTAACCCCAGCTACTCAGGAGGCTGAGGCAGGAGAATCGCTTGAACCCAAGTGGCAGAGGTTGCAGTGAGCCGAGATCACGCCACTGCATTCCAGCCTGAGTGACAGAGTAAGACTGTGTCTCAAAATAAATAAATTAATAAAATAAAACAAATAAAATAAAATAGGGTGAATTCTATCTGCCCTACCTACTTTACAGTACACCCATCTCTGTTATATACCCATGTTCATAGTAGCATTATGCAATATACACATACAATGGAATACCACTGAGTCTTAAAAAGGAAGAAAATTCTGACTCATGCTACAATACGGATGAACCTCGAGGACATCGTGCTGACTGAAGTAAGTCAGTGATGAAGAGACAAACACCGTATGATTCCAATTATGTGAGGTATTTAGAATACTCAGCCTCACAGAGTCAGAAAGTGGAAAGGTGGTTGCCGGGGGAGAGGGTCTAGGAATGGGGAGTTATTTTTTAATGGGTACAGTTTTAATTTTGCAAGATAAAAAGAGTTATCGTGCAGCAAACCAACATGGCACATGTATACGTATGTAACAAACCTGCACATTGTGCACATGTACCCCAGAACTTAAAGTATAATAATTGAAAAAAAGAGTTCTGGAGTTGGATGCTGGTGATTGCACAACAAGGTAAATGTACTTAATGCCACTGAACTGTACACCTAAAAATGACTAGGATGGTAAATTTTATGTTACGTATACTTTATCACAATTCAAAATTTTTTTCTTGATATTGATGCCAGGGCCAGACTAATTGAATCAGTCTATAAGGGTTAGGGCTGGAGGTTTGCTGTTTTGTAAAAGCTCCTTGGCATTTTCTGTTGCACAGACAGCGTCAGAGTTTGCTCTAGAACAACACATCCCCACTCTGGCCCTACTCCCTGGAAACACTCCTCTTCAGTACCAAAATGTCATTTGCTAGTTTGAGTCAAAATAAGAATGAAAATCAATGACATCACCTCCTGCGAATATTCTCTTGAGTATATTCTTCTTGGAGAAGAGAAAAGAAGATTCTGTCCTGGTTTGCCAACAAGAAAGAGTCCTCTGTGTTCTTATTCTATTCTGAAACAAACCTCACTCTGAATTCTCTGGCCCAGGAAAAAAAGCTGTGGTATCTGGAGAAAGCAAATGGATCCCAGGCTCCAATCAACGGAAGAATGCCTGGGGAATCAGAAGAACATTATGGTGTTGTATAAATTTCTGGTGAGGTTTCAGCCTGCAGCATTGTCCTGAATTCTATGTAAAACACCAAGGATGCTGGTGAATTGGAAGGTGACTTTGATAATCATGGGCCTGGGGCCTTACTGTGATGAAGTTAGAAAAAAAAGATATAGGTTTACAGTCAGAGGAAGAGAGGAAATGAAGGAAGAAGAGGTTTATGGCGTGCACTAGAGGAGAGATTTGTTGCAAAGCATCTGAGAGGATGATGAAACACTCTAAAACAATTAAGTGTGCATTCTCTTCTGCAAAGAAAGGTCAAGGAATTTGGTTTAGGTCTGAGAAAGGCAAGGACTGATGGGAAGATTAGGATTCTTAAAGTCTTTTATCTTTGCTGCCAATTGGGGGCGTGGAGAAAGGAGGTCTCATTCTCATTCTGGATATTTCTATTGCCGCATTGGTCAGCTGGTGCATTGTTTGAGGCAACACTGTCCAATAGAACTTTCTGATGATAAAAATGTTCAAGGGGTTCATTGGAACTATTTCTACTAGCTCAGCTGAGCTGACTGCTACCTTTTCAGGAATTCTGTGAGCTGGTTTTAAGCACCATTATTATTGAACAATTAAATTGTTTAAACTTACTATTAAATATGGTACTAAAAGACAGATGTAGCAAATACTCAAAACTCATCACTTCTTAATTATTTTACTACATTTTACTATTATATATGCACTGTGGTTTGCACTCTCCAGTATGGTAGCCAGTAACCACATGTGACCATTGAGCGCTTGCAATTAGCGAGTGTGACTGCAGAACTGAATTTTCAATTCAATTAGATTAATTTACATGTAAATAGCCACATGTGGCTAGTGGCCAGTGGCTACTGTAACAGACAGTGCAGGTTTGGGATTTTTGTAAAAAGCAAAAACTGTTATCAGAACTGATCACTAATCACTGTTATCAGATCTGACTGCTATTAGAAGAACATTTATGTATTTCAGTTACTAAATGAATCTTTCTCTTTCATGTCAATTATTTAGGTTTTTATTATCAGATCATTTGGATCTGATTTCAGGTTACTTGGGAGGACAGTGATGGAGAAAGTAGAAAGCGCTGGAGAGAGAGAATTCATTCTAAACTGAATTCTTAGTGCTTTGTGAGGTTGCATGCTAATGCCAGCAGGTAAGCTCTGAGCTTGATGTTGTGTGATCCCACGAGCTCAAACCAACAGACAAACTTGCTTGCCTGATCCAGAGCTGACTTTGGATCCTGGCGTGTCATTGGCAGGCATTTGCGGAGTTCATTCAGAGTTCAGGAACATCACTAGACTCCTCAGATGGAGAAGGGACCCCAGCCGGGATCCCTTGGTTCAGAAGCCACCACAGTTTGCAAGGGAGTGGCCTCAGCCTTCCCAAGCTGTCAAAGGTCAGCCTGGTCAGCCAGCTGGGAGGTTTTGGAGAATTAGCACTTAAAGCTATTGCCTCTCAGATGTACCTAACCTCATTTCTCTTCCCCATTCCCCCAGGTACCTCCTTGCTTTAATTTCCCTGCAGGTTTCAGAAAGGATGCATTAAATTATAATCACTAGCTGTTTTGTGAGCAGCCTTTTGTGACCAATAATGACTGTAATGAGAGAAAAGAAAAAGGGAAAATGGGATGATTGAAGCTCACTGGGATGCTTTTGCTGAGCCATTTGTAAAGCAACACAAACAGACAAATGGGGCTCTTCTTTGCCCATTAATTTGTGTCTGTGATTTCGTTTGCCACCGAAAGGTGAGCCTGTTTATTAGGCATCTGCTAGACAACAGAGACCACTTTACTTAACCTAAGGTGGGATCTTAGAGACAGCAGGAGTCACATGACTGTCTCCGGCAGCCTTCACAATCTTATGTGTAGTCAGCTCTGCAAGTCCTGCTATGTGGTTCAACTAAAACTACAGCTGGGGATCTGTCCATTAAAGCGTTGATATCCTAATAAATCTGCCCCTCCTTCCTAGCCCCAGAGTTCAGGCTTTTCCTGCTCATCTGGACCCTTGAAGCAGCTCCTCCCTATCTTGCTGAAAAGGTAGAGATCTAATCATAACACTCCCATGGGCTAGAATCTTCAGCAGCTCCCTACTATCTGTAAGCAGCTATAATGACCTTCAAGGACCTCTGCAGTGCTGACTTTACGTAACGATGTAATTAGATGGTAAGTTCTCTTAGGGCAGGGACTGTGTGTCTTGTTCAGCTTTTTATCAGAAATGGCAAAGTGGCTTGTGCTTCACAGGTCCAGAAGAGTCTCCTGAACTGGATTAAATCCAAAGTAAAAAGAAAAATAAATTCCAATCTTTTCATCAAGTGCTGTTACTTGGATATGCAGACATAAAAGAAAAAAAGAGAGAGAAACACACAGAAAGTTTGTACTGTTCTCTAGAGAAATTATTTTAAAACTTTTCTTAACACAGTAGAAACCTTATAAAAATGTCTCTGCTTCCTACCAAAAGTTAGATGTCAGAAATCCTGTAACTTGGACCAACTCTGCCCCAGGTTCCTGGGCATCTTGGAGACCACACCAATGCCATCCAAAGGAACTCCAGTTTAGAAATCATGATGTAGAGTAACAGAGAGTAGGATGGAAGACAGGAGATCCAGGTTGTACTCATTGCTCTGCCATTAACTAGCTCTGTGATCTTGGAGATATTCTCTCTTCTGTAAAATGAAAATGGGGCTAAATGGTCACTAGTGTCTCTCAGCTTTAAAAATCTATGACTTTTAAAAGGTAGAATAAACTTTTCCAAAGAACTGGAGACACTCAAATCCATTTCTTTCCATTTTTTTACTGTGAATCTTAAAGATCAAAGATTTTAGCACAGCTCCCATTGGGGTTCATTCAACAGACATGTGCTTATCACAGATCAGTAAACTTGAAGGGCTGACCCTGTGTTCTTATTGATAAGTCTGCAAACCTCTCTTCATCCTAGGTTTTAAAGTCCACTTTTAGAACAATACTAAGGAGATTGCTTAGACAAGCCTTTTGTCAATCCTTTCTCCTCCCCAGGATATAATCCAGTGAAAACTGTCCATTAGGGCTAATTCTGAAGAATACCATTCCTCCTATAGCAGACGCTATAGGTGGCATGTCACCAAGTCCCCTCTTCAGAACTGACACACGCAACCCCCAGCTGCTGGGGAGAGCAGCTACTGATGGCTTACAGCTGCACTCTTCACTAGGCTTTCCCAGTGCCACAGGGAATCACCTCACCCAAGTTTATGCCCTGTGGGAGAATTAAAGATGGCAGCAAATTCTTTATTACTCCTCTCATTGAGAGATGGGGTTGAATCCCACCCACACACTTTGAATTTCAGGCAGGCTCTGTGACTGCCTTGATCAATAGAATTCAGCAGAATTGTTACTGTTCCAGTTTTGGGGCCCATGACATAAGAGGCTAGAAAATTCCAGGCTTTGTCTTTTGGTGGATTCTCTGTGAACCCTGAGCTATGCAAGAATCCCAACTACACTGCAACCACCATCCTGGAGAAGCCACAGGTAGATGATATGGTTGAGAGTCTCTGATGCACCTAGCCTTCCAGTCACCCCTGCCAAGGGGCCAGACATGTAAGTGAAGCTGCCTTTAATCCTCCAGACCAGACTAGCCCATCCACCAGCTCAGTACCACCAAGCAACCCTTGCCAATGAAGCATCCACCAGCTGAGTCCCATCTGAATTCCTGACCCACAAATTTGCAAGATATGGTAGACTGCCACTAAGTTTTGGAGTCGTTTGTTACATGGCAAAACATAACTGGAACATGCCTTTCTCCTGGGGGTACAGAGGGGGCAGTTCACAGCCAATGAGTGGCTAATGCCAGGATGTAAAGGCCAGAACCCTTGCCTCAATGTTGGGCATTGAAAGGGCCTTCCAGCTCTAGAGCTCCCTGAAGGAGTGGCTGAGGCCTCATTTGCAAATGCCTTGTGGGTCAGCTTCTTCTCGGTCAAATCCTACCTTCTTCACTCCTTTACAGGTGTATCTCCCCAGTAAAACTTGGTACATGACACTCTGTCTCTGTCTTCCCAGGGAACCCAGTCTCAGATGGCTCCACATCTTGCTTTCTTCAAGTGAATTTTCTCAGTTCCTCTTTCTCTTCCTTTGGGTTTGGGTTGTGTTGACAGAATAACTCAGGAAGAGTCCAGCTGATATAATATTTGGTGTCTTTGCGTTACTACCTGGTGGGTAAATTAATATTTGTAGAATGAATTTTCGTTGAATAGAAGAATCGAGGGCATGTGTAAGGGCAGTAAATTATTTACTTTTTAATGATCTGTATGTGTGGCAGGGCTGAGGGAATTCTAAACCCCTGCGATCCAAGCCATGTCCACGAATCTTTCATCTCTAGTAATCATAGAAAGTTAGTTGGGAGCAGTAGGAACCAGTGTCTCATTGATTGAAATAAACACAGAAAGATATGTGGGGTTTCAGTGTGGAGAGGTCCAATTAGTTACAAGATTTTTTGTCTGAGTAGAATTAAAGCATTCATTTAGCTGAGTAATTGGTAAATTTACAGACAAGCAGATGGGCTAGGCTAGTTTGTACCTCTCTGTGCTCTGAGCTTGAGCATGTACTACCCAGGAGATACAAAATTCAAGTAACAGATAGGATCTTTGCTTTTTAAAGCTTCCACCTAAGTGCACAAAGCAACAAGAGAAATTGTTATAAAGTAGCACATTACCCAGAGAAAGAAAATATAAACACTCAACAGAAACTTCAAAAAAAAAAAAAAGGATTTGATCAGCATTGTGTGGGTTTTTCACTAAATTTGCATGAAGAAAGTCTACCTACTGCTTTACTTTAGCCACAGTTTCAATGTTCTGAGATGATTTCCTGAGCATATTTTTAAACTATTCTCTCCTAGCCTCCCATTCACTATTGCTTAGGAAGCACTTAGAATATGATGGGTGCCATATAAATTCCTAGTGGGAAAAACGGTGGAGTGAATTGCCTCAAATAAGCTCTACTGCCTTTAGGCATCAGATTCCCCCCCTCTTTTTTCCTCTGCAACTTTACACATCCCCATAATGCCAGCAACTTAAGACTAGAAAACTTTCCTAGAAATAAAAATAAAATTTAAAAGTTGATGCTCTTTCCACTTGGATATTTTCCCCCATGGATTCTAGAATGCATATTCAGTTCTTACACAATGGAAAAGATATGTATAAAATAAATTTTCTGTTTTAAATTGAGAAAATAAGTCATTGAAGAATGACCGGAAGTTAGCCCACTGGGGCCTCCCCTGTGCCTGGGGTAATATGGAATTACTACCTTGGGAAGTAGAGCAGGTCTCAGCACAATCGCGGAAGTGCATTTGTCCTTGGAGCTGGGTAATGGCTTCCATGGCATGTTTAGGATGTGACTGATACCATTCCAGCTGCCACCACCCTTCACATCTGTCTTATGAGAGTTTCTTTAGTATCAGTCCTGGGTTGGGGTTTCTTCTCTCGTCTTCCTTGGTTTCAGCTAGCTTTTTGTTCAGAGATGACTGGAACTAATTTCAGCCACACCCACATTTTCTTGTTGATGATGGATGAAGAGTAAACATCTGGCAGAATTCAATGTGGTGCTCACATCTTTGAGGCCTCTGGCTCCCTCCCTCTAGGGCACCTTGTTGTTCAAGGATGTCCAGTTTCCATAGCAAGTGTCCTGAGTTGTGACTCTCAAAGATCCTATGCCAGTGTGGCACTCCCAAGGCGTCCTGAGAAACCCAAAAGGACATCTCCCAAAAATCTCTGAATTCGCTGAATTCAAGTTTGGTGAAGCTCTAAGGTCGAGTTTTCCAGCTCTCCTTCTGTGACCCCTCTGGATGTGCCTCAATTTACCCAAAAAGGTGCTATGTTATGTTTCAAAGCTAAGGTGATTTTTATTTCCTTGAATTTTTATAAATACATATATGCAATAAAGCAATTTAGGAAATGTGGGGCCTAATAGATAAACAAATAACACTTTTCAAAGGGGCCTGGAATCAATGCCATAGGCTTTCTTTCCTTTGTACTGACTTCCTTCATTCCTTAGCCCCATTTTCCTAGCAAATGAAGGAAGAGACTGGAAATAAGTCTTGGGGGATGAGAACACAAATGCCTAGGAGGGGATCACATGTGATTTTTTCAGGAATAAGGAGTCTAGATCAACTAGAGCCAGTCAGTGACACAGCAGGTGTCTTGCAATCAGATGCAGCAACCCTGAGATGTGCCAGTTTACACCTGTTCTCTAGGGTTATCTCTCAAGTTTCCCAGAGGAAAAACGAGCTATCTTTCTAGCCTATGAACACTCCATACAGCCGTGCTACTCAACCTGCAGTGTGGTACCAGGAGCAAGGGTATCACCAGGGAGTGTGTTAAAAATGAACAATCTCAGTCGCCACGCCCGGCCGGCTGAATCAGAAACAAATGCCTTGGGGTGAACCTTATGCATGTTGAAGTTTGAAAAGCACTGGCACACATGATGTCCCTCTTCACAGATCACTCCTGCAGCAGTTGCCTGCATCATGGACCGCCTCCTGGCCTCTGCTCCTGCCCTGTCTTCTCTACACAGCAATCTACACAACTCATCACAGCCTGATATCTCCATTCTGTCTTCATCATTCTGATCCCCTGAGCCTGGCAGGCAGGGTACTCTAAGATCTGAGCCCACCTGCAGCACCAGCCTCAACTGCCATCACTCCCAGCTTGACTACAGCTGCGTAGCCCTGCACGATTCAGGCTGATCCTGGCTTTGCTCTGGTTATTTCAGCCTAGAACGCCCTTCCTACTCATCCTGCCCATCCTTTAAGACCCAGTTGAGGTCCCATTTAGGAAGCTGATTATGGCCTGTCTCCACCTAATCAGCAGCGCACACACACACACACATACTCCAAGCTGGGTTAGGTACCCCTCCTCAAGGGTCCGCATACGGATGCTGGGGTCATAATGCTCTTACACCACTTTACATTATTTTGCAGTGATCTATCTTTGACACAGGGCCTGAAAGAATACTACAGTCTAGGGCCAGCCTGGTATAGTGGTGAGTGTGGACTCTGGAGCTAGCAGTCTGGGTTCATGTCCCAGCTCTGCTGCTACCTAGTTTGTAAACTTGGGCAAGTTACTTAACCTCTCTGTGCCCAAATTTCATCAGCTGTAAAAGAAAAAAAAAGGTAATTTGAGATATCTACTTCATGACATTGTTGTGAAGATGAAATGAGTTGATACCTGCTGTATGTATGATATAAACGTTTGCTATCATTTTTTAATTATTCAAGTTTGTATTCCCAGTGACTAGTGGAGTGCTTGGCAGACAGTAAATGTGCAATAAATAAAATACTCAATGATTGAATATATTATTGTGCTTGTTTAGATTTTATCTGTTTGCCTTATTGGCCTCATGTAATAAACAAGGAATGGACTGAGAGAGGAAACAGGTCTTGGAAGAAGGGAACGCCGAGAGATGTTGCCTTGCCAAAGACCTCACAACTAATTCAAAGCGGGAGCAGTGCCTCAGCTGGAACCCTTTTCAGCTTGTCGTTTGTGCAGGATCAACACCCCTGATGTCCAGTCTGCCAAATGGGAGCATGGTGGATCATAAGGATGGACATCTAGTCATGAAAACTTTCCTCCTAAATTTCTTATTGCCAAAGACCAGTGACCATGCCCACTCATCCGAAGAGCAGCAGTTTATTCCACCCTATCACCCCAAGGACTCTTCCACCTATTTTCATAACAATTTTATAGTGTCTGGCAGTCACTAGGATGCACTTGTCAACTCAACAATTATTTATTAAAATGCTGGGATTTTAAAATCACAGACTGATGAAAACTGCTTTTTCAATGCATTTTTAATATTGCCAAAAAAATTCTTTTCACAAGCGCAATGACCAAAATAACCCAGACCTTATTAGTTTATTCACCTTAAATTTGTTTTTGTACTATGTATGAAAATGAGCACTCATATACTATGACAATGGCAGTAAACACTTTGCTTTGTTTTTACTGAAAGAGAAAAAAATCGACTTTAATTTGAATACTAAACCATCCAGAATATCTAGCTGAAAACATGTTTTTATTATTTGCATTCTTGGGTTTGGCTTGTTATGCTTTGGGCATATCTGCTGATATCACTTGCAATATTTTTTCATTTCATATATTAATATTTAATATTCTTTAAACATTGTTCAACCTTAATGGTTGTCTAATTTCTGTTTTTCATCCACAGAGAAGCTATTAATTTATGAGCGTATAGGGCAGTAAGTAATAATTTGCATGAATGCCTTGAACAGATATGCTTCCATAGGCCGCCCATAGCATAGACTCGGAAAGGGATGATACCATCTATTGGCCAAGCTCCAATGAACACTGCTTTACAAGAAGCAGAAAAAAAAAGTTTTTTAATCCATAAAGAAGTCTACTAAATGAAAAATCAACAGAGATGACAGGAACCGGTTTGTTTCTGCTCCTTTTTTCTTTTGTGTGTGCTCTGCAATTCCCTTTTGGGAGAGATTTGTGAAAGAGCAAAGCAAGTAGCTGAAGTGCTTTGAAGAACTGGAGAAGAGCCCATCCCTATCTGTGTCCAGAACTTCACTCTTTTCCTCCAGTAACTCTGTCGACAGAGATCCATGCTCACATGTTGCCAGCTGAGCTAAGCCAAAATAAGGCCAGATGGGATAAAAAAAAATTAATCAATGAATCAGTCTAACCAGTGGCTTAGCAGTATCTAGGCAGCTGAAATCTGCTGTTCTCCATCTCACTGGCATTGATATTTCTCATTGTATGAATCTGACAAATGGCTTCCGGCAGCACAATATCACCTATGTTCCATCTTAATCTTGGAGTTGGAGGTGTAACTGCACATTCAGAGGTGAGAGGATACTTTATATGTGAAAAGACATTAGGTTGATTGCCCTCAAAACAATCTCAATACTTCCCTCCTCCATAAAGGTGTGGAATTCGTTCCCCTTGGGCCAGGAAGTCAACGATGAAGGCAATCACCGTTCCCACAAATTCTGTCCCCAATTTCTTACCCTCCCTAGTCCTTCTGTCAGTCTCCTAGAATTATCTTCTCTAAAATCTGGGATTTACAGTCACCTCAGGACAGATGTCACTCGGCACACCAGGTAGACAATTAAGATAGTTACCCAGACAATTTAGAAAGGACAAAATAATTTTTCCTTAATTATCTGTATGTTACAGTTAGTCCTTTCTTTTCAAATAGCTATGTGATTGCTATAATTCTCTTTTTAAAATTGTTTTCCTATCTTGAACAAGCCTTATGGGTATAGTAGAAGTTTAATAAGATTTAGATAGAATTAGTGCCCACACTAATAAAATCTAATCTTATAATCCAGTATTTCGGCATTCAGAAAACATACCCACCAGAAGGAATGATTTTGCTAACTTTCCAGGCAGTTAGATGACTTGTTTTGATGGAGTGAAACCTAAGACCCTAAAAGTATTAAATGAGGCTCTTAAAATGTCTTCCATACATTTTCTCATTCTTGTGCTGAATTTATATCAAGGCAGCAGACTTTCTACATGTGTTTCTTCTTATTAAAATACCAAAATGAAATTAGTAGTGTTTAAATTATGAGTGTACATTTTTAAAGCTTCATTATTTTGGATAGAGGGGTGTATTAGTTTATTTTCACACTACTGATAAAGACATACCCGAAACTGGGAACAAAAAAAGGTTTAATTGGACTTACAGTTCCACACAGGAGGCCTCAGAAACATGGTGGGAGGCAAAAGGCTCTTCTTACACGGGGGCGGCAAGAGAAAATGAGGAACAAGCAAAAGTGGAAACCCTTGATAAACCCATCAGATCTTGTGAGACTTATCAACTATCACGAGAATACCACCGGAAAGACCAGCCCCCATGATTCAATTACCTCCCCATGGGTTCCTCCACAACACATGGGAATTCTGGGAGATAAAATTCAAGTTGAGATTTGGATGGGAACACAACCAAACCATATCAAGGGGGTGGTTGGTTTGTTATTTTGGGCTAAACTTTTTATGAACCAAGAAAGCATATTTGGGTATACATTTATCCATGAGTGAATTGTACAGAGCTAAACATACAATCAACTGGGGCATTCCTTTTTTTTCTCATGGAATTTTACAGTATCTTCAAAGATTTATTTGGACAAATACACAATTCTTCCTCTAAACAAATGTCCCTTATCAGTGATCTAGCTCAAATCACATGTGTATAGAAATATATTAGGTATGTAACATGAATAAAGCACAGTCTGGTTGAAATAAAAGTCTTCTTTCCTTAACTTTTAGTTTCAGGTGTATATGTGCAGTTTGGTTCTGTAGATGAATTGTGTGTCATGGGGGCTTGGTGTACATATTATTTCATCACCCAGATAGTAAGCATAGTACTCAATGGGTGGCTTTTAGATCCTCATACTTCCCCCACCCGCCACCCTCAAGTAGGCCCTGGTGTCGGTTGTTCCCTTCTTTGTGTCCATGTGTGCTCAATGTTTAGCTCCCACTTATGAGTGAGAACATGCAGTGTTTGGTTTTCTGTTTCTGCATCAGTTCACTTAGGATAATGGTCTCCAGCTCCATCCATTTTGCTGCAAAGAACATGATCTCTTTCTTTGCTATGGCTGCCTAGTATTCTATGGTGTATATGTATCACATTTTCTTTATCCAGTCTATGTTGATGGGCATTTAGGTTGATTCCATATCTTTGCTATTGTGAATAGTGCTGCAATGAACATATGCATGTATATGTCTTTTTGGTAGAATGATTTATATTCCTTGGGTATACACCCAATAATGTGATTACTGAGTTGAATGGTAGTTCTGTTTTAAGTTTTAAAGCTACACTACATTCCACAGTGGCTGAACTAATTTACAATCCCACCAGCAGTGTATAAGCCTTCCCTTTTCTCTGCAGCCTTACCAGCATCTGTTATTTTTTGACTTTTTAGTAATAGCCACTGAGACTGGTGTGAGATGGTATCTTATTGTGGTTTTGATTTGCATTTCTCTGATGATTAGAGATGTGGACCCCATTTCTTCTTTTTCTTTTTCTTTTTTTTTTTTTTGATACAGCATTCTACTCCATTGCCCAGGCTGGAGTGCAGTGGCACAATCACGACTCACTGCAGCCTCAACTTCCCAGGCCAGGTGATTCTCCCACTTCAGCCTCTCAAGTAGCTGAGACCACAGGCACGCACCGCCATACCTGGCTAATTCTTTGTAGAGATGGGTTTTCACCATGTTGTCCATGTTGGTCTCAAGCAATCCACCCACCTCGGCCTCTCAAAGTACTGGGATTGTAACTGTGAGCTACCATGCCCAACCAAGCATGTTTTCATATGTTTGTTGGCCACATGTATGTGTTCTTTGGAAAAGTGTTTGTTCATCTCCTTCGCCAGCTTTTTACTGGGGTTGCTTGTTTTTTGCTTGTTAATTTGTTAAAGTTCTTTATAGATTCTGGATATGAGACCTTTGTCAGATGTATAATTTGCAAATATTTTCTCTCATTCTATGGGCTGTCTGTTGATTCTGTTGATAGTTTCTTTTGCTATGCAGAAGCTCTTTAGTTTAATTAGGTACCACTTGTCAATTTTTGTTTTTGTTGCAGTTGCTTTTGGCATCTTAATCATAAAGTCTTTGCCAAGACCTCTGTCTAGAATGGTATTCCCTAGGTTTTCTTTAAAGGTTTTTATAGTTTTCGGTTTTACATTTAAGTTTTTAATCCATCTTTCTAATCAGGACCTTTTGCAATTCCAGAATCCTCAATGGCAGCCTCCTTCTTACAAGAAGGTTAAGAAATGACAAGTTGGGTAGGGAAGAAAATAGTGAAAAAGTGACTTCATACAATGTTTTCAAACCTTACAAAATCGATTTTTGTAACAAACCCATTTTCAAATGGGAGAAAATAACCTGTGAAGATCATTCTAATAACATTCTTGGCTGGGCGCAGTGGCTCACGCCTGTAATCCCAGCACTTTGGGAGGCCGAGGCAGGTGGATCACGAGGTCAGGAGATCGAGACCATCCTGGCTAATACGGTGAAACCCCGTCTCTAGTAAAAATAGAAAAAATGAGCCGGGCGCGATGGTGGGCGCCTGTAGTCCCAGCTACTTGGGAGGCTGAGGCAGCAGAATGGCGTGAACCCGGGAGGCGGAGTTTGCAGTGAGCTGAGATCGCACCACTGCACTCCAGCCTGGGCGATAGAGCGAGACTCCGTCGAAAAAAAAAAAAAATTCTTATCAGATGGTAGTTTGAGGCAGGATAGTGTTTCTGGAAATTTTAAGATTTCCAAATAAAATTCAAAATTTTTTAAAGTTTTTAAACCTCTTCCAAAATGAACAAAAAAATGCATGATTACGTTTTTTCTAAATGTAATGAAACTTCACTAAATTGCACTTGCTGAAAATAAAAGCCATCTAATTCATTTATTTTAAAAATAAAACCATTTTTGGAATAAAGTTAACTATTTTCAGGTATAAACTGTGTTTTAATATATAGAATTCGCTAAATGTTGCCTCAAAGGCACCAAATGTTAGCGATAGATATGTATGCCTGTTTTGGAAGCCAGAGTGAATGAAACCATTTGTTCTTTTAAATATTTTAAATACTTGCTATCAAATAACAGTTACCCTATTATTTTGCATAATCTCCATTAAATGGATTTGTTCAGCAGAGAGAAATTTAAAGCTAAATTACACAACATTCTAATTTAGTGATTTTTAAATACGTTTTTTAACAATCAGTCTTTCAGCCACCATCGAAAGGAAATGACACATTTCAGGAAATGTCTACATATAGCCAGGTGGCTCTGAATTTTATAGACTGGGATTGAGATGTGCTGAATAGAAAATAAAGCAGGAGAGTCAATGTTCAATTCTGCTCTACTAACATTTATCGATTCCTTCCTTCTTAGTGCCAAGCCCTCCATGAGATCCTGGAGCTAAGAAGATGACAGGAGCACAGTTACTGGATTTATTCAGATACTCAACTACAGTTCTCACGCTCTTTCTATATTTTCTACTTGCAGAGGGGTTTTTTCCGCCTCTGATTACTCTATCCCACCTGGTTATGCAATCACTTCCACCCACTAACTGTCCAAATTCACAGGAGAATTTTCAGACATCACCCCACATACCTTTCCTGGTCTCCTAAATATATAGAAAGTGCATTCTGCAACACGATATCACATAGATCAGTTGCCTATTGCCACGATAAGGCTACAGGACAATCACAAAACTACAATAGATTATAGCAACCCACATTCAGCTTATGAGTCAATGAGGTTAAACTGATCTGGCTACAACAGCAAAGGCTAGGCTTCAAGTTGGTAGACAGATTTGCTGGTTTCGGCTCGGCTTGTTCACAAGTCTGGGGGACCAGTTGGCTGTCACTGGCTGATCTAGGACAGCCCAGCTCATTATCCAGCAGGCTAGCCCAGGCATGTCCTTCTCAGGAAGGTGACAGAGAGCAAGAGTGAGCCAACCCAATGATGCAAGTGCTTTTCAAGCTTCTACTCCTATCATGTCAGCTCAATATCCTGTTGACCAAAGTAGGTTGCATGGCTAACGCCAGTGTTAGAATGGAAGGGTATAAAAATGACATGGCCACCGATATGAAGTGGGGACAGGTAAAGGACTGGGGCCATTTTTGCAAACTATAACATGTGTAGGTAGGAATATACCTAAACCAATGTACAAGAGTCATACTGTGCAACACTTTCCAAACATTACCCTGCACTGTGGAAGACTTTACCAATGTGATAAACTCCATCTGCTGAACTTAGCCCTGCTCAGTCCTTTCACAATACCTCTTGAGTTCAGGAGGCACTCAAGGAAGGACAGGGGCCTCTTGAAATCCAACGTGGGTCCCAGGATGACAATTACTACAGGACTTGACATAGAGAGCAGCAGAAAATTTGTCACTTCTCCTCAGCTGTTAGAAGTAGATCAAAGGTAAATATAAACACCTCCAATCACCAATTAAGTTAAAAGAAAGAGGCCAACACTAAATCTACCAGCAGAAAAATACTGCACTTCCTCTCTCAGCTACTGAAGCATGCCCAGTAAATGTAACCAATACCCCAGCCCCAGCCCTTTATGGAAACAACTGCACTGAACTCCCATCCTCTGAGGCCGGGTGCAGTGGCTCATGCCAGTAATCCCAGCACTTTGAGATGCCAAGGCGGGAGGATTGCTTGAGCTCGTGAATTTGAGATCAGCCTCAGCCACACAGCAAAACCCTGTCTCTACAAAAAAATACAAAACCTAGCTGGGCATGGTGGTGCCTGCCTGTAGTCGCAGCTACTTGGGAAGCTGAGATGGGAAGCTGAGGTGGGAGGATGGCTTGAGCCCCGGAGGCAGAGGTTGCAGTTGGCTGAGATTGCTGCACTGCACTCCAACCTGAGGCAACTGAGCCAGACCTTGAAAAAAAAAAAAAAAAAAAAAAAAAAAAACAACCTCCCATCCTCTGGATAAAGTAAACCTAGAGCAACTAAAACTGTACTAAAGTAATCTAATTATTTTTTTTTTTTTGAGATGAGGTCTGGCTCTATCACCCAAGCTCGATCACAGTGAAGCAATCTCAGCTCATTACAACCTCTGCCTTTTAGGGCTCAAGTGATCCTCCAACCTCAGCCTCCCCAGTAGCTGGGACTACAGGTGCATGTCACCATGCCCAGCTAATTTTTTTTTTTAATAGATGGGGTTTTGCTGTGTTGCCTAGGCTGGTCTTGAACTCGTGAACTCAAGTGATCCTCCTGCCTTGGCCTCCCAAAATGCTGGGATTACAGGCATCAGCCACTGTGCCCAGGCTAGACTAAAGTAATCCAGACTAATTATCTGTATGTGTGAATGTGGTGGTGTTGAGAGAATACAGGCATCAAGGGCCTATGTGGCCCTTAAAGACAGGAATTGATTGTGCTTGCTTGCTTGCTTTTTTATTGTGGTAAAGAATACATAACATGAGCTCTAGGCTTTACCAAAATTTTCAGTGTAGAGTGCAGTACAATATTGTTAACTATGAGCTCATAATTGTACAGCAGCTCTCTAGAAGTTTTCCAGCTTGCATAACTAAAACCCTATACCTGATGAACAGCAATTCTTCCATTTCCCCTAGCTTTAGGCTCTGGCAACCACCATTCTACTTTCTGCCTTTATGAGTTTAACTATTTAAGACACCTCATGTAAGTAGAATTATGTAGTATTTGCTTCTCTGTGTCTGGCTGATTTCACTTAGCATAATGCCCTCGATTTCCATCCATGTTGCAGCATGTGACAGGATTCCCTTCTTTCATGGCTGAATAGTATTCCATTGTGTATAGGTATCAGATTTTCTTTATGCATTCATCCATTGATGGGCATTTAGGTTGTTTCCACCTCTTGTCTATTTTGAATAATGCTGAAATGAACATGGGAATGCAGATAACTTCTTGAGCTTCTGATTTCAATTTTTTTTGGATACAAAAATGGGATCATTGGCTGAGGCAGAAGAATTGCTTGAACTCGGCAGGTGGAGATTGCAGTGAGCTGAGACCGTACCATTGCACTTCAGCCTGAGCGACAAGAGCGAAACTGTCTAAAAAAATAAAAAATTTGAAAAAAAGGGATTGTTGACTCCTATGGTAGTTCCATTTTTAATTTTTGTGGAAACTCCATACCATTTTCCATAATGGCTGTACTAATTTACATTCCCACCAACAGTGTACAAGTATACCAGCTTCCCCATATCCTCACCCACACTTGTTATTTTCTGTTTGTTTTTTGTTTTCAATCTTTTTATAGTGGCCATCCTAACAAGTACGAAGAGATCACTCACTGTGGTTTTGATTTGCATTTCTCTGATGGTTAATGATGTTGAGCATCTTTTCATAGACTATGTTTTCTTACCCATATAATGGGTAGGTACTACATTAATTTTACATGACTGAAAAAAGAGTAGGGTCTCATTATATGTTCCCAGGGGAGCCAAATCCAAAAATAATTTCACTTTTTAATACTGGTTAAACAACAACACAACAAAGCTGCACATGCTGCTTAACAGAGAACTTCAAAAACTCCTATTCATTCTCCGAGAATAGAGAACCTATGTCCAAGGAATTTTCTATTCACTATCAGCAAAATTAATCTTCAGCATTTAATCTCTCATCACTCCTCAAAGACATGAACAGGGCTATCATGAGCATTTTCCCATGATTGTAATAAGGAAAGGAAGGGAAACAAAGGAAATTCACACTATGGGAGACACGGTCATTCCACACTTAGACTTTGATTTGTGCAAATGGGTTGTGGTTGTTGAATCTGAAGGATACTTTGGCATGTGAATATATGCTTCACGCTAGCCCTCCACTCCAGACAGGCTACATAATTTGCTGGGCCCAGGGAAACATGAAAATGCAGGGCCTCTTATTCCAAAATGAAGAATTTCTAGACAGCAGCACAGAACATTAAAACAAGTGCTGAGGCTTCTAAGTAAGAGGATCCTGTGTGACTGCATAGCTCATGCGCCCAGGAAGCCAACCCAACCTACACTTTCTCCCACATGGTAAAATGAAAACTTCTTTTCCCATGCTGGACACCTGTCAAATGTCAGAAAAAAATACCCATAAGCAGCTCTGTGTTCCCAAATAACTGGCAGGGATGACAGTTAAGGCCCTTAAAATCTAATGGGAAAAGAGTCCACACATTGCACCTGTTGAAATCAGTTTTCTTTCTAGAGAATTCCAAAGGTTCACTTGGTTTCAAAACCCAGACATTCACTTAGAGGCTAGAATTTTGCAGTCAGCCACAGCCAGGATACAGAGCAGTTAATTCTGGCTTGTCATAATTAATTTATGGGCAATCATTACCAGGAAAGAAAAGTCACTGAGAATTACACAAGCACACAGTATCCCCAGTCAATATGAACACAGAGTTCAGGAGAGACTTTGGGGAGACCCAAATCAAGCCTGGCTTTACCACACTCTGTACAACTTATTAACCTTAAGCAATGAAATGTTTATGAGAATCAGAAAGGAATCTCAATGAACAATGAGACATCTTTTCTAAGTGCTTGCAAGTAGCAATGACCCTTAGAATCTCACAATAGGAAAATGGATATTTTGAGAAACCTACGTTTTTTGTGCTCACCACTTAAGTAATCAGAGGAAGTTTCCTTTACTTTGTGGTGATTTATAAAGTGAGCGGTTGGCCTTTTCATCCATTATTGTTTTCACAAGATTTATTTCCTCTAAAGACGCTTTTATTTATTTTTTAAAATCATAACCAGCAGCACAGTCAGATCCTGAGTAATTTATTCTTGATTCTGCAAATTACATTAATGACATAATTAATAATTTTAATAAAAAACTATGGCTGTCAGATGGGCACGTCATCTAATCAATAGGAACAAATCATTTTCTCTTATGTTTAATGATTCCCTCGAGAAGTGAATCTAAGAAAAGAGAAAAGTCAGTTAATGAGGAGGTTGCAGATACTGTCTCTTTTATCAGCAGAATTGAAAATGAAGGTTTTCTTTATTGTGTAAATTTCAACCATTGGAAATCAATTTTTGTACGTGGAAGGAGGCGATACGTGGGGTGGACTTCAATACCTGATTTTTATGTTGTGAAATCCCAGCAGAACCTAAAATTATAGTCCACCACAGCTTTTAGTGATTGTCCAAATACTCTGGAAATCAAGATTAACTCACTTTCAGAAAAAAATCTGATTCTTTAAACCATGAAATATATAATTGGGAGCTAAAGGAGTGTGAGATACCACTGAAGTTCCACCCTAATGTGTCATCCATCAGTCGGGTCCTTGGAAAGACTGGAGGTACCCGGCCAGATAACATGGCTGGTGGTGGGGGTAAAGATGTGATGTTTGTAGACTCAGAGCTGCTGGGTTATCTTAGAGCCTTGTCTCTGGTTTGAACTGGGCTGCCAAAGCTGTGGAGGGTTTCTTGGAATTTGAGCTACCCAAGAAGAACATAAAATCACTTGTTAACTCAGCTTGCTCCTTTTAGACAAAACCAGGGTATAAATGCCGTCATGCTCCCTGCACGCTTGCCATCAGCTTAGGGGGAGTCAAAAGAACCATGTGGCAACAAAACAGCAGCAATGTTAACTCATGAAAGACACGGCCTTCCTTCATAACTTCCTCTTGTCTTTACGCCCAATTTCATCTTATGCAATGATTTGATTTGGTGTGGGAATCACTCCCTAACTTCTATCTTGATGTTTTTCCATCTGCAATGTCATTTAATTTTGCCATTCTTTCAACACTCCTATTGCCCTGAGACAAGGATTTCATTGGCTCTGTGCTTGTCTCTCTCTGTCCCCACCCTTCTTATAAGCCAAAGCACATACCACATCCAGATTCATCATCCTAAAACACAGCCACCACCTGCCCTTCCCTTGCAAACACCCATGGTCAGCTGTCTACTTCTCTGCATCTCCACCGCCTTTTTCCTTGCGGGGCACAGGTTGAGGGTCGGGACCTTAGTTTTGCATTTTCAGAAATTCAGTTGTATCAGCTTACCCAGCTTGTATTCACACTAACCAAAAGCATGAAAGGCTGAGTTGTAAGCCAGAATAAGTTTTCTCTCTCTCTCTCTTTTTTTAAACAGCAAACAGACCTATGAAACCATCATGCAGATCCATTGTAGTATCTTAGGGCAATTTCTTTCTCAAAAAAATTTTTTTACAATTAAATGGATCTAACATTTAGTACAAGCCTTATGTTTATTTCATTATGGAACATATATTTGAAATATCCTCTTAGATATGTGTGTACCCATCTTTTTTTCACTTAGTACATTTTATTATATTGTGTAATAAACTTTGATTATGAACAATTGAGAACTACTGAAGATGACCCAGAGAGATCATGATTCATTCCCTCAGCTCCAAATGTATAATAATGACAGATAAAACATAGAAGAAAAAAAAAAACAGAAACATAGCCTGGTTTCAAATGCAAGGTAAGTGCTTCATTGTATCAGAAACAGGACAGAAAATAAAATTGTGAGTAGGGCTAAAATATAGGTCTATTGAGCTCTGAGTCCAGAGGTAGGAAGCAGTAAACAGAAATATGTCCCTTTCAGAGTGAAAGGGATTCACAGTGCTTGTGTGCAAGGGGCACTGTAACAGGCTCATGCCTTGAATCCAGGACTGGGGTTAGGCCCTCTGTCTCCCCCAGGGAAGGAGGCTGAAGAAAGCTGTGGCAGGATCGCAGGTTGCTGCTGTGGCATTATAGAAAGCTGCAGACCACTTTCATGGCAGTCTTATGAGTTTGGTAGAACAGATCTCCCTCTGTTTTGCTAGAGAGAAGCTGCTAGAGCCGTAACATGTAGGTACACTTAAATGGCAACTTCGATAAGTTACTGAAGGTTGGGTGTCCAGAATAAGTTTTCAACGAGAAATGTTACCACTAGATAGCTAGAATCTCTCTCCAGCTGCTCAGTGTTTTCTTTAGAAAGAAACCAAAGAACATTTGGTAGCAGGATAATTAATTAGAGCATAGCAGATGGAATGATCTTACTGACCAGTATATTCATGTGATGATACCCAGTATCAGTCAGAAGATATTGACTACATGTCTACCAACAGTTAAGCTACTGCTCCAGACCCTTGGGTTTCATCAGTAAACAAAAATGACAAAAAGAAATTCCTTCTGGGCGGGGGTCGGTGTGGCTCATGCTTGTAATCCCAGTACTTTGGGAGGCTGAGGCTGGCGGATCACTTGAGTCCAAGAGTTTGAGACCAGTCTTGGCAACATAATGAGACCTCATCTCTACAAATAAAAATAATTTTTGGGCTGGGCATGGTGGCTTATGCATGTAATCCCAGCACTTTGGGAGGCCGAGGTGGGCGGATCACCTGAGGTCAGAGTCCGAGACCAGCCTGGCTAACATGGTGAAACCTTGTCTCTACTAAAAATACAAAAATTAGCTGGGCATGGAATACAAAAATTAGCTGGGCATGGTGGCAGGCACCTGTAATCTCAGCTGCTTGGGAAGCTGAGGCAGAATTGCTTAAACCTGGGAGGCAGAGGTTGCAGTGAGCCGAGATTGCACCATTGCACTCCAGCCTGGGCAACAAGAGAGAAACTCCGTCTCAAAAAGAAAAAAGTTTTTTAATTAGCCAGACATGATGTCACATGACTGTGGTCCCAGTTTCTTGGGAGACTGAGGCAGGAGGATCACTTGAGCTCAGGAGGTCCAGGCTGCAGTGAGCCGTGATCACACCACTGCAATCCAGCCTGGGTAACAGGGTGAGACCCTGTCTCAAAGAAATAAAATAAAATAAAGAAATTTCTTATGGAGTTTATATTCTATGCAGAGAGAAAGACAATAACAACAGTAACTCTGATAAAACATTAAATTATATAATATGTGGCATGAGTTGAACTGTGTCCTCCAGACCAGAAAGATATGTTGAAGTCCTAACCCCCTGTACCTTAGAACGTGAGCTTATTTAGAAATGGGGTCTTTGCAGATATAAGTAGTTAAGTTAGAATGTGATCACACAGGAGTATGATCAATATGAGGGGTACAGCAGCAGGAGAAGGCCATGGGATGACAGAGGCGGAGAGCAGAGCAAGGCAGCTGCAAGCCAAGGAAAGGCCAGGATTGGTGGCCACCACCAAAAGCGAGGAAGAGGCAAAGAAAGATTCCACCCAGAGTCTCAGAGTGAGCATGGCCCTTCTGGCACCTTGACTTTGGGCTTTTACCCTCCAAAATCATGAATTAATTTCCGTTGTTTAAAGCCGCCTCTTTCTGATACTTTGTCCTGTCAACCCCAGGAAACTAATAGATACCTTAGAGCGTGGTACACACTGGGGTTGGGGGTGGAATAAAGGAGCTTGTGGTGCAACTCTGCAGGGAGAGGTGGGTTGCAATGGTAAGAAGAGTGGTCAGAGTAAGCTTCATGGAGAAAATGAGATTTGAGTAAAGACTTGAAGGAGGTGATGGAATTGGCCTTGTGTGTATCTGGGCTGAAGAATGGCAAATGCGAAAGTCCTAGGTGGAAGCTAGCCAGACATGTTAGGGAACAAACAAGGAGGCCCTCATGTCTGGAGCAGAATGAAGGGAGAGCTTTAGGAGCCGATGTCAGATGCACAGTGAGGGAGCTTGCTCCTTCCGGGCTGCTATGAACTCGGTCCTTCCAGGATGCTATGAAGATGGGGGCTTTCACTCTGAGTGAGATGGAAAAACTTTGGAGGATTTTGAGCACAGGAGTGACATGATCATTCATCTAAAGGATCCCTCTCCGGCTACTCTGTTGAGAATAGATTTTTGAGGGCAGAGAAAGGCACTATTTCAGGAATCCAAGTAAGCAAGAGTAGAGGCTCACTTTGCTGTGCTGGTCATTGCAGTGATGAGAAGTGGTTGGATTCTGAATATAGTTTGAAAGTAGAGCCAACGGGACTTACAGTTGGATTAGATGTAGGGTGTCTGTTGCTTCCCAAGTGCCAGAATACCCCATTACTTCTTGGAGAATATTGGAGATACCCAGATAAAGTCTTTCTCATTGATTTTCCCTTTCTAGCATGTTACATTGAGATGCTTACCTCTCTTTCATGAAAAAAATTACCTTGGATAGATTGCAAGAAATATTTTTAGTATAAAAGTACTATATATATATGATTTTTAAAATAGTCAAACAGTACAGAAGGACATAATATGAAAATGAGGCCAGGCATGGTAGGTCATGCCTGCAATCCCACACTTTGGAAGGCCAAGGCAGGTGGATGGCTTGAGCTCAGGAGTTCAAGACCAGCCTGGGCAACATGGGAAAACCTCATCTCTACAAAAAATACAAAAATTAGGAGGGTGTGGTGGTGCGTGCCTGTAGTCCCGACTACTTGGGAGGCCAAAGTGGGTGAACCACTTGAACCTGGGAGGTTGAGGCTGCAGTGAGCCATGATTGCACTACTGCAGTCCAGCCTGGGCAACAGGCTAGAGCGCAATGTGACCCTGTTTCAAAAAAAAAAAAAAAAAAAAAAAAAAGAAGGAAAATTAAAAGCCTTTCTCTCCCTCCCCAGTTTCACAGTTCAGCTATAACCACTACTAATAGTCTATTCTCACAAAAAACCGTAATGCACATATCACATATATGTGACATAGCCTATCTTTTACCCAGTTAAGATCATATATATACCGTTCTGCTTTTTTTCTCTTACGTAAGTGTATGTATAACTTAGACATTGTTTCAAATCAACATTTACAAAACTACCTAATTCTTTGTAATGATCATATAATATCACATTGTATGTATACACCATGATTTAATTAGTTGATCTTTTATTGATGGACTTTTTTAAGGTTGAAATAGACACCTTTCTAAATAACAGTAGTAAAAAAGTGAACATACATATAGCACTTACTATGTGCCCAGCACAGTTCTAAAGAACTCTTCTATTTCTCACAAGATCCCAATAGGCAGAGACTACCACTATCCCAAGTTTACAGGTGAGGACACTGAGTCCTAAAGGGGCTAAGCAACTTGCCAAAGGTCACATTGCTGACATGGGATAGATCAGTCCATCCTGTAGAACTTCTCTATTTCTTTATACCTTATAGGACCACTACATATTTGTGGGACAAAATCCTGAAACAAAATTGCTAGACCATAGAGTACATGTATTTTAAACTTTGACAGATAATCTCAAGTTGACCTCCACAGAGGTGGTACCAATTTACAACAAATCATATGAGAAAGTTTCTTTGCACATGCTCCTAACAACATTGCTTGCAATCAGATGTTAAATCTTCACCAAGCTGACAGAGGAAGAATGGTATCTCATCTGTATTTTAATTCCTAGCTATTTAATTGTGAGTAATTTTGAACATTTTTTTGGTGTTAGTTGGCCATTTTTGTGGGTGTATAAACTGCCTGTTCATGTCTTTTGCCCGTTTTCCTTTGGGTTGTTCACCTTTTTTAAAAAATAAACTCATATGAGCACTCTTTGTATATTAATGAAATTAACCCTTTCTATGTTCCAGTTAGTTCTCCAGTTTTTTGCTTGTCTTTTGCCTTTGAGATTTTTTTTTTCTATATGAACATTTGACAAATTAGTTGTTTTCATTTTATAGTTTCTGTTCTTACTCATTCTCTTAGTGAGAATTTAAAAGACCTTCTTTTCCATGTATGAGAGTGCATTGAACTAAAATGGTAACTTTCATTTGCATTTCCAAAAGAATTTCATTGCAAATGAGTTGCATATTTTGACTGCCAAAATAATATTATTTTGATAATATCATTCATGATATATCAACAGACAAATAGGATGGATTTAGTGGATTCACAATTATTTAAAATATTTTATTATATTAATGTTGATTAACATCAATGCAACGTAAAAGGAGAAGATGGTCACTAGTGGCATACCACTAGTCTCTGTATTTAGTTCCACCTGTTTGATATTTTGCTTAAATATTTGGACTAGAATAAAATAGGCATGCTTACTAGATTTAGTAATGGTACAAAGATGGAAGGATTGTTGATATGCTAGATGTTGGACGCAGATTCAAATTGATTTTAACAGTTTGGAACAATCAGCAAAACTAATAAGGTGGAATTTAATCAGGATAAATGTGAAGTTCTGTAATGAGGTTAAAAAATGCCTGAACATTAGAGGGTGAGAGACACCTAAACCACTGGTAATTCAAATAAAATCATTTCAGGGGTTTAACTTAATGAAAATTGCAGTACTGGCCAATAGACAGAATTGCCAGAAGAACTAATGAGATCTTGAATTACATTAATAGAAATATTTCATCCAGAATAAAAACAGCAGGAGTCCCACATGTATGCTTTGCTGGTATGCCTACACTGGAAGTACTGTTTTAGTTCTGAGTGTCATATTGTAAGGGCTATATTGACAAAATAAAGTTCTCCCAAGAATGGAAACTATATCTTGTGATATTTAAACTAGAAAAGGGGAATTGTTATGAGAATAATCATTGTTAGATATTTAAAGGACTGTTAGGTAGAGGTATGCTTATATTTATCTATGTAGCCACAGAGGATGAAATTAGGACAAGAGAACTGAAGTCATAGAAGGGAGACTCCTACTCCATTTAAAAAGAATTGTCTAACGTTGAAGCTTCCCAAGAATTGAATGATTGTCTTATGAGAGAGTGAAATTTCCATCATCAGGCTCATTCAAGCTGAAGTCCAAGGGTGTTTTAAAAGGAATTAAACACTGGCTGAGATCAGATATAAGATCAGTCACAGGGAATTTGTTACCTGTGATTTAAGGGGGCCAATGCTGGCAGCTTCAGTGTTAGTCCTCTAGTAATGGCATTTTCAATTGCTGGCATTCCGTTAAGCATCACTTGAGTTGGAAAGGGGGGAACAGAGTTTCTGCTCATCCTATTTGCTGCAGTCAAATATATGTGTGCAACATTGGTAGTGTGTCTTGCAGGAAAAGATCATCTATCATGTCTGTTCATGCAGGAAAAAAAAAAAAGGACAAAAAGCCACTAGTCCGATGATCTTAAAAATCCCTTCAGTTCCTGAGACTCAAGATTCTGCAAGTGGGAAAGCTGGCACAGCTTCAGTCAGGAGAAGTTGGTTGTAGACAATGGCAGAGGTTTAGGAATGAAGTAGCTGGCATCAGAGGTGAGGAGTGGTTTGGCCACATGCAAATTGTCAAGCGGGGAAGGTGGGGCCTCGGTTAGCAAACAAACCAAGGTAGAGACAAAAGTGAAGCTTGACCACATTGAAGAAAGCAGGAGACTAAATTTTGGAGGTGAAATTCAATGAAACCAAGACCTATCCTGGTCTTCACCCGCCTACCTTTCCAAGCATCATCCCCCATCCTCACCCTGTCAGTACCCAGCTGTTCACGGTTCCCTGAACACGAGGAGCACTCCCTTTGCACACGCTGCCCTTCTGCCTAGAATACCATTGCCTCCCTTGTATATCAAGGTTGACCAGACTTTCTCAAGACGTAACTTACACACCAGCTCTTCTGTGGTCTCCCTGAGCCTCTCTAGACAGAGGTAGGCATTTCGTCCTCTGTGTTCTGACAGCACCCTCTGGCATAAGGATTGCATTCATATAATTATTCTTGGTATGTCTGATCCTGCCACTTAGCTGTGAGCCCCTCAAAGCTAGAAACGATGTTCCCTTATTTTTCTTTTCTTTCTTTCTTTCTTTTTTTTTTTTTTTTTGAGATGAAGTTTCACTCTTGTTGCCCAGGCTGGAGTGCAATTGTGAGATCTCGGCTCACCACAACCTCCGCCTCCCAGGTTCAAGCGATTCTCCTGCCTCAGCCTCTCTAGTAGCTGGGATTACAGGCATGTGCCACTATGTCAGCTAATTTTGTAATTTTTTTAGTAGAGATGGGGTTTCTCCATGTTGGTCAGGCTGGTCTCGAACTCCCGACCTCAGGTGATCTGCCCGCCTCAGCCTCCCAAAGTGCTGGGATTACAGGCGTGAGCCACCACGCCCAGTGCTCCCTTGATTTTTCTATCATCAGAGTTTAAATTGTTTCAGATACATTTTTTGGCTCAATGGATATTTGGTGAATGAATAAATGAATGAGTGAATGCGGCAAGGAACAGCAGCACAGCAGAGCCCATCCTCTGGAACCAGATGTTCTCTTTTTTTAGTAAACCATGAAGAAGAGGAGTGAGCACTCATGTGGGCCAAGTAACCCAAACTGTAGAGATTCAAATATTTGGGGGATAAAGAGCCTGGCATGCCATTATAAGAATCTCAAATTTTCCTGATATCCACAGGAGCCTCTGGCACTGTGTTTTGCCAAATAAATATGATGATTCACACTAAATGCATCTCAAATGAGCGAACACATGTATGAATAAATGAATGAAAACCCATTTCATCAAGTGCAGACTGTTTTTCTGGAGTCGAAATGCCTACAATTGCCACCAACCCCCCTCCGCCTCCACTGATAAGCCTTACCCTGCTGCTTCCTAAGACATCAGCCTCCTCTGGTTGGTCTGCTCAGATAGGTGGGTGATTCGGTCTGGTCAGACAGGTTGAAATGGTTGAAATGCCCATCTCTCTCTGTCCCCCGTCTCACTGATCACCAGGTTCGACTCACTCGCCTGAATGTTTTCGTAGCTCCCCTTTCTCACTCACTTCTTACCACCCACATTGCTCTTGGTTTTCTCAACCAGAGAACTGCTATTAAGGAAAGAGCATGTTCTTTAGGACTTCCCTGCTCCAGGCTCAGGTTCCATCCCCTAAAGTTTATTCTTGTCCCCTGGCAACCCCTGGCAATTGCTTTTGTTACTTACTCACTTGTAGTGACCCCACCCTTCTCCTCTCTATTTAATTTGTTGTTGTTCTTCCAGCAAGAGACTTATTGAAAGGAAGCCGCCACTCACCCAGCCCCTGTAATATGGCATCCCCTGTGCTCAGGTCTGAAGACGCCAGGGCAAATGCAACACAGGCCTGCTCTCCAGTGGCCTGAGCTTACCTGGCTGCCCTGCCCCGGTTTAGGCTTGTCATCACCCTGCCTCGTTGGTACTTAATTATCCTCAATCTCTCTCACTCTTTTTTGTTTGTTTGTTTGTTTTTGAGATGGAATCTCACTGTGTCACCCAGGCTGGAGTGCAGTGGCATGATCTCGGCTCACTGCAACCTCCGCCTCCCTGTTTCAAGGAATTCTCCTGCTCATCCTCCCTGAGTAGCTGGGACTGCAGGTACACACCACTATGCCCAGCTAATTTTTTAGTCTGTTTTTAGTAGAGACAAGGTTTCACCATGTTGGTCAGGCTGGTCTCAAACTCCTGACCTCAAGTGATCCACCTGCCTTGGCCTCCCAAAGTGCTGGGATTACAGGCTTGAGCCACTGCACCTGGCCCTGATCTCTTTATAGTGTCACTTTTCCTCAAGATATTGCAAATTCTATTTTCTTCATAACCTACTACAGCAACCAGCTCAATGCTAGAGTCATACCAGGCACAATACATATTTGTCGCCCAAGTTGGAGGGGCAGCTTTTCTTGGGTTGACATGACTCATCCTGGAAAAATAACTCCCTGATCCTTTGAAAAGCAACCTTTATGCTTTTCTTGGATTGGAGGTGAAATGGGGAATTTGCCTCTTTCTCCTTGAAACTTCTCATTAAAGAAAACTAAACTTTCAGAAATTTAAACAGAAATTCAAAGCATCCCATTTTGTCAGTGTATGTCGATGTAATAATATTGTTTATACTCTCTCTTCTAGAAAACATGGAGTCTGTAACATGTTTGAGCCGTGGTTCCTAGTTTCTTTTTCCTTGTCTGTGCCTGGGTTCAGTTTTACATTTGGGTTGGTTTTGATGTCAGAAAGTAGAAGGATATGAGGGAAATAAGCCCGAACCATAATTCAGAAAGATGCTTTCAATACCAAAGGATGTGTATCATCAGCTAACAGTAAAGTTTTTCCCTTTCTCTGCATCTGACTTTGTCTGGGAAGCACTTCTGGTCTCAAGGGAAAAAACAAAATAAAATAAAATATAAGCCACCATTAGGAATATAAAAAAGACTGTAGATAGCTGAAAAACGGATTATGCAACGCAACAGGATGAAATAACCCACAGCACCAAAACCCAGGGCTGCCAGGGATCAATGACCACTGAGCCCATAATGATCCTCTTACATCAAAAGCCCTTTCAAGACATAGCAACATACCTGCCCTGCAAAGACTCTTGAACCAGAGGATAATGTAATCATCAATACACTATCCTTTCTCTTTTGTGAGCACTTTAGAAAAAGCCCAGCAGAGTGGTGACTCGGTATTAAGTGTCGTTTTAAACAATACCTCGAAACCATAATGCAATCTTACTCCTGAAATGTGAAGTATTTGCTGCCACCGTGGGTACACCTGGCACGTCTGGTTGCTAATAGAATAAATCCGTGATTTTCTTTTCACTTGCATTCTCACTTCTTGCCTGAGTAAGCTGCAAATCAGTTGAACTTACCCTTCTTTTCTGTTTTGTTTCAGGGTCTGGTATTTGTTTGTGCTTTATCTTCCCCTACCTCTTAATAAAAAGAGTAAACCAGTCTGCCTGTGAGAGTATTGACTGTGGTTAAGAATGCGGGATTGTGTTGCAAAGAAGCTCAGGCCTGTAATGTTATCACTCAGCAGGACTGGGTCCCATCAGAAGGCACATGGTGTGCCATGACGTAGCTGGTCTTCGACCACAAAAGCAGACTTTTCTCTGTGAATTAGACAAACCACACAAAAGGCAACAATAGCTAGCATAAACACCATTTAATACTATTCACAGGCTATTGAAGAGATGGGCGTTGACTAAGAATTGCTGCAACGCCAAGACATTGTAGTCAGATGAAAAGAGGCCTAATGAACAGGAAGCATCATTTGAGCAGGCTGACAGTAACCATATAACGGCGGGATTGTGGGGCTGGCATTTACCCCAAGGGTCTTTACGGTGAGAAAAATAAAGAGAAATTAAAGCATAAGGAATCCTCTTTGTGGGCACTTAAAGCCCATGAAGCAACACAAGAAGCTATACAATTGTCTTTTCAAGGCTCGTCTGTGCTTTAGATAATTATGAAAAGGAAACAGTTGGGGTGTGCTTGCTTATAGGAGTCTATATGACCCATTGGGAAGACTCTTCTATAAAAACAGATGAAATTTTCACAGCAAAATGAATAATTGTATGAGCTTTCACCTTGTTTTAAGACAGGAAGAACTAACTTCAGCTGGATTAGTCAAGCTATTTCGCCATTTCTGGCAGCCCCTTCTGGGTACACGAGGTATCCGTGGCAAGACATCCTCATTTTTCAACAGGTTCATGAAGAAAAGGAAAGTTAAATAAATCTTTGGAAATATAATGCTTATCTTTAAAATATTTATACCTCTGTCTAATAGATACTCATTTATAGGAATATGACGTAGGGATTTAAAGAAAATACTTTTGAAGCAAATCTTTAATGATAATCATTCTTTGATGTATACTGAGCATTTTGTTAAAAAAAAAAGCGTAATCAGTACACAAAATACATTAAGGAATGCTACTGAGGATCGCACAAGGAGATTTTTTACAAGCTAGAAGGAACCCTGGAATGTTCTGGAATGACATTTTACTGAGGGAAAAATAAGAACCAGGGTGTTAAGTGACCAGCTATAGTCATATAACTAGTGATAGCAACTCACGTGAGACCCAGGTCTCCTGACTCCCTGTCCACTGTGCTTTCTACTATTTTGAATATAGAAATATTTTGATTTTTTAATATAGACATCATTATTTCATATATAACATAATCTTTTTGGTTGTTTATTTAGCTGTTTAACCTCTCCTGGTTGTTTAACATCCCTGTGCCTCAGTAGTACTCTCTGTACAATGGGGTTAACCTACCCTAAAGAAATGTTGAGAAGGACTAAATGAGTAAGTGTATATAAATGTTTGCTACTATTATTGTTTATAAAACAGCAGTGAGGATTTTGAAGATGATGGTTCCACTGAAGTCTGGGCTATCAGGGAACATCTGGATCACTCAGGAAGACCAACAGCTCTTACAGCAGGTAAGAGGTCTGAAGACCAAAGAAGTTCTGATTGACCCGAGACACAGACATTGACAGACCATTCTCAGGTCTTCTCACTGCAAACCAGAGCTCTTTTTCTAACTCTATGATGATGTCTCTCAAGACCTTAAAATATACTCTGTAAGAACAGTGAAACTGCCTACTGTAACCAAGCATGTTGAATAAAGCTCCCAGTAGAAGCTGACTATATACACTAAATGCTCTTTTCTTTAAAGCAGTTTTCAAATTTTAGTGTGCATTAGAAAAGAAAAGAAGTTTAGGGAGGTCCTTCCCCAACATATTATAATTCCGTGGGTCTCACAGAGGGCCCAGGAAACCATGTTTTTAAAAAGCACCTCTCGTCAGTGATTCTGATAGGTTGTCCAAACGCTACACTTTAAGGAAAATTCCCTGAAAGAATAGATTCCAGTTTTCTTATTTGTACTCTGTGTCAACAGTTGCCATCTAAGTTGGTTTGCTGGCAATGATGATAATCAACAAAAGGATTCTTTTATACTAGTAAAAAATTAACTAGAAAAAAAAAGCTAGTTCTGCTAAAGCTGAACCCATCTTGCTGTCTCAAAGCCCCAAATTATCACTCTAACTCCAGTCAATCATCTTGCCCATGTAAAAATAATGGATTTGTGACAGAGAACATAACAGGTCATCACTGATACCTTATCACAATAGGAAAAGCTCCGAGAAACACTGCTCTACTGAATGGTAGATTTATCAATGTCAGACATTCATTTATTCATCTACCAATCATCTTTGCCAAGAACTACGGTTCTGGAAAAGAGAGATTTAAACGAAACAAGCCATAATACCTTCAGCCCTCAGGCGGGTTATAACCTAGTAGGACAAGTAAAACATACACACACTTATCTTTGAATAAAAGGCATAGTATACCACCCGAGTTGTTCTGCAACTAGTTCAGCTGCTGATTTGTATTTTCTTTCTCCTCAAGTCGCTTAAAGTAACACAGGGATCAGATAATGGAAGGGACGCCAGAGCGAAAAAGATAAAGCAGGAAGAGGCCATCTACTGGCAGCTTTCTTCCTGTCCACTTCGCCTGCCCTATTTGTGTTTGCTTGACTCCTCCGCACATCCTGAAAACTTTGCACACAAATATCTTCACTATATCGCTTTAGCCCCATCCAAAAAAAGTGTACTGAGCAATTGTTCTGTGCCATGCTTTGGGAACCTCCCAACAATGGGAAAGGAATAGAATGGGGCCTGGGCAGTCAAACAGGCAGAGAATATTCTTTTTTTTCCCCCGCCAAGACTCCGCTCTTGTCACCCAGGCTGGAGTGCAATGACGCGATCTCGGCTCACTGCAACCTCCGCCTCCCAGGTTCAAACAATTCTCCTTCCTCAGCTTCCCATGTAGCTGGGATTACAGGCGACCGCCACCATGCCTGGCTAATTTTTTCGTATTTTTAGTAGAGATGGGGTTTTACCATGTTGGCCAGGCTGGTCTCGAACTCCTGACCTCAGGTGATCCACCCGCCTCGGCCTCTCAAAGTGCTGGGATTACAGGTGTGAGCCACCGTGCTCAGCCAAGGATACTCTTTATAGCATCATTCATTAGTATTTTCTCTCTGCCCCAAAGTGTGCATTAGACCTTTACAAATAATGGTGTCATTTAATCTCCACCGTAACCCTGACAGCATTATTACCTTCGTTTTATGATGAAAACACTGAGGCTTGGGGAAGTCAAATAATTTTCCAGCTTCACACAGCTGGTGTTAGAAAAAAGATGAAAATCCTGTCTGATTCTAAAGATCACATTCTTAACTTCTCTGCATATTTGAATTTCTATTTTCTGTGCACTCACTATATGCCAGGCCCAGTGCTAGACAGAGGTTATGTTCACACCGTGTAAGGAGTTCCGGAATGCTAACACATTGATTGTAAGGCAGTGCTTCTCCCGCGGAGGCAATTGTGAGGCTCCACTCACCGGGAGTATTTATCAATGGCTGGAGACATTTTTGGTTGTCAAACTGTAGGAGAAGGGAGTGTACGGGCATCCTCCGAGTCGAGGCCAGGGATGCTGTGATGTATCCAGCAGCACACAGGGGAGCTCCCACAGCAAAGAATTAGCCTGCCCAAAGTGTCAGTGGGGTTGAGGCTGAGAAACCCTATGATGAAGGAACTGAGTGGAAGCAGCATTAACTGGGGAGGGAGTGGCAGAGGGTCAGAATGATTCCAAAGAAGGTGATACTTTGAGTTGAGCTTGGAAGGGTGAGTGAAAATTTTCCATCTTGAGAGAGGAGAGTGAATCAGGAAGAGAACACGAGAGAAGATGCTCAGCGAACAGCAGGTGTTTTGCAGGATGTGAGCAGAGGGAGTGCATGGGAAGGGAAGGAGGCAATAAGCCTGACAGACAAGCCTAGGTGCCTTCTGCTCAGGAGGGAAGAGGCACAGGCCAGAGTCAGAGTGGGGAGGGGACTGGCAGTAAAGAGACCAGTCTAATGAGGTCTGCACTCATTAGACTCATTCCCCTAAAGTTAGAGAACCCAGAAGGCAGGATTTGTCAGAGCAAACAGGGAGAGGATGCAGATGATATGGAGGAAGTGGAATAGACTCTCATTGTCTACTTTAGTGGGATGAAGAAAAGGGAGAAATCAAGGCCCAGGGCCTGGTTTAGAGTCTGTTTAGAGTCTGCAGAACTGGGAAGTGTTGAAGTGAAAGAGAAGAAACATGGTTAGAGCAGGAATGCTGGTTACTCAGGATGGGTCTCACATTGGCCTCTGTATTCTTTTGTCCAACCAACTATGGATCTGGTGGGTATGATACTCAGGCCCTATCTTCACAGTTCTAGAAATTAGATCTACAAATGTATCTGCAAAAAAAGTCAAGTTCCCCCCTTTCTTGTGACCATAGGGGTTCATGGGAAAGGGGACATCTGCCTTTGCTCAAGCTTGCTGCCTCCTCTACTATGCTTTCTTCTTCCTTTCTCTACAAGTTTCTCCAAAGCATCATCTATAATCCTTGTTTCCAATTCCCGTAGCTTCTCACAATGTTTTTTCCTCATCACATTACTGAGACTGAATTTTCTAAGGATATTGTTGATCTTAGCACTTAAATCCAATGGCCTTCTTCAAGCTCTATCTTCTGCAACTAATTTGCAGTGTTTCACACTGTTAACTTTATCATTTTCCTTGAAATGCTGATTTTCCTGGGTTTCCATCCTACTGACTCTCATGATTCACTCATAACCCCTTTTTGAACTCAGCAAGGGTCCCAAAAATGGGATCCCCCAAGAGGTCACCCTGACCCTTCTTATCTATTTCTTCATTATTTTCTCTTGGAAACCCCATACCTCCATTTACTATCTATCTTATACACACCCAAATACAATGTATAGTTCTTGCCCTGTCTTTTATCTCATTGTCTTTCCAGTTCCTTACCTCCATAGGGAGATCACAGCAGTGCCTCCAGCTGTGAAATGCCATGGAATAGACTGAGCACTGACTCCATCATCTGTGTCTCTCTGGCCCTGGCCATGGTGCTTACCACTCCAATCAGCTCACATATTAATGAAGTTAATGTGTATTAAATGACTGTTAGAGATAGAATGGCCATAACCAAAAAAGACAGCACTACTGAAAAAAATAGATAATACAAAAAGTGGAAAAACATCCCATGCTCATGGATTAGAAGACTTAATATCATTAGAATGACCATACTGCTCAAAGCAATCTGCAGATTCAACACTATTGCTATCAAACTACCAACATCATTTTTTCACAAAATTAGAAGAAAACTATTCTAAAATTCATGTGAAACCAAAAAAAGAAAAAAGAGCCTGAATAGCCAAAGCAGTCCTCACCAAAGTAATAAACCTGGAGAAATCACATTACCCAACTTCAAACTGTATTACAAGGCTACAGTAACCAAAACAGCATGGTACTGGCACAAAAACAGACACATAAACCAATGGAACAGAATAGACAACCCAGAAATAAAGTTTCACTCCCACAGCCATCTAATCTTTCACAAAGTTGACAAAAATAAGCAGTGGGGAAAGCCCTCCCTATTCAATAAGTGGTACTGGGATAACTGCCTAGCCATATGCAGAAGAATGAAATTGGAACCCTGCTTTTCACCATAAACATAAATTAACTCAAGATGGAATTAAAGATTTAAATGTAAGACCTCAAACTATAAAAATCCTAGAAAAAAAGCCTAAGAAATATCATCCTGGACATCAACCCTGGGAAAGAATTTATGACTCAGTCTTCAAAAAGATGCAACAAAAATAAAAATTGACAAGTGGGACCTAATTGGATTAAAGAGCTTCTGCACAGCAAAATAAACTATCAATAAAGTAAGCAGACAACCTACAGAATGGGAAAAAATATTTGGAAACTATGCATCCAACAAAGTTCTAATATCTAGAATCTATAAGGAACTTAAATCAACAAGCAAAAAACAAATAACCCTATTAAAAAGTGAGCAAAAGGCAGGAACAGATACTTTTCAAAAGAAGACATAACAAACATCCAACAAACATGAAAAAATGCTCATCACTAATCATCAGAGAAATGCAAATCAAAAAACCACAGTAACATACCACCTCATACCAGTCAGAATGGCTATTATTAAAAAGTCAAAAACCAACAGATGCTGGAGACTGCAGAGAAATGGGAACATTTATACACTGTTGGTAGGAAGGTAAATTATTTCAGCTACTGTGGAAAGCCGTTTGGACACTTCTCAAAAAATTAAAAATACAACTACCATTTGACCCAGCAATCCCATTACTGGGTATATACCCAGAGGAAAATAAATTGTTCTACCAAAAAGACATGTGCACTCATATGTTCACCACAGCATTATTCACAGTAGCAAAGACATGGAATCCACCTAGGTGCCCATCAACAGCAGACTGGCTAAAGAAAATATGGGGCTTACACATCATGGAATACTACACAGCCATAAAAAAGAATTAAATCATGTCCTTTGCAGCAACATGGATGCATCTGGAAGCTATTATCCTAAGCGAATTAACACAGGAACAGAAAGTAAGGTATACATGTTCTCACTTACAAGTGGGAGCTAAACCTTGCATACTCACAGACATAAAGGTGGCAACAATAGACATTGAAGACTACTAGAGGGAGGAGCAGGGTTGGGGGTAGTGTTGAAAAACTACGTATTGGGTACTATGCTCACTACCTGAATGATGGGAACATTTGTACTCTAAGCCTTGGCATCACATGATATACCCACATAACAAACCCGCATATGTACCCCCATATCTAAAATAAAAGTTGAAATTATTTAAAAATAAATAATAAATAAATAAATGCATGATAGATTTCAGCAGTGGGGAAAAAATAACAAGTTTTGGCAAAGATAAAGAGAAACTGGGATGCTTATACATTGTTTGCGGGAATGCAAAATAGAACAGCCATTTTGGAAAACAGTTTGATAGTTTCATTTAAGAAGTTATACATAAATTTATCATCTGGCCCAGCAATTGCACTCCTAGTTATCTACCAAAGAGAAATGAAAGCCTATCCACACAAAGAATTGTACGTAAATGTTCTTAGCAGGTAGTGCATAATAATCAAAATGGAAACAAACTGATGATGAATGGATAAACAAAATGTGACATATTCATAAAATGGAATATTATTCAACAATTAAAAGAAGTACTGATACATGCTACAATATTAATGAATCTCAAGAACATTATGCTAAGTGAAAGAAGCAAGATAAAAAAGACTACGTGCACATTTTAGGACTACTTTTATATGAAATGCCCCAAAAAGAAAAATCCACAGAGACAAAATGCAGGTTAGCAGTTGCATGGGGTTTGGGGAATGGGAGAAGGAGTTGACTGCAAACAGACCCAAGGGACCTTTTTGGAGTAATATAAATGTGTTCTACAACTGGATTATGGTGACATTTGCACAACTCTGAAAATTTACCAAAAATCACTCATTGTACACTTAGAATGGGTTAATTGTATGATATGTAAGTTATACCTGCTTCTAAAAATGACTATTGCAATAATATTTCATCTTCTCTATTTTGCTCACAATTTGCTTCACTGTTCATGGAATCACTCACTATCTAAAATAAGATATCCCCAGAAATTGGACACAATTTTATGCTTTGAGAGTGAAGACAGAAGAATCTGCTTGTGATGGGCTTGTCCAAGGAGCATGAGAGACAGTCAAATGTAAGGACATAACTCAGAGGCATGAATGTATCTACATCTGAAGCTACAGCCTTATCATTTGGGAGTTTGTACATCAGTCTTTCATAAATCCTACTTCACTTGGCCAGCTTGGGGCCTCCTAGCAATATTCATTGGTTTACCAAGAATATTTTTATAGGCTGCACAAAGGTAAACTTTGGCTCAGTTCTTGCCTACATCATTATAATTTCTCAATTATTGGGATAAAACTAATAAAGCTCAATTAAACCTTAAATACATCATTATACTCTGAATTTTAAAAATTGTCAAAGTTACAGCTAATGACAATAGAATTTACTGTTACTTTCTATATTTTGTTCTAATTATGAAAGCCCATTAAAACTCTAAATAAAGAAATAATTTGAAACTCATAAGCTTTGAAATCAACTCAATGAACTTACATAATTACATTCACATGACATAAAGGATTATTCGAAATACAATTGAAGAGCAAACATATGCACAGATTTAGACAATATTCATGATTTATAGCAAATTATAAAATCTTCCAGGCAACATTTTAAGGAATCCATGTTTTAAATCATTACTTGACTTGTTCTTGGCATATAAATAATTATGGAGTGCAGAGTCTTCATTGAGTTTATCCTCATCACTGGCTTGCTTTAGACATACAGGTTTCCATTTTGTAAGCCAAATTACCCCAACTTTGGTTACAAACCATCAGAGCATCATGCAGCAAACACTAACTGTCCAGTTGGTAAAACTGATGCTTTCATCTTTGAGTCTATGTACCAGCCAGAGGCAAAACTCTCTGGACATGGCCTGAAAAAGAGGATGTTTGCTTTGTCCCTGCCTCTGCTGAGGAAGGACTCTGTGAGCTGCATAGCAGAGGCAGAAGAGCAGGGTGCCCACTTCTATGGGGAGTTGATCACAACAGCGGCCTCCAGATGGGCAGAGCTGGCAGCTTTCTTGTGGCCTGTGTGAACTGTGTGATCTCATGCCTCTTTGAGCCCAAGGACAGCACTGAGGGGCTTTATTTGCACTGCACCTGCCCCGTAAGCAACAGCATTGATTTCTGCTCCCAGAAACCCTCAGTAAGTAGAACTATTCACTGACGATGCTGCCTGTTTACATCACCCGGGAAGAAGGGTCTGAGCATTTTCTGCCTCTCATGCCTATAAGTGATGGAACTTTCATCTTATCTTTATTCTCTGGTTCATTTATTTTTATAAGATACTGCACAGACAAGAAACCCACACCCAGCCTCTGGCTCTGGATCTGTGAGGAATCATACAACATATTTCTTTTGTTTTAATATAAGATAATGCATGATTAGCCTGCCCCTGCCCACTGACTCAGAGTAAATTTCTCGTAAACAAAAGAAGCAAGTCAAAGAAGCATTAAAATGACACTTTATACTCTATTGGAAGTTTCCCTTCTTTTCTTTGGTGGTTGGAGTGGGGACAGGGGAAATAGCTTTAGCTAATTAACCAAGAGTGAATCAGCTTACTCCTGACTTTTAAGTTCAGACCTTCTCAGATGGATAATTTTTTATTCCCTCTGCAAAGATTCTTTATGGGAGAACCTTCTGAAACTCACTTAATCCAAAATGTGGTGACTGAAGCTCCCTACTGTCTCTTCTGCCCAGTTGAAGTTGGATTTCTTGTGGTTCTGGACTAGCGGAACCTCTCTTCAACCTCCACCTCCTACATGGCCTTTGCGCATTTGAACACAGTCAATACACCTCTTTGTGGCAAAGGGATTCCACGTTACTGGGCTTCTGAATAATTGTTATCTGATTATTATAAAATCACAGAACTTAAGAATGAAAAGGAACCTGAGATTATCTGCTCCAACTTCTTCCCTGTGCAAGAATCTGGCTACAATTCCCCAGCAGCTCCGAACCCTACTTAGTTAGGGGATTGACTGCATCGGGGGATAAGACGGGTTGCACTAGGGTAGTCTATATTTTAAATAAATCTATAAATTAAAATGCTCTTCCTTGAGCAAAGCAGTTTGCCTCCCAGTACCTTCCACTGGGTCCCAAATAGTCTTTCTAGAAAGATACAAAACAAACTGGAGCTTTTTTTTTTTTTTCAAGACAGAGTTTCACTCTTGTTGCCCAGGCTGGAGTGCAATGGCACGGTCTCGGCTCACTACAACCACCGCCTCCCAGGTTCAAACAATTTTCCTGCTTTAGCCTCCCAAGTAGCTGGGACTACAGGCCCGCACCACCATGCCCAGCTAATTTTTGTATTTTTAATAGAGATAGGATTTCACCATGTTGGCCAGGATGGTCTCAAACTCCTGACCTCAGGTGATCCACCCGCCTCAGCCTCCCAAAGTGCTGGGATTACAGGCGTGAGCCACTGCACCCAGCCTGGAGCCACTTTCTTATAGAAAACCTTCAAATACTTGACACTTCTAGATACTCTGATTTACATACACTTAACACACTTGGCTTTTAGATCAGAAGACTGAATTATGCTTTAGTCTTTTAATGTTATGGTGTTTATTTTCACACTAACATTGCAATAAAACTACACAAATACCAAATATAACAGTTACACATGAATGATAAAGAATAAATACTTTAAATAAAGTTAAAAAAAAGAAGCACCTTCACTTGCAAAGTAGAAACTTCACAATAGTTTATATCAGTTGTCTAAATGGGATATGTCCAAAATCAACCTTTGTGGTGGAGGAAGAAAAGTATAACTTCTACTGATAGTTTTAAATCTAAAATGTAAGAAAGAAACTAAGCTTTATTAATATTTATGATATGAAGTAGTACATGTGTATACTTTATGAAAAATAAACATGCCTAGGCTAGGGCGTATGTTCAGGTTTCCTTAATTATAGGTATACACTATCAAAAAATGTCTGGAGCCCTCTGGTTTAAACTATTTTGATTAACTATTAACTCACTCATCTAAGTTGCAAATTTCTAAAAGTAAAGTAAAACATTAGTATCCTTAAACAGAGAGATATTTCATAAAGTAGTCTGAGATTATGCCAGCAAAAAAATAAAGAATGTATTTCAATGTGTTTTAAATTGCATTAACTGTTTTAATGACTCAAATAGATGTTGTTTGTCTAAATCTCCCAAAAATAAGACAAATGGAAACAAAGTTTACTTAATCTGATAAAACAGAAATAAAAAGTGTATTCTAATACCAATTTAATCTAATTAGAAATCATTGATTTAATTTTTCTCTTTTAGTGCTGTCATTGCTATTATAACAGTTGTCTGAGTCAAGATAACATTTTTTCCCCAGTGATTGCTGTCAATGATTATTCAGGGATCACTTTTATCCTTTCTGGAGCAATGGTGCATAAAGCATATATAGGATGCTTTAATCTAGGTACATAGCTCAGTAAATCGGGATATTATAAACCTATGCTATGAGGTTTTTATCTGTGATCTTGAATAAAGTGCTAATGTTTTATATCTTTCTCCATCTTTAAAATGGGGGTAGTGGCCTGAAGGTACAAAGAAGCATCTGGTTTAAAAGAAGAAAGCAATGAAAAACAACAACTTAGGAAATAAGAGAATGAACTTAAGAAGTCTGAGATAGAGACCCTATGGAGATACTAGTCAGGCACAGTTATTTGAAAAACATGTATACTCTGAATTCGCCAAAGATATTTATACACCGCAGCGGCAGTAATATTGTAGCAAATCATCCTCAAAATGGGGCAGTTCACTTTAATAGGAAGGAAAAAGAAACACATCAGAATCACATCACTTAACTATTCAGTGAATTTGCAGCACCTCTAACTTAAAGAATATCACACACATTCACTCGCACATACACAGATTACACAAAAACCAAAGAACTGAATCCGTTTTGTTTTGTTTTTTTCTGATTTTTAAAAGACAGATTGGTACTACTGGAACTGAGGAGTAAGAGGTAATAATTGCCCATCCTTGATATGCATTTTAATGAATGTTCAGCAGCTTTGTGTGTGTGTTTGAATCCATGTATTATTTCTCTCTATTTTCCTTTGATGTCTTTCACAGTTGTGATGTATACAGAGTGGCAGAAACAGCAGACAATGCAGTATTCGGAAGATGTTAACCTGCTCAAGAGTTTAGTGAGCTTTGCCGTCCTCCTTTTCCCCATTACCCCTCAAGTCTGAGTAACAAACATTACCCAGCGCCAGTGTGACTGCTGCCCGGAAATTCTCTGATGAGGCTGCCTGATTTGAATCCTAACTAGCAAAACCAAAGGACTCTAGCTCAGACTCCAAGGGAAGATGAATAACATAAATGGCCTTCTCTGCTGGAAAAAAAAATCTAATTATATGTTTATAGATTTTTTTAAAGGTTGGCATTGAATACTCAGAAATATATTAAGATCATATTTACCCTCAATAGGAACACTGAAAAGGAAATGATATTCTGAAACAAAAGGCCAACTCTAAACCTTGGGAGATGGTGACAGTTACAAAATGCAGGCCTGTGAAGGAAGTGTGTCCATAAAATGCTGACACCATCTTCTTTCTCATCAGATGGGTAGAGAGAGTTTAGAAGCTCAAAACCACCATCATCCTTTCACTGTTCCTTTCTGAGTGTCTTCTCAGTAAGTGGAAGATCCTTTTCTCACCTTGAGCTTAACATAAAATCTTTTTGAAAGTGACAATTTTTTGTTGTTGTTAGTGGTAGTTATGGATTTGCTATAAGAATACAGCAATTGCTAATATATTGCCATCAAAACAATTAATATAAATAATAATATAGGATGACAATATAGCATATAACTAACAGTGTGAACCTTGGATTCAGAAAAGCTTGGCTTTGAATCCTGGGTCCATTATTACTAGCTGTGTGCAAATTATTGAAACCCTCTCACCTCAATTTTGCATCCATAAAATGGGATCATAATAACGATTATTCAAATTCAACTTAAAGGGAAGTCTGAATTAAATGTGAAAATGTATGTATAAATCACACAAGTACTCAGTAAACAGTCACTATTAACATTGTCATAAATTTGTAGCTGTTGTTTCATAGTCACAGTGAGATGATAAGGAAAAATCCCTATATTCAAACTAGAATTGATTTCTAGTTCAATATTCTGAACAAATGTGTTATATACATTCTATCAAAATCACGAATCAGTTGTATGTTTTTAATTTGTTTGTAAATATTTGTCATGTTGTCATTTTTAGAGAATTTAAAAGGAAAAATAGTGTCTTGACTAATACCAAGCATTCCACTTACAAGCATGTTTTCCTTTTAGCACTGCCTCTTGTTGCATATGGGTCCAATGCCCTGATTTTCAAAATGTGGTAGGAAACTAGTGAACTGGTATCAATGAATATCTTGTAGTTTGTCCTGTTCTCATTCAACTTGTAAGTTCACTGGATACATGCATGAGTATTTTAATTGGCCAGAAAGGCAGTTATTGATCTGGGTCACATCTCCACAAGATTTTATAGAGATAGGTTTGAATAAAGTAGTCCTAAGGCTTAAATATCAGAGGCATAAAGGGAAGAAGACATTTTGCCACACACTGTAAAAACAAATAATCTTGATCATGCAGACTCCATATCTTACAATATTGTTAATTTACATTCCACATCTTAGAACACTTAGACTCCACCACCTACTATGGCAGGCAGAAAAGGTTCATAACAATAAAAAGGATTCCTAAAGATGTACAATTGGCGTTTGCATAATATTGAAAAAAAACTCTTGATCAATGATTATATTTTGATATCTGTTCTTGCTATATAACTCATCATACCAAAATTTAGCAGCTTAAAACAACAAATATTTCTGTTTCTGTGGGCAGAAATCTAGGAGCAGCTTGGGTAGGTGATTCTGACTCAAGGTCTCTCTTGAGGTTTAGTCAGACCTGGGCCACAGTTTCATCAGAAGGCTTGACTGGGAGATCTGCTTCCAAGCTCATTCATGTGGTTGTTGGTCAGCCTCAGGTGCCCATTGGCTGTTAACAGAGATTTCCATTTTCTGCTCTGTGGTCCTCTCCTAAGTTGCCTGAATGCCTTCATGACATGGCAGCTGGCTTCTCCAGTTCCTCGTGAAGTATTGGACTGAGGGCTTCTGTTCTTTGCCATGTGGGTCTCTCCATAAGGCAGTTTGCAACCTGGCAACTGGCTTCCCCTACAGCAAATGAAGACAGACAATATGAGCCTGTAGCCACAGTCTAGGATAACCTAATCTAGGAGGTGACATGCCACCACTTCTCTGTATTCTATTGATCATAAAGAAAATCTGGTACAGTGTGGGAGGGGACACCAAGGTTGTGAAGACAAGGAGGTGGGGATGGTTGCGGGCCATCTTGGGGGCTAGCTACCGCAACCCCCATGGTGGTTAACAGAAGAATGGGCCTCTTCTCTGCCATAAGACTGATAGGGTGCCGTGGGGGGTTTTCTGGCTGAAAGAATTAGACAGGTCTTGGCTAGACGAGGTGGCTCATGCCTGTAATCCCAGCAATTTGGGAAGCCGAGGCAGGAGGATCGCTTGAGCCCAGGAGTTGGAGACCAGCCTGGGCCACATAGTGAGAACCCATCTCTACAAAAAAATAAAAATTAGCCTGGCATGGTGGCAAGTGTCTGTGGTCCCTGCTATTCTGGAGGATGAGATGGCAGAATCACTTGAGCCCAGGAGATGGAGGCTGTAGTGAGCCATGATCATGCCACTGCACTTTAGCCTGGGTGGCAGAGTGAGACCTTGTCTCAAAAAAAAAAAAAAAGATAATTAGACACCCTCATGCCTCATGGTTGTGGGAAGGGTCTCAGAACAAAAAATCAAATGGAAAGACTTAGGTGCAGATATTTAAATGTGAAGCCACTTGTGATAGTTAAGTTTCTATAAAGAAAACATTTCTCTTATGACTTTTCCCCAAGGAATGAAAGAAGAGATGATTTGGGAAACTCTACTTTTCCCTTAGTTACTACAGTCTCCAAAATGTTTAGTTTGTGAACAAATCCAGTCAGGTGACAAATTTTCAAGAATGTCTTCAATTTATAAAATCTTGGAGGTAGAAGCCACCTAGAACCATGCCTTCATGTTACAGATGAGGGAGGGGGACCCTGGGGACACTGAGAGACAGAAAGAGAGATGGGAATGGAACTCCCAAAGGGATATCACTTAGCTTTTTTTTTTTTTTTTTTTTAAATCCAGGGACAGCTTAGGATAAGATTTTGCCATACAAGGCTTATATTTTAATTCATTCAACACATTGGGAGGTACCTCCTGTGCCCAGGAAAGGGAAAATAAGACAAGACTTAGTTCCTGTCTCCAAGGAGCACATCTTCTCAAAGGGAGGAGGGAGAGCGAAAAAAATACGAAGCAAAATGTCAAGACAACGTGGTCAGTGGAGCTCAAGCATCTGATGGGTATCAGTGGAAACTAACAGTGCTGGAAGGTGATCATTTGTGCTTTACTCAGTATCTAATCAAATGGGGAGCAAATTACTCATCTATGGCTCTGTCTTTTAAGTTGTTTAGGAGAATAATGAACTTTTAGATAGAGTATAGGTAGGAAATACTGAAAGCCCTGAAAATATTGACTTTTCACCATAATTTAAATATTCAAGTTCTGGACTTACTAATGACACTTAAAAATCAAAATGACCTGGCAGTTCTCAAACGTTTGCTGTATCTGTATATTCATTTAAGCACATAGTTACTATCTGCTGTGTGCCAGGCACTGTGCCTGGCATGAGTGATAGAGCAATCAGTAACTCAGATGTGTCTCCATGCAGGCTTTATGAAGCTCATTATCTATTCATTATGTCCACTCTGCAGAAATGGTCACTTCTCTCTTTGCATCATGGGTGGCTTTATTTTTTAGTTTTTACTGCCACAATTGTCCCCAAGGCTACAGGGAAGCAAAGTCTTCAAAACTTAACAACAACAACAAAAAAATCTGGCCTCTCGAGGTGAAAAAATTGATGGAAGTATTTGCACTGTTGTCACTGGGTCCAACAGAGCCACCATTTCTTGAGGAAACCCTTTTGGGATTTGTTTCCTTAATGCAAAATGTACTTGAGATGTGACTCAACTTAGCGATGTCCCAGAATAAACTTTCACTTCCAGAGTCAGAGATAAGTACATTTTCCTTCTTCTTCGGGTCATGACAGATTGGCTTGGAAGGAAAGCTTGGGTCACGTCTAGGAAGTAACTGCCAGTCATTTGTGTGTGTGGTTCACTGGAACATTCAGGCTCTTCCAGGGACTGGCTTGTTAATGGCTGAACAAGCTAAATGCCAATCAGGAGAAAACCATTTGTTTTCCATGAATACTTCTACTTCTTGTGATCTAGAGCCTTCCCTCAAATCTCATCTATTTAGGAAGGATTCGAGGACAATGGATTAATAGCATTAATATTTCCCTCTCCACCTCCTGGAGGGCTCACATTTTTCAGGAGAAGATGACATCAGTGTGAAACTTGCCCTTCTTAAGCTTTCAGAAACATGTCTCCTTATTTAAAGATTAGATTATCCTTCTCTACTGTTTTCCATTAGATTTGCTTCTTTTCTCCTTTTTGGAGAAGGCCAGCTCACTATTTTTAAAAGGTGATGGACCATGTCAGGATTTAGAAAGTGAAAGGAAAGAGATTGGTTTGGATTTTCTCAGTCTTTGTCTGCTCTAAAGCTCAATAAACTTCGAATGGTGACTGCAGGTATAAGGGTAGAGGAAGGCTTTTATATCCTTAGAAAACCTACGTTTCAGTTGGATTACAGAGGTAGTCAGAAGATAGGGAAAAAGTTCCAATAGCATTTTGACTACTTTCCATGTCAAAGGATATATATCAGCCGTATTCCATTGCTATGAGAATCAGCATGTTTAAGTATTGATAAAAAAAATTTTAGGGAACACAATACAAGTTATCAAAAAATTGGATGAGTTTGTTGTAATAAAGACAGGACTGTATGTAGTTTATATTCAAGTTTATGGATTCTTCTGAATACTGAATAAATTGTCAAAATGGTACTGAAACTCTATGTGAAAGGCTCAGCCTAAATTCTGTTAATCTGGCTGATACATCTTTCTGTGATTTTAAAAAAAGATTCGGGAGTGGGGAGGGATAGCTTTAGGAGATATACCTAATGCTAAATGACGAGTTAAGGGGTACAGCACACCAGCATGGCACATGTATACATATGTAACTAACCTGCACATTGTGCACATGTACCCTAAAACTTAAAGTATAATAATAATAAAATAAAAATAAATAAATTTAAAAAATAAAAATAAAAAATAAAAAGACTCTAAGCAAAAATTTTAAGCTTATTCCAGCACCATGATAAAGATTCCTTGGGACTCGATTATATTCATTTATTGTGTGGATCCCATGTAACCTGTCTTTACATTTTACAATGTACAATTTACAAAATAACACAGCATACAGAGCACATCTAAAGCAGGTGGTAAAATGGAGATGTGCCACTCTCATTGTGGGTTTATATAACACATAGGAATCTCCTTAGTCTATGCTTAAAATATGAAACTGAGCAAAAGTCATTGGTCAATATTTTTATGAGCATAGATTTCCTCTCCAGTTTCTTTATCAGTAATACATGCGATAAGATCAGAGTAGCCTGTGGCCACTCAATGGTTAACATATTAATTTATTAAAACTTTCCAATTTCAACCAGTTGGGTCGAACTGGAGAAGTTAGGGAATTTGAGGAAGTTGGGGATTTTTTTTTTTTTTTTTGTGGGACGCTGCCAATTACGGAATTGATAAACTTGAATTCACACCCAGTGGTGGAGCTCAGTCACCTTTTTCACAAAGTGAGTTTTCACTCTTTATTTCTGTGTACTTAGCCTAGGGCTCCCTTTCCCTTACCAGAGAGTTTTGCATATCAGAAATGATTGAGAAAAAAATAAAGTTATTATGTGCACTAGGAACTGAAGACAATGCCTGCAGCCAAGGTTAAGGAAAGATTGAATGAGGTATGGTACCATTACTTGTGTATTATGACTACTCTCCAATTTGGAGAAATAAATACTGTGTAATAATCTATTATCAGATAGCCAGTGCTGCCCATCACCCTTTCTTCAGTCCTTTTTATTTGGGTACACAGATGTATCAAGGGAGGATAAATTAATTAACTATGCATAATTACCAAATTCTCTAAACACACGCAGACTTTACACAGTGTCTTTGCTGGACAGTGCAGGTTGTTGGTATAGATGGTAGATAGCCATCATCTAATGTAAATCTATTCACACAGCAGGGTCAAGTGAATTCAAATTCAAATGATGCACCCATAATATGTTCTCTAACGTGAAGCATTGTAAATTTCCTCACTGCAGAATGCAATAATGCCTTCGATATAAGGTATTCATCCCGATTATACTAATCACCATGGTGCATTTAGATATCCAAAGATACTGTATTTTGAGCATATAGGATTTATATAACTTTAAAATTTTGTGATTCGGTATTTTTACTTGGCTAGAGGTATTAATTTGATTAAATGCACACGAAGACTTTCTCCCAATACCCAAAGAAAACTATTTGCATTTTTTAAAATTATCACAGCTTGTTATATAATTACAGCCTCTGGGGCTAGATTTCTTTAACAATGCCCCAGTCTCCTCTCTACTGCTTCTCTAATGACAATACACTTTCCCTTCAAAGTTTCCCAACCTATTGCTTTCTATAACTTACCTCTTCCTGTAAGAAGCAAGTTTGTTAGCTCATTAATACAGAACTTACAGAGAGGGTTCACTACATATCGATCTAATTAAAACGTTTTTGAGTCAGGACAACAATAATAATGGGATTAACTATTGTAATTTGTGCAGCCAAAGTATATACATAAATAGGTAATCTTTATTTTTCTATATTACTGGTGGAAAATGAATTTCAGACATTAGGACCTGGGAGAGTCGGGAGCTACAGCTGCTGAGCTAGTGCCCCTCCCATGGTTCTGGCCAGCAGCCCTGACATCCCTGCACAAAGTAATCACAGATCACAGCATTTAATCACTGAAAACAAGCACTCCAGAGGACAGCGGTGTCAATATCCCACTCTCTCATTATCTGTTTGGATTGCACATCCACACTGTCAGATAAACAGAGTGGAAAATTAAGATTAAAAATATGGTAATTTCATTTCAGGCAGCAGGCACCACTCACTGCCCCTATTATGCTATTGATTACCTCTGAATTCAATTTTTCTTTCAATGCAAACTTTAATCTGTTTGCTACCCAGCAATTCAAGTCCCCAAGGGCTATTTGAGAGTAAGTAACCATTTAATCTGATGCTAACTGAAAAATCACCGTCCTTAATGAATTGTGTAAATCATTCAGCTCTAAAGCACCTTTGACTTCTATTTCATTTTTTATTTTCCACTCAATATAGGAAAGGATCGGCGTGTGAATAATTACAAAGTAGCAAGTATTTTTACATACAGCAAATATGATAAAAACCCTATTATAGTGGGGCATGTGTAATGAACAGTACTTTTTAATTTCAAAATAGCTATTCATTAAAAAAGAATGGGAGATTAAAAAGAGAGGCTCAAAGCTCAAGGTAAAAGTTGATAGACATTGTAATTACATGGTTAATTTCAAAGATTTATATGCTGTTATTTAAAAGGAATTTTTATGACCTGACATTTTCATTTGAGAAGATTTTTTATTTAAAATTAATCTTCGAGCTCCTATTCTTAATTATTTCTTGGCAAGCGATAAATGGTAATACAAAAAAAAATGCCCTATATCAAATTTTAAGCGGAATAAATGCATGCGAATTTTCGAAAAGCAATAAAGTGGTTTTTACTTATTTGAATTGCGTTACATTGAAATCCCCTGTTGGGGGAATTTGTGGGCGAGAGCTGGAAATTATTGGCCCATTTAAGGGAGCAGCAATCTTACTGCAGTGCAGCGTTTATGACACTTGAAAACAGATTGGAGAGTGGGTTTTGCTCGGGCGACTTGATTGTCTTTCAAGTTGGCGTTAAGAGTTTTCAACAGGTCTCCTTCCCTGCCAGCCGGGACCCCGGGGGTCCCTCGGAGCAGGGCGGGTGGGACCGCTCGGCCTCCTTCTCTCGCCCGCACGGGCGCCGCCGCAGACCCGGAGCAGGCACCCGGCGGCCGCCGCGTGGGCTGCAGCTTAGCCTCCTCTGCGGGCGCCCGGCAGGGCTGCGCGGCCGAGACTCGGGGCGCCGGCGCCGGGGCGGCCGGGAGCTCTGTCATTTGGCAACTCCCTGCAGACTGATGACACGGCGCTTTCCATGGTCGAGCCCCACAAAGTGTAGGGCTGCGGGGCGCACCTGGCTGGGCTCCTAATTACCCGGCCTGGGACGCACGGGGCAGCCGCGGAGGGTGGCGCCTGGGGTCGGGCCGGGGTCCCCTTCGCCGCAGTCCCGCCCACCCGCAGCCTCCGAGGGGTCCCGGCCAGGGCGTTCTCCACACGCTCGGCTACCTGCAGGGGTTCGCCACTGCAAGCCGGGCCAGTAGAAGTTTGGGGGCGAAGGCAGAGAGCATTTCCTTCTCGGCTTTTGGCGCCTCCACGCTGCACAGAGGCAGGGGCGACTCTGCAGGCCCCGTTTCCCCCATCCTCCCCTCCACCCCAGTTCCCCGCAGGACGTAGGCGCCGTCCCTAGCTCCCCCTTCTGTCCTCGCCCTAACACCGCAGGGCCTCTCCTGGGGATGTGGGGTCCTGCGTGCTTTTGGGGGCTACAAAAAGTGGGGGCCGTCGCAGAGCAGAGGGAAGCTAGGAGCGGGCAACGAATTGAATCCTGGAGACCCGGGAGGAGCGAGGCTGCTGCCGTCCCCGGGGAAAGGGCGACTTCGGCGGGGATACCCCGTGCCAGGCCCTGCAACTCCCGGGCCCTCGGGAATGGGATGGGGGAGGCGCGGGGTGCGCGCAGCTCCCGGTGATGTTAAGGCGTCCGATGGAGACTTGGGTTATTTGCTTCGCGTATCCTCCCCTGTTCCTCTGCACCGAGCTCCTGGCTGCCGCTGCGGCCGCTGTGTGCCCGAGGGGCGGCTCTGTAACCCGGCTCCAGGCATTTCTTAGGTTTCCCATCCCCGCCCTCCAAGCTCCCGGGAGCGCCTGCTCCGCTGCCCGCAGACAGGCGTCGTTCAAACCTCAGCTCTGCTCGGTCTGCATTCATGGACCCCAGATCTTCACCCTAGGATTTCCATCTCAGCATTTCACGTTCCCGGGGAAAAAGGGAGAGGGAGAATGAGAGATAACCGTGAGCGCCTAAGCAAGGGATTCCTTGCAGCTCCATTACGGGAGATGCCCTTTTGCTCTAACTCCCTGTAACTTAAGAAGAGGCTGCACAAAGCTCTGATCTCGGGGAGGAGTCTTGGGGTGGAAAGTACAAAAGTCAGTTGTGCCGGGCAAAAACTGAAGTTGAAATCTTATCCTGCACCCAGCTCTTGTTTTGAATTTCTGAACTTGAGCTAGTGAGTGTTATTTCAGGTTAAGAATAGTTCTGGGAGGGCGTGGGGTAGTGGGGAGGGTGCAAACTTCTTGCTTGATCCATTTCCACTCTTCAACCTTAAGGACTACCCATTTTAGCTTACAGGATGGTAAGCCCCCAAATCAAAACCCTTTCATTTACTCTATGGATTTCCACTTGCTCAGAGGTGTAACAGCTCTGTAGGCTTGGTTTTATCATTAAAAAAGAAAGAAAGAAATCAACATTAGCAAATACTTATTTCATTCACTAAATATTTATTGAGCACCAGACACCGTGCTAGGCAGAAGCCGGTCACGGTTCAGGCAGTTTTATAAAACATTTTATTTTGTTGGAAGCAATGAATGGCTGCATAACAATACTTAATGTATTTTAAATGCATGCATTACTTCTCCAACTGGCTATAATAGCTTCCCTAGAACTCATCTGAGCTGTCCTGTCAATGACGGTTTAAAGACCGTGAATCCTACAGATTATCAACTACTAGGTACTGTCCAGAAGGTGATCATCCGCCCAGAACTTGGGGCTCTGACCTTTTAAAATACATTCAAAACTATAACCTTTATAGGTCATAATGCTGGAAATGTTGATGCATTCAATGAAGAGCATATTTTGACTACTTTCATTTCTATATTGCCTACATTTTAAAAATTTTTTTATTTGCTTGTTCCAAAATTTCCAAAGGCCACATTCTCAGTGTGGTCCATGAGGCAGCATATTTTTCAATTTTAAAATATTGAATTATGTGCAGACCTCAAAAGAAACAGTAAACGTTTGTTCTGATCTTTGCTTTAAAAACGCCTGGGCCAATTAATTTTTTAGCTGTTGATTTTTAAAGTAACACTTTCACCGAGAAGGAGGTGGAATGTCAAGAAGCTGAGCCCATTAGGTTTGCATTTTCTCAGTCTGAAAATGCATGCAAAACAGCGCATTTGTAAATGCAGACCTGTGACAGTATATGTAAATGGAATATTTAATAAATGCAAAGCCCCTTTAAAATAGTAACCAACAGTCTGACCTGTCAAATGTGACAAAAATACAGGTTTATGTTTATCCCTCTGTCTTCCCTTATGTCCAGTGAGTTGTATTGAAGTCTTATAATTTTGAAGATAGACTATTAGCACAGAAAAACTAAAACAGGCTTCCTACCATTACCCCCTATATTTTCTTGATTTTTTAAAAATTATGTTTTTGTTGTTTAAATGATCATTTCTTCTGGCTTGGAAATTGGGAAATTGGGTGGCAGGAATCAAGGAGCAGGTTATCAGGAATACTAAAACCTTCCACGGAGAGGTTGCTACTCTGGCTTAATTCTTTTAATAGCGGGTGTTTTCTTCCCTCTGTTCCTCAATTACATTTTAAAAACAATCATAGGCAGGAGCATATATAAGACATAAATATCACTTTCCCTTGAGTTTTAAAATCTGACATTGGGAAATAGAGAATGGCATTAAAGAAGCTGTCCCTTCCAGTGTAACTGTTAGAGTTCATTTAGAGGAACGGGCCCAAATGGCTCTCCTGGTGAAACACTTCTGAATCAAAAGCTAGTCTGACTGTCAACCACTTGGACCAGGAATCACTTAGGGTTTCCCTCGGGAAAGGACTATGTTGGTAGCATTGATGGGAAAAGTAGTGACGGGATGGGGGGTGCATATAAGGAGTCCATATGGAGAAGCTGAGGAGCTCTGTGGAGGAAATCCCATGTATCAAAGCTACTAAGAGCTGAGGAGAGCAGTGGTTATGCACTGGAAACATGTACTGAAAATTAAATGAAGAATCTGTTCAGTGTTAGTTTAGATGAGGGAGTTCTCTTGACCTTTGACAAGGAGATAGGAAAATCCAGGAGAAGTACATGAAAAAAATGTTTAAGATATGGGTATAAATTATACAAATGCTGGACATAAAGGGTAGGGAAGAGAAAAGAGATCAGGTATTGGGAGTCATTTATTCATGCATTTGTTCTGCAAATGTTTATTGAGCACCTACTAGCTCTAGCCACTGATCAAACCTTGGGAATGAAGACCGTTCCTGAATGGAGTTACATTGCATTTATTAAAATTAATGCCTCTCATTGGTTGCTACTGCTAGAGAAGAGAAAGAGTAATTCATAATTTACTAGGTGCTGACTCAATGCTTTCCTTTAGGACTGCAGTGTCCCTCTGGCCAATGGAATCAGAGATTCCAAATGGCATTTTGTCCATTGAGTCATTCAAATTCAGTTCCCAAAGGTGGTCCAAACTCACCAACTTTCACATAGTTGAGAGGAAAATTAATATTTTCAAGGACCTACCCCTAGGCTGGGGGTATTTGAAATGTTAGTCCACTTAATCCACAAAATGATACCCATGAGGCCGTCATGCTTACTTTATTACAGATGAGGAAACTGCTCTCCCAGCATGAGACTCCATCCAGCTAATGTGTAAAGTTACCTTACAAACTGCAAGCTGTTATGTAAATGTAAGGTATCTCTGTTAAACTTTAACTCAATTTATTTTTAAATATCAATTCTGACAATGGTGAAGTGACAAGACATGACCCTCATTTCATTATTGGCAATGAAATGATTTCTAAGCATCTTCCTCTTACTTTTTTTTCAGGTGAATTAATGTTATAGAGATTGTTCAAAATAATAATAATTTATCTATCTATAGATGTCTGTCCTGGTATAGGTTCCTGTCTCCAGATGGTCTGTGGGAAGAATTTGTGTTTTCAAGCTAGTATCTCTCATCCAGGCTCTGTGCGTGTTATTCTACTATGTTAAAGACTGGGGCTGGGGACGGTGGCTCATGCCTGTAATCTCAGCACTTTGGGAGGTGGAGGTGAGAGGATTGCTTGACCCCAGGAGTTGGAGACCAGTCTGAGCAAGAGAGTGAGAGCTTGTGTCTACAAAAATAAAAAATTACCTGGGTACGGTTGTGAGTGCCTGTAGTCCCAGCTACTTGGAAGGCTGAGGTAGGAGGATTGCTCGATCTCAGGAGTTTCAGGTTACAGTTAGCTGTGATCATGCCAGTGCACCCCACCCTAGACAACAGAGCAAGACCTCATCTCAAAAAAAAAAAAAAAAAAAGGATTTCTTCCAATTAAACATTCTTTTCAAAATAACTCAGTTTGAATGAGAACATCATCTGAATCATTTCCAGCTACTTACAGATTGCACCTTCTATACAACCCCACAGTTACAAACTAAATTTTCTTTATAATCACTTTCTGCAACTCTCAGAATAGTTAAGCATTACCTGAATATCAAAGAGCAACCTTGGGACAGAAAGGATTTTAGCTATTTAATTGCCAAACTCTAGAAAAATACAAACAAATCTTTGGAACCCAGCAAATGATATTGATGCATGGTTTCTCTGCTGGGCACGTCAATTTGCATGCAGTGACGTCACTGCCTAGAGCAAATTAATGATGAGCTCCTTGAGTGAACAAACGCTGAGCTTCTTCAAACTTATTCCATTGATACCCTTTTCTGAGGAGGTTGGAATCAACCCAATTGAAAGAATCAACTATGGACATTGCCAGTTTTGTAAAATGAAGTTTGTCGAGGAGAATCAAATATCTCATAGCTAGTTTGAAAGGAAGGCAGATGTAATCTTGAATGATTCACATACATTTATAAGGTGTTAAAGGCATGAAAATTAATTTTAAAATATTTTTCTTTTTTGAAGTTTTCTTGCTGATTACATTCCTCCACATGTACTTGCGGTATGAAGTGTCCATAGTAAAAGTTACTTTGCAGGTTGATCCTTTTTTCTTTTTTTTTTTCTTGAGATGGAGTCTCGCTCTGTTGCCCAGGCTGGAGTGTAGTGGCACGATCTCGGCTCACTGCAACCTCTGCCTCCTGGTTCAAGCAATTCCCCTGTCTCACCCTCCTGAGTAGCTGGGACTACAGGCGTGTGCCACCACGCCTGGCTAATTTTTGTATTTTTAGTAGAAACGGGGTTTCACCATATTGGTCAGGCTGGTCTTGAACTCCTGACCTCAGGGGATCCACCCGCCTCGGCCTCCCAAAGTGCTGGAATTACAGGCGTGAGCGACCGCACCTGGCTGCAGGTTGGTTCTTAATCAGTGTAGTTGAGCCTTAGTCTAACAAGTCAGTCTGCTTCCAAAACCACATTAATCCTTTCCAACAGCCATCTGAAGCTAGGAGTTTTCTGTCAACCCAACAATATGTTCTCATGAAAGCCTTTAGTTTGTACAGTGTGTTGCAATTTACAAAGCACATCCACAAACATTCTCTTGTTTTGGTCCTTACTATACCTACTACGAAGTTTGAAGGGCTGCTGGTGTTTTCTTCCATTTGCAAGTGGAGACAGAAAGCACCTAAAATTCAGAGAGATGCCATGACTATTTTGTAGTAAGACAGCTAGGGAGTGCTGGAGCCAGTACATCTCCTCCCAATTCCAGTCATCTCTCCACTAACCACCCTACCTCTGCAAGGAAATCAGTTGCAGTTCTACATTGAGCTGTCAACATTTCCATTTAAAAGTTCCAAGATCTGCCCGAACATATAAATGGTGGCATTATCAAGCTTTACTAACAGAAAGAGAAAAGTTCAACTCTCCATTTCCCCTGAGACCTTTTAAAGTGACCTTTAGTTCTTCAAGTCATCTTTTATTTCTGGCCAGATAGCGTAATATACAATCAGTGCCTGAAGAAGCCGTGTTTATTTTCAGTCAGCTTAAACGCCTCCTTTTACTCTCTGGGATATTTCAGGTTCATGCCCAAAAGCTGCTTAGCTGTCCAGCTGTTGGTCTATTGGTCAGTGGGGGTCAGTGAATTATGCTAAAATAGTGCCAGCTTAGCAGAATGTTAAGGAATTATTCACAGGAACAAAAATATTTAAAGCCTGGATTCCACTGGGCATATGTATCTGATGTTGGATGTTGATTTTTTTTTTTTACAGTTACTTAAAGAGATTCTCCTTTTTCCTTTTCTTAAATATGCAACTTTAGCTGGTCTGTCTCCATCAATTTAACACTTTTGAGGAATATCCCATATCCCTGCCATAAGATGATAGACACTGCTGATCCTGTATCCAGCTGCATCTGTAGCATCTCGGCCTCCACCCGGGGTGTTAACCAGATTATTTTTCTATCACTCTTGCCCACACTGAATATGCTGAATACTGTATCTCTCAACTGGCTAGCCCACTCTCACAGCCTGAGTCTCTATTATCGGCAGCCACAGCATGCATATGTTTATTTAGTTTCCATTCCTTAGGGAATCCTCTGTGCTCTTCCTTGAGTAACACAATATTTGGGTTTTCCCTTTTCTGTTACATCTCCTGAAATACTCATCTTTGAATGTATATTCAGAATGGTTACAGAAAGCTTTCCCACAACAGTAACATGCCCCTGCCTGCTTTGAATTCTGGCACACAACAATGCAATTATTTTATGCATGCTTGCCTTGTGTCTCCTGGCTGCTTTTAGTCTCAGTGCATCTCTTGCTGCAGTTTCCATAAGCACAGCGGCTCACAAGCTGTTCTAAAATGTGCACCCTTCTTCATTCCAAATCTTGCCCTGTTCACTTCGGATGTGCATTTTTAGAGCAATCCTTTGGTGAAGCCAATAGTTAACAATTCCTCAGCTGCCAATAATCAGGACAGTTCTGTAAACCATCTTCTATGAAGTGGCAGATTTATATTTGAACGCTGAATCCTTTAGTATAGACAATAACAGAGGAGCTAAAATGCCATCGAGAATTATGGCTTGGATGTGGCAGATGTGCAGTAAACAGATTGGCTTTTGTATAAACAGTGTGTCTCATTACAGGGGCAAACTCAGGATTAAGAAAGACAGGCAGGAACTGGGGGTACCTCCTCTTAGCCCAAAATACCCCCAAAATGGTGCAATACATCTTTTCTTTCCAATGGAATCTGTAAGATTACAAACTTATTCCAGTGTTGTTTAAAAATAACTATTCTCTATTCCTATTTGTGTTTTTCAGACCCCTGTAAAATTGTTGTAGGCCCATGCAGGCTCGACTCTATTCACCCTGTTGATTAGGCTCCTTTGAAAGAGAGGAGTTGATGAGGTAGAGAGCTGAGATATGATTTTGTTGACTTTCTAGCTAAAGTTTCTTAGGAACAAGTGGGGCTTTTGCCAGCTGTGATCTACCCAGGAGAAGGCAGGACAAAAAATATCTGAAGCACAGGAAGCTTTCTCTGACTAAACACTCCAAACAGGGAACAGGGTTGCCTTCCCCAGCAGCAGATTCCTGCAAGGAGCTCAGCTTATTCTCTTAATTAGGGATAATTTGTACGTAGGCTTGGGAAGAGGCATGTCAAAGCCTTTGACAAGTCATTTTCAGGATTCCCATGTTAGAGGCAGAGTAAAGGAGGCACCAAAAGGTCAAGCGATTTGCCTAAGGTCATGGATGAAGTATATCTTTTCATCCGTGTTTTCACAGCACCTGGAACTGCAGGAACAATGATGTGTTCCCACAGAGCTAGGAGAAGGAGGAGAGGGTAAAAGGAAGAGACTGGTGGACACATTGCTAAGACCAGAGATAAAATAGCCAGGGCAGCTTGATACCAGAAAAAAGAGGTCCACATACAACCTGCTTTTAAGTGGGCAGTGACTCAGAGAAAGGAAATAACAGAATATTCACTGAATTATTCAATATATGTTTTACCAAATGACTGCTATGTAAATGGCATTGAACTAGGCATCTTGTGGAGAAGTGCAAAAAAAATATTAAATTGGTCTTCTAGGAGCTTTCCACATAAGTGGGAAAACAAGGCATATAAGCATAACCAAATAAGTGTATAGCACCCAACCATGAAGCCCCACTGCTGAGTGTAATTACTGGGGCATAGTAGATGCTCAATAAATGTTCCCTGAATTAATAGTTATTCACTCACTACCAAGCTTGAAATTAAACTCTGCCAAGGTATTTTTGTGTTTGATTTGATTGCCTAAAGTTTATATAGGCAGGTTTTAAGGAGAGGTAAAACTGACTTTTAGAGTAAGTTTTAAACACTTTTTTTACCTTTAATTTTCAAATAATTTCTGAGATTCAAAAAAGTTGCAAATACACTAAGACAATTCCTATATATCTGTCATCTTCAGATGTTAATATCTTACATAACCACAGAACTATTATCAAAGTGAGGAAATGAACATTGTTACAATACTATTAACCTATCCACAGATCTTTTTCAAATTCTACCAGTTGTCCCATGAATAAGATACAATTCAGGATCACACGTGGCAATTAGTCAGTTAGTAGTCACACTGTCACACTTTCTTACCCCTTTGCAGTCTGGTTCAGGCTTTCCTTTTCTTTCTTGTCCTTGATACTTTGAGGACTGGCCTGCTATTTTGTAGAATGCCCCTCAATTTAGATTTGTCTGATGTATCCTTTTAAATAAGTGTGTGTCTTTTTTGGCAAGAATGCCACAGAAGTGATGTTGTACCCTTCTCAGTACATCATATCAGGAGGCACATGATATCACTATGTCTCATAACAAGGTACAGTGGTATCTGCCAGGTTTCTCCACTAAAAAGTTACTATTTTTCCCTTGTAATTAGTAAGTTTCCTATGGGGATATTCTTTGAGACTATTCAAATATCCTGTTTCCTATTTTACTTTCACCCACTAATTTATCATCCACCTATATGATTCTTGAATGCAACAATTATTATGGTGTTTGTCAATGGTAATTTTCTATTTCCTCCCACATTCATTAATCAGAATTCTGCTGTAAAAAAAAAAAAGCTTTCTCTCACCCCATTTATTGAATGATTTTTAAAGAGTGGGATTTATGAAGGCACGGTGCATGGGGAGGAGAGAGTGAGCACCATGAGAGTCATGATGACAAGGTTGTTTGGGTGCAACAAAGAAAAGAGACAGGGCTGGGCATAGTGGCTCACACCTGTAATCTCAGCACTTTGGGAGGCCGAGGCGGGCAGATCACCAGGTCAGGAGTTCAAGACCAGCCTGGCCAACAACATCGGTGAAACCCTGTCTCTACTAAAAATACAAAAATTAGCCAAATGTGGTGGCGCGCGCCTGTAGTCCCAGCTACAGGGGAGGCTGAGGAAGGAGAATTGCTTGAACCCAAGAGGTGAAGGTTGCAGTGAGCCAAGATCACACCACTGCACTCCAGCCTGAGCAACAGAGCAAGACTCAATCTCAAAAAAAAAAAAAAAAAAAAAAAAAGAAGCGAGAGAGAGAGAGAGAAAGAAGCTGGGCCTGGGATCAGAAGAGTTATTTCTGAGAGTAGAAAATGAGAGAGAGAGAGAGAGAGAGAGAGAGAGAGAAGATGGGCCTGGGATCAAAAGTGTTATTTCTGAGAGTAGAAAATGAAAACCTTTTAACAGTTTCTGAGCATGCAAGAACACAATCAAAGGGATGGTCAAATACGGGCACATTAGGTAAAATGGATGAGAGAACCCTGGCAACTAGTACAAGGTACTTGAGGACAGGTGGAACTGGAGAAGAATGAGTTAGTTCATAAAAGGAGGAAAGGATTATTCTTGTAGCCCAATGACAATTTGTGCAAGAAGAATGGTGCCTGGTGGTGACTAGACAGGTGGAAAATGCTGAGGATTTTGTGGGAAAATACAAAGAATACCCCTTGAGTTAGAATTTGCTCAACCTGGTAAAGCACCCATGAGATGTTCTGGAATCTGAGAAATGAAGGAGAGTCAGCAGAGTGTTGGCAGGCAGGGCCTTCCTAAAATCAATCTTGGGGGACATTGACTATTTCTTGATGCTTCCTGAGCCAGAGTGAACCATGGTGTCATGACCAGGTAACGTTGGGTAGGCCAAAACTACTCCTGAGAGCGTTTAGTGATTTACCTAACTTTCTGCACTATTGTAAAAGAAGAAAGAAAATGTCCAGGTCTACTGCAATATGCTGCTTCCCCGACCCCACTGTCCTAATGAGCCTAGCACCTGGGCATCTACTGTGTGTGCAATCATCCCTGCAGTGAGCAGGGAACATGGTGAGTTGGAGGCTGATTCTCATTTAATCTTCTCCTCTGGCCTCTCCCCAGAAATCTGGTTTGATCAGCCCTTGTGTCTCTCTCCCAGTATCTTGGCAGGGCCAGTCCTAGTTCCCCATGAAAATATTTTTGAAATAATGGCTTGCGGGACAAAGTGAAACCACTTTCTGTTCTTTCTTTGGTTGATGAGGGTAGTGATCACTTCATTAAATCCCTGTCCTGAGCCTTGGAATGTCACCAGAGCATTAGCCCGTTTTCACCTTGAGCTAATGGGCAGTGGTGGCCTGAAGTGGCATCTCTCTCCTTTCTCTAATCCTTAATCAAGGGCTGTCCCTAATGAAGTGGCCGTAGAAGAACAGGTCTCTCAAACTGGCATCCTAGCAGCAGTGAGATCACCAGAGAAAACCTCCCAGAATCTTGAGTCATCAGCTCTGGGGGTACCAGGGTACTGGCCTGAGACCTGAAGCAGAAGAGAGAAACAGCTGCCTGACCACTGTACAGAGATTGAATTTTCTCTTCCAGAGATTGAATTTTCACTTTCTTACTGAGGGAAGGTACAATGCTATTGGTGAGCAACAAGTTTCCAGATTCAGCCCTACCTGTGTTCAAATCACAGCTCCACCATGGTGACCTCAGACAAGTCATGTATTCTACACCCCTTTTTTCCCAACAACAAAACAGCACTTGGGTAGCACTCGATGAATGGTGGGAATGACCAATATTATTGGTGAAACCGGACATTCCATGACAGTGTTTCGATGCTCCTTGGAGTATAGTCCAGTAATCTGTTTTCTTTTCTCATGATTACTCATCTTACCTTCTTGTACTACTGAAATTGACTTTAATTCTGTTATTCTCAGGAAATCAGATAATGTCTCTTAGCAAGAATATTAGGCATATAGGTACAGATTATTAAGATGACATCTATTTAAAATGTCACAATAGTGTATTTAGGTATTAGCAAATAAAAACCAAACTTCAACAAGCCAAAACCACTCACAACAGGCAAGTGAAACTGTGCTTGACTGCTGTTTCTCATTATACTCATTTGACCCTTGCCTAATTCAACCGGTGTCTTGGTGAATCATTCTGGAGGGCCACACTACAATATGTACTTTGTTCCTTTATTCTTACAAATGCAGTTTAGTTTTAACTGTTTGTGATAGTTCTTAATAGCATATATTATCTAAATAATGATGACCTAGTATGATGAGACCTTACTGAAGATCATTGTTAAGTCTTGCTGAGAAGTAGGATATGACTGCCAAACTTTTTATAAGACTTGTAGAGTTATGCGGCTAAAAGTAAGGTGTGCCAAGACTCGGTAGTTCAAGACAAATATGTAAGACTGTTAGAGACGGTGGATACTGGAGGAAGATCTGAGGAAAGAAGTCAGTGGACTGAAAGTGTTGTTGAGGGCACCAGTGCTAAGAATCTCACAGAATTTTCGTGAAAAGAAGCACTTGCATTAATCATGTACTGTGATTCCCTTAAACTAAGGGTAAAAGTTTTGTCTAACCCAAATATATGCCTCAACTGAAGGAGTGTGTGTGTTTATGGTTATTCTAATTACACACGGATGATCAGAGCAAAAACAGAAGGTGTAAGGACTGCTCCTAAGAACCTTCACCAATAAGCAAGACTCGAAAAAGCCCAAGCATGTACGGAGTTTGGAACCTTGCCCTGAATATTTTTCAGGATTCGATTGAAATATCCTCCTTGACAGCGGGTTTCTCTTACAGCCTAGAGAAGGAATTTATTGGCTTGGTTAATAGGACAGTTAATATCCAGAATGGCTCTGGGTGAAGAATGAGATATGCTCATCTCTTGAGTTTCTCCCTAAAAAATAATTTGTGGTGAGGTACTCTTGCTCGGCTTCTGAACATGTGCCCACTAAGCCCTTGGAGAGTAATAACTTAGGCCAGGCAGGTTGAAAACAATATTGTTTTCACTATTTTATTACATGTGAATGTCCTGGTGGGTGGCAGAGTGATTAAAACTTTCTATGGTCTAATTTATTTTCATAGCCATTTGCAAGGCTGCTCTGGCATCTCTACATTCCTTATAATTTGGGCGTTTATTCCATACTTTACAAGGCACTTGAGTAATATGAGATCAAACTTAAAAGTGGTATTGTATATATAGAAACTCTATTAATAAAAATTACTAAGTAGTGCTATTTGTTTGTTTATAGTAAAAGGAAACCAGCTTATAAGCAAGACGGAAGATTCCTCTGTGCATAATGACTTAATTAGCAATTTAGAGGTTAGTTTTTCTTGTTTAGGTATCTGAGTGACTGATTTCTACCAAATTCACTGGGCAAACCTCTCTCAATTAGTAATCTGTCCTCCACTGCCCCAACTCAGGTATTTTTGATTTGGACACATAAGTCTCTATATAAGTTTTGTAAAACCTATGTTAAGATAGGTTTTCAAATCACTGTCCTATAGAATGTTGATCTGGTCAATGCAAGCACCGTGTTGACAGTGACGACTGTATTGCAGCTATATCTCTCACCCCTTTGATAAAACAAGTGGATTAAGCTGAGCCCCAGTTGTCTCTCTGTGCATGTCTCTTTATTTTATTTTATTTATTTATTTATTTATTTATTTATTTATTTATTTATTTGAGATGGAGTCTCGCTGTGTCGCCCAGGCTGGAGTGCAGTGGCGTGATATCGGCTCACTGCAAGCTTCGCCTCCTGGGTTCACGCCATTCTCCTGCCTCAGCGTCCCGAGTAGCTGGGACTACAGGTGCTCGCCACCACGCCTGGCTAATTTTTTGTATTTTTAGTAGAGATGGGGTTTCACCGTGGTCTCGATCTCCTGACCTCGTGATCCGCCCGCCTCGGCCTCCAACAGTGCTGGGATTACAGGCATGAGCCACTGCACCCAGTCTGTGCAAACCTCTTAAAGCTTCATGTTCCATCAAATAACGTTTACTATTCCTCTCAAATACTGAACCTGGTAAAATAACTGGAATCTAGAGTGATCTCTTCATTTGACACGATTCACAAGCAATCAGCATTGCCATCCTTCCAATCTCATCACCTTTGCAAAAACTAAATGCACAAGTAATGCTGAGTGGACACTACCACAGCCAGTGGGGTGACTAGGAACAGATACAACCTGGGTTTGAAGTCCAGAGCCATTTATTTAGTGCACAATTGTTAAGTCCTCCTTGCAAAAGATTTAAAACAAACTGGTTCTCAAAGTGTGGTGCTCAAACCAGCAGCATCAGAACCACGTTAGAAATGCAAGATGCATGTCCCATCCTGGATCTACAGACTACAGAGCCCCTGGGATTGGGGCTCCACAGCCTCTGTGTGATTCTGGTTCACACTGAAGTCAAACTACTGATTTAGAGGAATATTTCCCCATAAGGTGCTAGAAGTAAATCTGTTCCTCGTTTGGACCTTTTCTAATGGCTTCTCTTGTTAGGGAGTATTTTGTCACTAAGATTTCTTTTTAATAGCAAACTAACCCTGTGTCCAAAAGCTAAGACCCTAGGATTAAAAAAAATTCACGTGAGATTTTGTCCACTTCTACGTGTTTTCTTAATACGCAGCTTATTGTACCCAATTCAAATTTATAATGAATTCATCTTGGCCAATTCCCATTTCTAGACTTTAAACACTTTCCAGAGAAATGTTGACCTAACCCATTGTTTTTTCTTCACAGATAGTTAAACATTCACCCATTAATTCTGTGACTAAGCCAACTCATTTTCCATCCTCAAAGGAAATTTAAAAAACAAAATTTAATTAAAGAAATAAATGGCAGAAAAATGTCACAGACCACATACATATTATATACTAACAGTCTAAGAATCAGAAAAATTTATCTAGGATCTTTCATGGAATTTCTCATCATCCTGTCAGTTTTACATGTTTATGTGTAACGTACAAAACCAAACATTTAGTTATTATACAGCTCAGTCTCGATGAGAGGTTATTTGAAGAAACACAGAACCTCATCAATGAGATCAGTAATCCCATTTCCTAGATGAGAAAAATTAAGGCACTCTAAGGTTCTTTGGACATAAACATTAGCCAAAATTCTCCCTTGGTTAACTCCAAATGAAAATCCCTTTAAGCCATATTTCTAACTCATGTACATGTGTACATCAGATAAATTATAAGAGACTCTATCTCTAATGTTTATGAAAAACTTCAGATTATTCATGTGCATGGTTTGAGATTTGAATGTAATCATTATTACTTATCAGTATTTATTAAGCAGCTAGACAGGACAAAACACTGACCTTTAGTTTATGGGAGTGACGAAAGAAGCAAAAGTTTTGATCTGTGGTCTGAAGAGTCTAGAGGAAATGGGGGCAAATGTAAATGAAATCTATATATAAAATATACATGCGACCTGTATACACACAAGTGATAATGCAAATAAGCATAGATGCATAGACTTGAGTGGCAGAGAGAGACAGTGCTCACCAATATTCTATTTCTGTGATGGTTAATATTGAGTGTCAACTTGATTGGACTGAAGGATGCAAAGTATTGTTCCTGGGTGCATCTGTGAGGGTGTTGCCAAAGGAGATCAACATTTGAGTCAGTGGACGGGAAGAGGCAGACCCACCCTCAGTCTGGGTGGGCACCATCTAATCAGCTGCCAGCTCGTCTGAAATAAAGCAGGCAGGAGAAAATGGAAGAGCAGGCTTGCTGAGTCTTCCTGCCTTCATCTTTCTCCCATACTGGATAATTCCTGCTCTTGAACATCAGGCTCCAAGTTCTTTAGGTTTTGGACTCTTGGGCCTACACCAGCGGTTTGCCAGGGGCTTTCAGGCCTTCAGCCACTGACAGAAGGCTGCACTGTCAATTTTCCTACTTTTGAGATTTGGGGACTTTGACGGGCTTCCTTCTCCTCAGCTTGCAGATGGCCTATTGTGGGACTTCATCTTGTGATCATGTGAGTCAATATTCCTTAATAAACTCCCCTTTATATATACATCTATCCTATCAGTGCTGTCCCTCTAGAGAACCCTGACTAATACAATGTCCTTCCCACATTCTCCAGGATTCCTTGCAGTTACACTGGCCACGTGATTGATTCTGAGTAGCTGTGGGCACGGACCAAGGCAGCTGAGATACAGGGTGGCTTCTCTATCTCCCTTTCCCTGTGCTTTGGTAGCTTTGGAGGCCACATATTACATGTGGTATATTTGCAAAATGCCCTCCCCTGAGCTGCCCAACCCACCTAGGATGAAACATTATTGTATTAAATCTGTGAGATGTGGGGATCTGTCTATTGCAGCACCTGGTGTTAATTACCTTGGCTAATTCAACCTGGAAGTGAGATGCAGTGCTGCACATTTGTGCTTACCTTCCAGTTCACACATCCCTCATTAGGAATGCCCTCCACCTCCTCCCTTGTTCATGTAACTGAATCCTAATCTTTTAGGACCTAAGGCAAATGCCAAGTCATTCATTCATTTATTCATTCATTCATTCAGCAAATATTTTTGCACATCTAGTATGTGTCAGGTATGCATTCATTCTTAAGAATTCAACTAAGACACACAGACTTATGCCGATTTCACAGAGCTTACACTGCAGCAGGGAAGAAGGAAAATCTAACAAGTAATTCTAATTCAGGCCCCAAGAAGTAATTTCTTTCTTCCCTGAGCTTTGGCAGGCAGTCTGACACACCCAACACGTTCTAACCCTGTTACTATTATTGTTTGTGGGCATTGTCTCTTTCCCACCAAGTGGTGAACTCTTTAATGGTAGGGATTTTATCTTCATTTTCTAAGACTCATCCACAGCTTTTTGTACACAATTACTGATGATATATATGGAGGGATATGTTACATGTATGAAAGCAATTGCTAGAATTATTTCTGAGAATTAAAATTAGTTGGGGGTATATCAAAGAAGGCTTTATGGTGACTTTTATGACGGTGCTCTAACAATTCATAATTAAGTATTTTTCTCTTGTGTACTTGGCACATAGGAAGCACTCTATAAATGTGTTGAATGGATAGACTGAATGAATGGGCTTCCCTGCTTTCTTATTGATTGATAGCTCTCCTGAGTGAATGAATTTCTACCGTAAGGTAACTTCAGTAATTGAATGAGGAGACATGCCATGCATTTTTGTGGCAAATAGAGACATTTCCAAGTCCATAGAACAGCAGGAATATTTGACTTTTTTTTCAACATCTTGAAAAATCAATAGGTTTATATTGTTTCTGGCCATTTAAATCAACTCAAATGTAATTTTCTTTATAAATTTGAACTCATTTGGCAAAGTTAAAAGGGATCCGGTTTAAAGTTAGTGAACTTATATAAAGTATAAATGGAGGTCTTCTTAAGATTCTGCTAACTTAAAAATCTTTTCCTAGATTGAAAGAATGTGTTGACTTTCATAGTGATTTAATAAGTTCAATTTTCCAAAGCTTCTATCTTTCATAAAGAGTAAACTAAAAACTAAAAGAGAATGAGATTGTTGTATTTTTACACTAAATTTAATTCCATTTCAGTTTACTAAAATGCTTTACTAAAATGATAAAACAATTGGGAAAAAATGTATTTTTACTTTGATTTTTTCCCACCACCTCTTAATTTCTGTTGAGGACCACCAAAGACATGCCATCATTTGGTATATTTTCTTATTCTGTTTTGTCATTGTTGTTTTAACCATGCTGTGATATTCTACATGAAATTTCTAACCATTAGGTAGTATCACATGGGGTATTGGTTAAATAGCCATTTGCATATATTGATTTATATTCCTAACACTAATGTTTTTGCTTTTGAAGCATTATTTACCCTGGATCTTAAATTTCTGTAAGTAGTGATTATGCTACTAAGATTGGATTTGTTCTTATATAGAGATTACCCTTATTCTCTAATAACACTATTTAATAAATATCAAATAGAAACTGCTGTTTAAAAAATAAATAAAAAGCTCAGATGAAGCAGAAAGTATAACCTGGCAAGATGAAGCAAATGTAAGTTAAAGAGATAATTAAAGAGAAATAAAAGAGAATACAAAGAGTATCCACTCATACTTCCATGAATATTTAAGTTGTTTCCATGTCTTGGCTATTATGAAACACGCTGCAATGAGCATGGAAATGCAGATATGTTTATGAGGTGGTGATTTCCTCTCCATTCGGTATGTGCCCAGAAGGCTCACTGGGTGGTATGGCAGTTCTGTTTTTCATTTCCTTAGGAACATCCATACTGTTTCCCATAACGGATGCAGCAATCTATGTTCCCCTCAACAGTGTATTAGGGTTCCCTTTTCTCCAGACCCTCACCATTTGTTATCTCTTGTCTTTTTGAGAATAGCCATCTGTATAGATGCGAAGATTTTTAAATGTGGTATATATGCACAATGGAATATTATTCAGCTTCAAAAAAGGAGAGTCTGCCATTTGCCACCACATGGATGGATCTGGAGGACATTATGTTAAGTGAAATAAATCAGACACAGAAAGAAAAATATTGCATTATCTCACTTATATGTGGAATATATATATTTTTTAAAGCACTCAAATGCACAGAGAGAGAGAGAGTTGTTATCATGAGAGGGGTGTCAGGTAGGGACAGGAAGGAAATGAGAGATCTAGTTTAAAGGATACAAAATAGCAGATATGTAAGATAAACAAGTTTAGAAGCCTAATGTACCACATCAGCACTAAAGTTAATACAGTTATATTGTATTATATTTCTAACACTAACGTTTTTGCTTTTGAAGCATTATTTACCCTGGATCTTAAATTTCTATAAGTTGTGATTATGCTATTAAGATTGGATTTGTTCTTATATAGAGATTACCCTTATTCTCTAATAACACTATTCAATAAATATCAAATAGAAACTACTGTTTAAAAAAATAAACAAAAAGCTCAGATGAAGCAGAAAGTATAACCTGGCAAGATGAAGCCAGGTTATACAATTATATTGTGTTAGGGATTTTTGTTAAATAAGTATATTTTAACATCATGTTCTAAACCTCAAATATATACAATATTTGTTAAAAAATTAAAAATAAAAAGATAGGGCTGGGCATGGTGGCTCACACCTGTAATCCTAGCACTTTGGGAGGCCAAGATGGGTGGATAACCTGAGGTCAGGGGTTCGAGACCAGCCTGGCCAACGTGGTAAAACCCTGTCTCTACTAAAACTACAAAAATTAGCTGGACATGGTGGTGGGGGCCTGTAATCCCAGCTACCTGGGAGGCTGAGGCAGGAGAATCACTTGAACCCGGGAGGCAGAGGTTGCAGTGAGCCGAGATGGGGCACTGCACTCCAGCCTGGGTGAGAGAGTGAGACCCTGTCGCAAATAAATAAATAAATAAAAATTTTAAAAAGATAGAATAGGAAGTAATAGTAATAATGCATGCTAATTACCTACACCTTTTAATTAATGGAGTTGTTTATCAGGCTTCCAATATCCAGGCAGGAGTCTCTTCTATTCTTTTTGGAGGCGTACTATCTTGCAAATTTAGTGTTAAGTGTGGAATGAACCCAGTGATCTCCACGTAATTCATAGGAGCCCTCCTAAGCCTAAAGATTCAGTTTAATTGAAGATGTTAATAAGATGTATATTTTGCCAGTGTCGGGCTCTGTCACCCAGACAGGAGGGCTGGAGTGCAGTGGTGTGATCACAGCTCACTGCAGCCTCAATCTCCTGGGCTCCAGCAATCCTCTCACCTTAGCCTCCCAAAACAAACAGCTGGGACTACAGGTGCATGCACTACATCCAGCTTTTTTTTTTTTATTTTTATTTTTTTTAGAGACAGGGTCTTGCTATGTTGTTCAGGCTGGTCTCAAACTCCTAGCCTCAAGCAATCTGCCCGCCTCAGCCTCCCAAAGTGCTGAGATTATAAGCAAGAGCCACCACACCTGGCCAACCTGGTCTTTGATGTTGCTTGATCTTTTCACAGAACTTGCTGTCTTGACTTTGGCCGTTTTCAACGGTGTGACATGGAATGAATTAAAACTATCTTGGGTGAATGTGCAGGAAACAAGTCAGATCTTTCTAAACACTTACTTCTATAAATACAGGAATTAAATTGTTTTCCTCCTGAAGAGGTCTACTGAAAGAGGCTCAATTTAATTCAGATTATTTCTATTCAAATCAATATAAAATAACTTTTGGCCGGGCGCAGTGGCTTATGCCTGTAATCTCAGCACTCTGGGAGGCCAAGGCAGGTAGATGTGCTGAGAGAGGGCAGTCCTCTCCTGTATGAATGATTGAGTCCCAGAAACTTTGAATGGAGGCTTGCCAAGAGATTCCGCACTGTAACTCTGTCCATTCCGCACTGTAACTCTGTCCTCAAATGCCCACCAGGTAGAGGGTGTGGCCTGGAAAAACGTTTGCACATAATCATTTTCCATTCAGTCATCATAATAAGTACAGTTCCCACAGTTGGTTGATTAGGGTTGTTTGGGCCACTGCAAAAGGGTTCTGCTTCTGCCTGAAAATGATCCCTAAGCTTCCTTTCTGGTCTTCCCCTTCTGTCCTGATCATGAAGCAAGCTAGCAGTCCTGGAACACTTTATGAGTTTCCTAAGGGTACTGTAACAATTGATCATGAATCTGATGGCTTGAAACAACGGAAATTTATTCTCTCACATTTCTGGCCAACATGGCGAAACCCCATCTCTGCTAAAATACAAAATTAGCCAGGTGTGGTGGTGCATGCCTGTAATCGCAGCTACTTGGGAAGCTGAGACAGGAGAATTGCTTGAACCTGGGAGGTGGAGGTTGCAGCAAGCCGAGATCGCGCCATAGCACTCCAGCCTGGGCAACAAGGGTGAAACTCTGTCTCAAATAAATAAATAAATAAATAACTTTTTAGGTACATACTATTTTTCAGGTGTTTGAGGAATGAATGGATTCATTAAAAGCCTAGATGGCCAAATCAGGCACTTCAGTTTAGTAGATCATAGAATCCCAGACTTTAAAAGCTGGAAGGAACAGTAAACAGCTAACTAGATCTGTGATTTATAGGTGAGTAAGCAGAGGCCATAGTTAAGCAATGACACATGTTAAAAGTCAACAGCTAGTAAGTCAGCTTGAACCAAAATCTCAGGCCCACACCAAGTCCAGGGATCTTTCCATAGGTCAGTCCTCCTTTTATATCTTGAGTAAAATCTGTCTTGTGTGAAGTCACCCTTCTAACTGTGTTTTAAACTCTCTGCTAATAGGGCCATGATTAACAATGACATATCCACTCAATGGAGTATTACGCAGCCATTAAAGATAATATTTATGAAGCTTGTGTAATAACATAGAAGAGTGGCCAGGGAGTAACAATACGGGAAGAAGCAGGAAATAAAGCTGCATGTATAGCTTAATGGCAATGCTATTAAAAGCCTTTACATAGAAACAAAAAGTGGAAAAAAATTAGAAAGTTATTTGCACTTATATTTGAATGGTGAGGCTAGCAAAAATTGTTTCCCCTATTCCTACTCTCCAATATTTTAAAACCTTTAGAGATATACACACTTTTAAGGTGGAAAAGTGAAAACAACTCTTCTGCCATATTCAAAGATAGTTAAGCCAAAGCCCTTTTGCTGTGGGTCTGAAGATGTTTCTAGAGCAGAATAAACACTCAAAACCAGAGACAAGCAAACCATCCACTGGAGGAGTTGGAGTGAGGGCACGAGTGGTGCTCTCCTGAGCTTTCTTTTGCAGGGAGACTGGGAGGGTATGAAGTAGTCGGGTCATTGGAGGCAGGAGGGCTTTCTCCACCCAGTGTTCAGTCTGAGCCATGGAAAAGAAGAGTGATTAAAAGGCACAACAGAGAGAAGCTCTCCCTAACACCAACCAACAAAGATCCTCTCCCAGCACCAGGGAGCAGACTTGAGCAACAAGCTCACTTGTGCGTGCACAGTACAAGAAGGCTCCTGACCCTAAGAAATGAAAGAGCCTAATTAAAATGGGGAAACCCTATGCTTCACTGCACCACTCAGCTACTCATTTAAATCACTATTATGAAATATGTATGAACTCTATTTCTCTGCAAATGCTGATCTAGAACACCTTTCCTGGATCACCCCTTTCAGTAAATACAGCATATTCCCACTAGAATCTACCTTAACAACTATGTTGAGGCATAAATGAAATAAACTGCACATATTTAAAATATGCATTTTGAAACATGCATTTTGAAGTTTTGATTTGTTTATACACCCATGAAACCACAGCCACTATTAAGATACCAACATTTTCGTCATTCCAAGTTTCCTTGTGCCCTTTCCCTTCAACTCTGTCTAAACCCTTCCACCACCCCCAGGCAACCATTCATCTGCTTTCTGTCACTATAGATTCTTTTTCATTTTCTAAATATGTATACAAGTGGAATTACATAGTATGTATTCTATGTCTGGTTTCTTTAACTCAGAATAATGGCTTTGATATTCATTCAAGTTGTTAAGGGTATCAGTTGGTGGTTTCTTCTGATTGATCATCAGCATTCCGTTGATCAGTATTCCATTGATCCATTAATTAATGATCTATAATATTTTGAAGGTATTACAAATTAAGCTGCTGTAACAATTCATTACAAGTCTTTGTGTGGACAAATGTTTTTATTTATCTTGGGTAAATAGCTAGGAGTGGAATAGCTGAGTTCCATACCTGTTAGGTGTATGTTTAACTTTTTAACTAAATACCAAACTGTTTTCCATTTTACATAGGCACAGCAGTGGTTGAGAGTTCCGGTTGCTCCACATCCCTGCCATCACTGGGTATATTCAGTCTTTAGCCACTCTGGGGGGGTACCTATGGATATTTTATTGTGGATCACACTTCTACATCCCATCCCAGTCTCTCTATAACAGAAAGCCCAGAGGAAGCCTTCTAGCACCCCCACTCCAACTTCTTGAGTGGACGGTTTGCTCTTCTCTGTGTTTGAGTGTTCATTCCGCTGCAGACACATCTTTAGACCCACCACAAAAGGGCTCTGCTTCTGCCTGAAAATGATCCCTAAGCTTCCTTTCTGGGCTTCCTCTTCTGTCTTGATCATGAAGCACGCTAGCAGTCATGGAACACTTTGAGTTTCCTAAGGCTGCTGTAACAATTGATCATGAATCTGATGGCTTGAAACAATGGAAATGTATTCTCTCACATTTCTGGATTTCAAAAGTATGAGATCAAGGGGTCAGTAGGGTTGGTTCCTTCTGGAGGAGAATCTGCCATGCCTTTTCTAGATTCTGGTGTTCCATGGCTTGTGGATACATCACTCCAATCTTGCCTCTGTCTTCTCAGAGGCTTCTTCTGTGTGTCTGTGTCAAATCTCTCTCTGCCTCTCTTATAAGGACACTTATAAGAGTCATTGGATTTAGGGTCTACCATATAATCCAGGATTACCTCGTTTTCTCAAGATCTTTAATCACATCTGCAAAGACCCTTTTTCCAGATAAGGTAACATTCACAGATTCCAGGAATTTGACACGGATATCTTTTGGAGGGTCATTTTCAACCTACTACGCTTGCTAAGAACTAGGTATGATGCTAGACATGGTAGTTGACTATCTGATTTCCTCATAAAAACCCTGTGTCATTATTCCTATTTTTCATGTAATCCAGGCTTAAAGAAATATCCTTTCAAAGTCTAGTGCCAGTTGGGGGTGAAATCAGTAATCAAACCCAGTTTTTCCAGCTTCCTATGGTGCTGTTTGCTTCTCTGTCACTGAGATTTTTAAACTTCCAGAATGCAGAAAATTCCACATGAAACATGTTTATTGAGTGGATTCATAGCATTAGAGCTATCAGTTTTGCTTCATTATTGGAAGCTCTAAAGTGGTCTTTGGGTCAGTGATTGTTAATTAACACTGGTTTTTATCAGATCACTTAGAGAGCTTTAAAAAAAATGCTCAGTTCACTCCTTGCCAATATTTTGGGGGTCTCAGATTTTTACAAAACTCCTCAAGTAAACCTTTTGTGCAGCCAGGATTGGGAAACTCTGGGATTCTCTACTCAACCTGTGGTTTCCATGCTGCCGACCATTTCCCTCAGACGTCCCTGGAAGTACTCTGAGGTAGGTTAATTCCATTCAATGATCAGAAATGACCTTCAATATCTTCCATTGTCAAAGCCCAACCCCTGTTCTAGACCTACCCACCAAGTCTCTGGAAATTGCAAGATGTCTGATTTAGATTCTATCAGCCCATTTGTTCATCAAGTTAAATTCTATAGGTCTGAAGAAATGAATGAGATTATTTTATGGTGCTGCCCAGTCTCTGGTTCTTTTTGTCAGTCACCATCCAGGTGCTTCCTGAAGAAATCGATCTTCCAGACCCTTATCTGTGGAAAGTAACATCTCAAAAATACATCACCAAAAACTTCACACACAGAGACATAGTGAAGGACATTGTTTCCATCAAAGGGATATGCAGTCAATTGTAATTTTTCTTTTTTATATTAAGCAGAGCATATTGTTTCCTTCCTTTGCATAATTAGAAGTGGCTGAATGGATTTCATCTGATTTTCTTTCTCTAAAAATTGCCTAAGTATTAAAAGCAAACATGGAAAGATTTATCCCCAAAGTAAATATTTGGGAGACAGTTATGGCACCTTAATCTTTGTTCCCTTGAATGCAATAATTAAGGAATTTAGATACCTATGTTCATATACTTCAATGTTCACTTAAAATATCTTAGTGTTCTGTGTTTTTCAGCACATTCTAACAAGCCATGTGCTATTGAATATGTCTATGATGTTTCCTTTTTTTTTCAATTTTTGTGGGTACATAGTAGGTGAATATATTTATGGGGTACATTAGATGTTTTGATAGAGGCATGTAATGAGTAAATAATCACATCATGATAAATGGGGTATAGATCCCCACAAGTATTCATCTTTTGTGTTATAATCCAATTATACTTTCTCTTATTTTTAAATGTACAATTAAATTATTGACTATAATCACCCTGTTGTGCTATCAAATCTATTGTGTTTCTTTGTATTTGATGTTTCATTATGATTTCTCTTACCTGACTCATTTGGTTGAGAAATTCCCAGTTTTCAGGTCTTTCTGTGAAAAGTGTATTATGTACAATGTTTATTGTTTTGCTTTCTTGTATTATATTAGAGTCTGTTTGCACATTTTCCATAGAGAACTAGGAGCTACTCAAAGCTGTTCTTGGAATTCAATTTTTATCTGTGCGATCTACACTCTTTAAGAAAACATAGGAAGAGATATTTGGCCCGACTGCCAAGTAATCTCTAAGACGCTTCCCAAAGTCTCTTTCTCAGAATACTCAACTAAAAGTAATAAGTTGTAATCAAATCAAATGCCTGAGTTTTGGGTCCTGCCAAATGGAAGAAAGGGTTTTGGGGAGTGTCCCTCTGCAGAATAAAAAGCCCCGAGTTTAAGAATGTGTCCTGGATTAATTCTGTTCTTGACCTCACAGCAAAATGAGCTGAGTTGTCTCATGTGGCATCATACAACCTTATTCCCTCACGCAGCTCCAAAAAATGTGAGTGGGTTTCCGAGAACAATAGCTCCCTGGGGGAGCTATTATCCGAAAGAATTGTGCAACTTCTATTTTCCACAAAGGACTCAGCAGGGAAATTTTTAAAATTTCTCCTCTAGATGTGCTGAGAGAGGGCAGTCCTCTCCTGTCTGAATGATTGAGTCCCAGAAACTTTGAATGGAGGCTTGCCAGGAGATTCCGCACTGTAACTCTGTCCTCAAATGCCCACCAGGTAGAGGGTGTGGCCTGGAAAAAAGTCTGCACATATTCATTTTCCATTCAGTCATCATAGTAAGTGCAGTTCCCACAGTCGGTTGACTGGGGTTGTTTGTTGTTTGGGCCATTGCAGAACTGACTGAAATGCCAGGCACTTGACCTGATCTGGTTGTTATGAAGTCCAAATGCAAGGGAAAGCCACTGACATTTTAGAGACCAGTGATTCAGGCCATATTTATCACTGATTCAGATGTCTATGAAGGATTCCGAGTGACCATTAGGACACCAGACTTTCTAATGCCCAGAAGTTGCTGATCAACCGGGAATATTAGTACAGTTACAGCCTTAATTGATCACAAACTATGGATATTTTTTCCACTTTATTTGACTTTTGAGAGTGTCAGCCAACAGCTATTGACACCCATTTTGGTGAAATACATTGCTTCCAGGGAGCAATGACTATTTGAAAAATGTGGTCTTTGCCCTAGGGGATTTCACAGCCTCCATGAGGGAAACGTTATTGGCTCACTGGCGGTGTTCAAATAAAGAAGAAAATGTAAGGCAGGAAGATCTTCCTTTGGGGGTCCCAAAAGGAAGCAATTGGAGAGCAAGCCTCCGTGTTCCCAGCCTCCAGAAAGCCATCAGTTGGATGTCATGGATGGATGGAGGGATCAGAGACACACAGAGTTTCAAAGCAGGAGGTAGGATTATGGCATATGGAAAGTACTATCTACATGTTTGCCAGATAATCATAACATCAAGCCATGTAGTATGACTCTTTCACTGTCAAAACCCCCACTTAAACATATTTAAACAAAAAAAGAGGGGAGGTAGGAAATTCATTAATATTCCTAAAAAGCTCAGAATTACATGCACGCTTTGCTGTATACAGGTATTCACATGATAGACTCAGGTTGCTGTCTTTCATCCTTTAAAGTTGAATATGACTTTGAGTAGCCCGTGTTGGGTGTTCTGTGATGCAGACTCTTAAGAGTTGAAAGAGACTGTAGAGATTACTTGGCAACCACTCCAAATTCCTCTTCATCTGTTTCCCCTAAAAAGTGTAAGCTAAACATGGCTCATTGGATCAACTTTGGGTCATGTCTCCATTCCGGTGCCAAGAATGGTGAGTGGGAGAGGTGAAATATTTTGACTGGTCGGGATTGATGACATGCTATCCCCCACCCCATACCCAGGGTGGTTATGCATGAAAAATACCATCTGTGGCCAGAAGATGAGGCAATGGATCCAAAGCCAGAATAAAAAAAAAAAATCTTCACTAAAAATATGATGCATTCTGTATTTACTATGTGTTAGGAAGTGTGCAAAAAACTTTATAAACGGTAAACCATTTCATCTGTCCAAACATCCTATGAAAGTGGAATGATATTCAAAATATTAACATAGGCATCTATGTATCAGAACATATGTTGGAGAATCCCTGTGCACCTGGCAGGATCCTGGAGGCCCAGAATGCACCAAGCATTAACCCTTTATTTCCTGGATCATGGGCACTTTGGGGGGAAAAGAGTTCTTATGGGAGAGGCCAGGGAAGTTGAATGGTGAAAAAGCACATGGGGGGGCTCAAGGCAAGAGAGCTGTGTGAACTCTTTCAGAAGTAATTTAGCATTTTCTAATGGCTGGGAGAGCCATGCTCATGCATATCAGCTGTATGATAGCCATAGAATTAAGGACTATCTCCAGTCTACAAATGAGGAAACTTTATCTCACAGAGTATAACTTGCTCAAGGCCACATTAGTAAACTGTGGAAATAAAGTCAACGCTAGTTCTGTCTCATTCTAAAGTCCATGCCATACAAAAAAAAAAAATTGATTCAGACATTTCCCCCATTTATTTTAATGTGTTTTTGCATACCCATGTCTTGCCCTTGAATGAAAAACAGGAGGCTTTCCTGAAGACTGCTGTGGCCTCAGTGCTTCCAGAGTGACTTTTATTGGTAAGACAGAACTCACAAAGATGCCCAGGATTTCAAACCGCCACCTTCGCGTCACTCACTCCATTACCATAATTACTATTCCCTCAAATGCTAATGGAGTGTCTAACATATTCAATATTTGCTCCTGAGAACAATAAGACATAAAAGCAATGGTATAAGCATGGATCTTTTCTTGTATCATTTAGATTACAACCTAAACTTTGCTGCAAAAACTCAAAGAAATTTTTTACTAGAAAGGTAAAATGTTTTTGGACATATTTTAGGAGTGATTAAGACTCACTTTTAATATTTTGTAAAAGTTGATTCTGGAATGTCAGCCACTCCCACCCCTCACCTAATTGTGAATTCCTCCATAGCAAGTATAAGCACTGGGGAATACTGCACTAGTCTTTTTGCTGCTTTTGACATTGAGAATGATTTTATTCCTCCCCTAATAACATTGTAGTAGTCACTGGAGAAGCATAGATGAGTCAAATAATGTCCTTAGACTATAATTATGTGGAGGAAACAGGTACAAAAAACCCCAAGAATTGTAATAAGTTGTTATTATTTGCTAAATATAAAGGAGTTTTGCATGATGGTCTTTGAAGTTGCATTGCTTGGGTTAGAATCCCAGCTCTAACTTGGGAGGCTGAGGTGGGAGGATCACTTGAGCCAGGAGGTTGAGGCTGCCACTGCACTCAGCCTGGGTGACAAAATGAGACCCTGTCCAAAAAAAAAGAAAAAACTAAATCCCAGCTTCAGCTCCACCACTGAAACACACTGAGGCTCAGTTTCCTAATCTGTGATAAGGGGACATAAAAATATCTCCTTCATATAGCTGTTGTGAGGATTATTAAAATGACCCTACCAGGAGCAGTGGCTCATGTCTGTAATCCCAGTACTTTGGGAAGCCAAGGCAGGCAGATCACGAGGTCAGGAGTTCAAGACCAGCCTAGCCAATATGGTGAAATCCCGTCTCTACTAAAAATACAAAAATTAGCCTGGTGTGGTGGCATGCGCCTGTAGTCCCAGCTACTGGGGAGGCTGAGGCAGGAGAATGGCATGAACCTGGGAGGCGGAGCTTGCAGTGAGCAGAGATCGCACCACTGCACTCCAGCCTGGGCAACAGAGCAAGACTCCATCTCAAACACACAAACAAAAAAAAAAACCACATTAAGTGCTTAGCATAATATCTGGTATATTCTATACCAAATACTCTGAGAAGAATCACAGAATAGGGACATGTCAATCAGACCACTGAATTAGAGGTAGCTTCCTGGAGGAAATATTACTTTAATAAATTCTGGAGGATAAATAAAAATTGGAGTAAGATGAAGGAAGTGGAAAAGTTATTGAGATAAGGAATGTTAGGTATTAAAGCAAGGTAAGAAATATTAAGATAAGAAGGCAGTGGACGCCATGTTATCAGGGTGTTAGAATGGAGTGAGGAGCTAGAGAAACAGATTATGCCATGATGTGTGGGCCTATGTGTCACATGTTTTGTGTTTATCACAGGGTCTGTAGCAGTATCTTGCACAGTGTTGTGTATATGAATGAATTCGTGAGTAAATGCGTAAATGAAAATACATCTTAGGTTCCTAGAGCTCTGGAAGTGGGGAGTGGAGAAAACCTTTGCTACTGAGCCACCTACATTTTCATCATAAAAAGGCAGATACTACAAAGATACTGGAGTGAAACCAGCATCTTTAATCTCTAAGAGTGAAACCTAGAAACTAGCAACAATGGAAAGTTGTCACAAGCATTAGACTGAAGTGACAAAGAGGAGAGATGGTGTCTGTTGCCTGGTGAAAGCTAGAGTGAGAAGGAAGAGGTGTAGCCACAAGGGGTCTGGAGGGGCACACAGTTGCTGCCAAAGATGCTTCCCTGAAGCAGGGAAGGAAAAGGAAGCCATGCCTCCACTTCCCACTTTTCCAGCCCACCAATCTCCTGCTGATGTCTTCTGTTGTGGAAGTCAGCCCTCAAAGCAGTTCCAGCAGGTTTCTCTCCTAGCAGGAGAGAAAACAGACAATGGATCGGGATGGGTCAAATGAGGGAATAACCACCACAGATGTTAAGGTCATTAACACATCTTAAGATGTGCTTGGTCCATTTTAAAGACTACTCACTGGGATTTAACTCCATGTGACTTCTTATTGTCTGAGGCAATCCAGAGGTGTTCAGCTTTGGTTCAAAAGTGGGCAGAGATGGGCCCATGTGAGACAATGGATGGGGCCAATCTAACTGCTTGAAACTGGGAATAAGTCAGTCAGAGTTCTGGAAGCTGAGAAGTCTAAGATCAAGGTGCTGGCTGATTTGATTCCTGGTGTGGGTCCTTTTCCTGGCTTGTAAACAGACATCTTCTGGATGTGTCCTCTCCTAGAGGCGGGGGTGGGGGTGGGGGTGGAGGTGGAGGTGAAGGTGGAGAGGGAGGTGGAGGTGGAGAGGGAGGTGGAGAGGGAGAGGGAGAGGGCATTCTGGTATTTTTTTTTATAAGGGCACTAATCCCACTGTGATGACAACCCCATCCTGATGACCTCATCTAACCCTCCCAAAGTCCCTACTTCCTCATACCATCATACTGGGGGTTAAGTCTTCAACATATGAACCTTGGAGGACACAAACCTTCAGTCCTTAACACTACCCTATGTCCTCAATAAAGTAACATAAGTACTTTACAGGAAGAAAGCCAAATCCAGGATAAAGAAATGAGGCAAGAAACAGTGATGAAGTCCAGAAATTGGGTAATGCATATTGTTAGAAGTTGGTAAATACTTACACTGATAAATTTAATTTCTGTAAAATAAAAAGCAACCAGTGCATTGTGTTTTTCTAAAAGGTGGAGTGTTTAATGAGACAACAATGAAAAGTCTTTATATCTAATTGATGTTAAAATTTAATTGGCCATTGCCTGATTTTTTTTTTCATGGTAGCTATAATTTCTTACAGCCTCAAGCATTACACAATAAACACTCATTTTCATGACCAGTTTTTTAAATAAATCTTTTATTTTAGAATAGTTTTAGATTTACAGAAAGTTGCATAGACCCAGTTCCCTCCATTGTTAACATCTTACCTTACTACCGTACATTTATTATAACCAAGGGACCAATGTTTGCACACTATTAACTGAACTCTATTGTTTATTTGGATGTCAGTAGTTTGTTGCTAATTCCCCTTTTCTGTTCCAGGATCCATCCAGTTTAACCTATTAAATTTAGCCATCATCTTTCCCTAACTGCAATAGATTCTCAGGTTGTCCTTGTTTTTGCTGACTTTGAGGGTTTTGAGAAACACTGGTCAGGTATTTTGTAGAACATTCCTCAGTGTTGGTTTGTCTGATACTCTCTGGTTGGACTGGGGTTCTATGTTTTGAGAAGAAGATCACAGGAGGCTCTAGGAAAGAGTCTGTTTCCAAGTTCTTTCAGGTGGTTGGCAGAATCCAGTTTCTTGCTGTTTGCAGACCAAGGCCCCTCTTTCCTTGTTGGCTGTCAGTGAGGCTGCTCTCAACTCCTAGAGGCCACCCACATCAAAGGCCGCATGGCTCCTGCCATTTTCCTCACATTCAGCCTGTCTCATACTTCACGTTTCTCTGGCTTCCAGGTTTCTCACTTCTAGACCCAGAGATCGAGCATACAAGCATCTCCCCATCTTAAGGCCAACTGATTTGGAACCTTAATTACATCTGTAAAATATTTTTACAGCAACACCTAGTTAGCGTATGATTGAATAACTATGAAAGGTATGTGCATATCAGAGCCAGGAATGTGAGAACATCTTAAATTCTGTCTAACAGAGAGAGAGAGAGAGGAAGGAGTGGGTGTGTTGAGAGAGAGAATGAATATCATGAAGCAGCATCATTTTGTGTTTGTCTCTCTGTTTGCTCTGGCTTTATTTCTACTTCTATATTTCTTTCTCCCAATCTCTCCCCTAACAAAAATTATGTGCATGGGTTTTACATTGTAGTAAAATTGAATTATAACATTAAAATACTGGCCAGGCACAGTGGCTCACACCTGTAATCCTAGCACTTTGAGAGGCCAAGGATGAAGGATTGCTTGAAGCCAGGAGTTCAATATCAGCATGGGCAATATAGTGGAATCACATCTCTACAAAAAACTAAAAAATTAGCCAGGTGTAGTGGTTCATGCCTCTGGTCCCAGCTACTTGGGAGGCTGAGGTGAGAGGATTGCTTGAGCCCAGGAGGCTGAGGCTGCAGCGGGCCATGATTGTGCCACTGCACTCCATCCTGGGCAACAGAGTGAGACCCTGTCTCAAACAAACAAACAAAACCCTAAATTAAATTAAAAATCAAATTTAAAAATTGAAATACCCTTACATTCATCTTGTCTGCAGATTTTCCAACTTTGTGAATAGTGGGTTTTTTAATGTTCCTAAAGAATGTGAATCTGCCTGACAAAAGGATTCTCAGACTGTCACCTTCATAGGTAGCTATTTTTTCTTAATTTGTATGCAAGGATATACAGTGGGGCCCTTTGTATCCACGCATTCCACATCCAGTTTCAACCCACCTTGGATAGAAAATATTTTAAAATACAATAAAAATAATACAACAATAACAATACTATACAATTTAATAAAAATACAGTATAATGATACTATAAAATAACAAATACAATAAAAATAATAAAATTCAAAAAATTCAGTATAACAACTATTTACATAACATTTACATTGTATTATATTGGGTCTTGTAAGTAATCTAGAGATGATTTAAAGTATGAGAGGACTGTATAGATTATATGCAAATACTATATCATTTTATATCAGGGACTTGAGCATCCATATATTTTGCTATCTACGAGGGGTCCTAAAACCAATCCCTCCATTGGATACTGAGGGGCGACTGTATCTTCTTCTAAAATGTATTTTTAAATTACATATGTAATACAGATCAATATTAAATATATTAATACAGAGAATACTATTAAAATATAATTAGGTCCCTTTTAAAAATGGTAGTGTACACCTGGGGAAGCCAGGCGGTCACCTGATGCGTGACTGCATGGTGCCTGTGGATATGCCAGCAACATTTGTCAGTTCATGGTGGTATGCTGTCTATTAGATAACTACCAGCCTGTCATTTCAGCACATATTTGTAGTAGTATTCAATATTCATTATATGTTAAAACATGTATTCTACTCAACTTTCCACATGGAGCTTTCTGAAAGATGGCAGTTTAAAATCAAAAGCCAACTTTGTGGCTCTGAACAAGCACAAAGTTGAACAGTTCAGAATGAAGAAGAATAATTTCAGCCCCAGATCCTGAAAAACTGGAAGGTGAGCTATCCAAGATGAAATAATTAATGATTTTTGGAGCACCCCATTGCAAGGGTACCCAAATATTGCAAAACACGCCATTTGTGTTCTCCTTCCCTTTGCTACAACACCCTCTGTGCGCCAACAAAAACAAAATGAATAGACTTGATGTTGCAGCTGATATGAAGTTCTGACTCAGTCCCATTGTTCCAGACATTAATACATGATAGAGATGTAAGATAGAGTTCACTAAATACCTATTCAATATGTTTGTGTTTCCTAATAAAAAGCATAAACCAAAAGATTATTTTATCTTTGATATAGTTCATTCTCAATCAAATCAAATCAAATCTGTTATTAATTTTCCACTATAATGTGTATTAAAAGCATATAAATTATCAATAATAAACATACAACTCACAAATTAAGCAAAAGGTTTGAACAGACCTTTCACTAAAAAAGAATCTACAAGGCCAGGCACAGCTATCACATGTTCCCACTCATATGTGGGAGCTAAAAAAATTGATCACCTGGAGGTAAAGAGTGAAGCGACAGACACCGGGGACTAGGAAAGGCGTGTGAGTGGAAGAGACGGATGAAGAGAAGTCAGCTATTGGGTACAAACAGATAGAAAACTAAGTTCTAATCATGGAAGAGTACTATAGTTAACAACAATGTATTATACTTTTAAAAAAGCTAGAAAAAAGGACTTGAAATATGCCCAACACATAGAAATGGCAAATAACTGGGGTGACAAATACCCTAAATACAAATTCCTGATTTGATCATTACACATTCTATGCATGTGATGAAATTTTACATGTACTCCATAAATATGTGCAAATATAATGTATCAAAAATAAATCCCTGGCCAGTCACGGTGGCTCACGCCTTTAATCCCAGTACTTTGGGAGGCTGAGGAGGGTGAATTACCTGAGGTCAGAAGTTCGAGATCAGCCTAGCCAACCTGGCAAAACCCCGTCTCTACTAAAAAGACAAAAGTTAGCCGGGCGTGGTGGCGCACGCCTGTAGTCCCAGCTACTCAAGAGGCTGAGGCAGAAGAATCACTTGAACCCGGGATGCAGAGGTTGCAGTGAGCCGAGATCGTGCCATTGCACTCTAGCCTGAACATTGAAAGTTGGTGAATTTCATTTTATATAACACATGCCTTAATAATCCCGAGTAGCTGGGATTGCAGGCATGCGCCACCACGCCCAGCTAATTTTGTATTTTTAGTAGAGATGGGGTTTCTCCGTGTTGGTCAGGCTGGTCTCGAACTCCCAACCTCAGGTGATCCACCCGCCTCGGCCTCCCAAAGTGCTGGGATTACAGATAGCAGCCACTGGTGCCCGGCCATTTTCTCCCCTTTTTTTGTCTCTCCTCCTTAGAATTTGTCATCAGCCACTATGAAAGGCTAAAATAATAATTCTACACCAAGACCATATTTGTCCAACTGACATGGCAGTCCTGGTTTTGGAAAGTCTGTAACTCCCTAGTCCTACAGAATTTTGTCCCCATGCCCATTGCCTCCATCTCTTAACTAGTGTCTGGCCCCCATCTCTCCCCATTTAGATCCATTCTCCATACATGCCAACATTACCTTTCTAAAAACCAAGTCTGATCATGTCAATTTTAGGTTTAAAAGTTAAACCTTTTGCTTGATTTCCCCCACTGTTAAAGATAAAGTTGTGTGTTGTGCCAGTTAGAATTCTTAACAAAAATTCTTAATTCTGTCTTCTAGCCTCATCTGCCGCCTTCCATCATGGACCCTCTGTTCCTTAACAGTGCATTGCCTGTTTCTAGGTTTTTGCCGTGTTCTTCCTCCTTTCCAATATGCCCTCCCTGCCATTCCCTTCCTTCCCATGTGCTGTCTGGCTTGGGCCCCTACTGCTCCTCTCTGAGCAAGGGGATGAGATTCCTCTGATGGTTTGGGTCAGTAGTTCTCAACTCTGATCAGAATCACCCCTTATTCCAGAGATCCCAAGTCAATAGATACAGGAGTGGCTGCACGTGAGAGAATTTCTTGAAGTTCCCAGCTGATTCTAATGTGCAGCCAGGTTTGTGAACCACTGGCCTCAGCCCATTCAAGACAAGTTGCAGCCACTGGTTGGGAGAGCAAGGGGTGGATGGATGTTGGAAAGGCAGACACAGTTCCCTCCACTAGTACCAGGATGCCTGTACCACTGGGCTTTATTAATAGGGCAAATGCCCCTGGAGGAGAGCCGCCCTGAATTCGTTAATATTTTAAAGTGAAATTGTAGTCTATGAATCCCATTTCCTATGTGAATTTGAAAAACAACACTACATGTTTTCTAGACATTCCATTTGGTTTAGTCTACAGGTGATGCCTGGTGAGCATATTTATCGAGGGGATGCTTCCGTCTCCACAGTTCTTTGCGGCTTTTGTCCACTAGATGGGAACCAACTGCCAATCTCCCTTGGCCTCCTGTAGAGATAAGGGATGGACCATCATAGTAGGTAAATGAGTGATCAGTCCACCTTCCTTGCAGCGCCCAGAGTCCCAGAAGGTTACCTGTGATTTTATGTGTGCACACACACACATGTACACACACAGGGCTGCCCTGGGTGCCTGCGGCTAACACGAGGGAAGGCGCTCAGGAGCCCACGAACCGCACGAGTGGGGAGTGGCGGCCAGGAGGGAACCAGGCAGCATCAGGCCCACTTTTGTGGGAGGACTGGATCCCTTTAAACTCTATCCAGGCCTGCCTTGCCACCTATTCCCTGCGCGCTTCATTTTCTTTTCTTGCGATCGGTGAACTAACAGGGTGCAGATGCAAAAAAAAAAAAAAAAAAAAAAAAAAAAAAAAAAAAAAAAAAAAGAAAAAGAAAAAAAAATTCTAGAAAATCCCACCCAGGCACGTCCCTGGTCAGGACTTTAGACCCGGTGGCTACCACGTGGCCATGGCTAGCTGTGTCCACACGGCCCCTCCGAAGCGCCTTGGCCCCAGCTGCACTCTCCTCGCCCCCTTCCTCCCAGTGGGAACGAGCCAGCCAGCGAGCCCTCTCCCCACGGGTGGCGCCCGCACCCCTCCTTGCCCCCGGGCCCCGGCCTGTGATCGCTTTCCAGGGGGCAGGCGAGCTCCCGGGCCGGCGGCAGAGGGCGGGCGCCTGTGATCCGTGGCCAGGGAGCGCGTGCGCGCCGAGCATCTGGGGGCGCCCTCCTGTGATCCCCCGCCAGGCCCAGCTCTGTGGCAGAGGCCGTACACTCGGCCTCCCGCCCGGCCCGGGGCCCGACGCTCCCGCGGAAAGCGGCCCGGGGCAGAGGATCGGGGAACCGGGCTCAGCCCGGTGACTGTGGCCCGGCGAAGTCCCCCCGGAAGCCTCGCGCGTCCACCTGCACCCAGCCCCTGACCTTCCCAGCGGGGAGCTTCAATGACCACTCGCTTCCCACGGAACCAGGGGGCACTGGGCCGCATGCCACAGAACAATCCCCTTGGGGCTGCTCGTCATATGCCCAAGAAAAAAAAGACATGTGTGGTATCTTTTCCTTGCGGAGCATGCGCCCCCTTGGAGTGGAAGACCTCTCTGGCATGGTATTTTAGTTCAGCAAAGGGTGGTTATCAAGACAGGTGTGAACAGTTTAGCAAGAAAGACACATTTGTCCCTTAAATGGCTCCCTGTGCAATCTGAAAGCAGACAAAAGCCTCACATTAGCATAGGTTGTGCAAAGCCACCTGTTCAAATAACTCAGGCCAATAGTGAAAAACAGCCTTGGAAAGAAGAAAAGAACTCAAAAGCAGTGCAAATACTTGAACACAAGTTGAAGGATTAAGCTTCATCACAGAAACAGGCAGGGAGGGGAGAGGCGTTTCCCGCTGGTAATAAAAACTTGTAGGGTTTATTTTTAGCAGCTGGTTTGATTCCTTCAGATAATGAAATAGCAGCTTTCATAATAGCCTTGTCAAAATAAAAATATGGGAGCAAAACCCAGTCCGCTCAAATCCAGCAAATATTTGTGTTTGGAAATCCTGATTTTGAGCCATGGGTGAGCAGATATGATTTTGTCCACAAACAACAGCAAGGCCCTGGAGAGGCTGTGTCTGCAAGTATTGTTACTGCTTGCTGACGGTCCAAGAAAACACAAACATGGTTTCATCAGCATTCACTTTTAATATTTTTGAAATGCTATTGTACATTTGATTTCTGGCGTAAGAGAAAAGCGGGGGAAGGAGGGGGGAGAAGGCGGAGAAAGGAGCCAAGAGAAACTTGACTTGGGGAGAGTGAGTGGGAGATCAAAGCTTGGCGGTGGCAAAGTGATGGGGAGGACCAGGGCACAGCAGTGTGGGAACAGAGTGCATTGATGCAATGGGGATGTGAGCAAAGGAGTGGCAAGAGGCCTCTGCCCTGGGACCCACAGGGTAGAGGACGCCCTTCTAGCTCTCCCCGAACCTTTTGGTCCCCATGGGGTGAAGTATCTGAGCGCCTGGAGAATATATCCAGCTAGAGACCATTCCTTCTAGGCACTTGCTGCCAAAAGTGAGGTCCACGAACAAGCAGCATCAGTATCACCCGGAGTTTGCTGGAAATGCCCTGACCCAGATTTACAGCATTTTGGTAAGATTTCCAGGTGGGTTATATGCACATTAAAGAAGCAATGATCTAGGCTCTGTAGTGTAGCAAGGATCCCAGAATGGCCTGCACAAAGGCCTCAGCCCACTTCAAGAACCTGTGTGGGCCTGTTGCCTGAGTCCATCCTCAAAAGGGTGACAGCACCAGGCAACACGCCCAGTGTGAGTAGCTCTGGGCCTGAGAGGGCTCATTAGTGAGGCTAGGGAAGAGTGGCAGAATTGCTTGTGTCTTCCGGATGTCTTTACTTGCATACATGAGGCCCTTCCACGTGGGGGCTGTGGGCATGGACAGTTCTCCCCATGCCTCCATAGTTCAGCACAAAACTTAGAGTCCAAGAATTCTAAATTCAATTTGAGCCTGCCAGGCAATTAGGAAGGATTGTCAAGGTAGGAGGCTAACACATATTTTATTCAACACTTTGTTAGCTTGGTTTATAGTTTTACTTATAGTTTATTTAGACATGTGATGTGTGGGCCTCCATTCCTGCTCTTGCCTTGGGCCAGAAAATAGGAGTGGGCCCTACCTATAGTAGACCCTTTCTACATTAAAGCAGAGAAAACGCAGAGAGAAAAAAATCAGCACACTTAGCACATAAATGCATAGTCTCTAATCAGTTGTCTAAAAGTTTAAACTACACCTTAATTTTTTGATGTTGAGATGTGACACTTGTTTGCCTGAAACAAGGATTAACACCAAGAACAAACAGAATTCAACTTGTTCAGCTAACACTCAGTATGAAAGCCATTCATTTTTTCAACCAACACTGATTATTCTTCCATTATGGTTCAGACACCATGTTTAGCCAGGCTCTGAGGAATGAGACCTGACTGCCCTCAAAAACTCCCTCAGCCACTTAAGCAGGTTAAACTTCTCTTTACCAAGCAGGTCTACTTCTTCAACTTCCTTCTCCCAAAAATGTTGAACTCCAAGTCAAATATTTCAAGATCCCTCAACCAACTTTTACCCAGAGAGGACCTGAGGGATAATTTGGCTTACTAAGCAAAATTGGCAGGTGGATAGTGTTCAAATTTGTGTATCTGGCTGCACAAAGTTGAATGGTTAAAAGACAAATTCAATGTTTTACCTATTGTTCACCTTTTTTCAGGATTTGGGAGATTTACTTATTATGATTTGATATTACTATGCAACCTGATTGTTGAAATATCTTTACTGATGAAGATTCTGTCATGTTTACCAAGGATGAGTTATTCCCTTCCAAAGAGATCAAAAACACCCACTCCCCCAAACCATGTATGGTATCATATTGCTTCTTCTGTTAGGGAGAAAGCAACTGATAAACTGACTCTCAGTGAAGTGTTGGTGACTTCATGTTTTGCATCTTTATAAAAATGCCGTATCTTATTTTTAAGAGGACCTCAAGAAAAGAGCACAAGATATCTGCATGAATAAATTACAAATGATGGCCCCTCAAGCATCAATAGGGAACATATTTTGCATCAAGGATTTTCCTAGGGCTCCTTAAAGCACAGTACCTGAGCAGCTACCTAATCAAAAGCCTAGCCTTTAAGAAGAGGCTCCTGGCACTGATGAAATCAATAGTGATATTAATCATGTATTCATTGCCACAATACAGAACTTGTTCTCAAAAATGCTATCTTCATTCCAAAAACCAGTAGTCAGGAATCCTATCTATTAAGCTGGAGTCATGTTCTAGGGGTAGGAGAGAGAACAAAAGTGAGGAAGCAAGGAAGAGAACAAAAATCTACCTATAGACAACTCACCTGTCCTCCTCCATGGGCTGGTAGCTCGGAGGCTGGGCTGGATTGTTGATACAGTCTACCTACCAGTCCTCACCCTGCAGGTGCTTGAGAAAGACTTGGAAGTCACAATTCCACCAAAATGAGTTCTTGTTTTGTTCCTAATTGTCATCTGCATTTCTGCCCCCACACATGTAAATCAGAAGCTCAAACATCATTACAATCTGGAGAAACACCGAATGTCTCAGGAAAATTTGCCTAACCATTTCTCATTGCCTGATAACTGATTTCAGGTGCCTCCCAAAAAAACATGTGGCAGCAAATCTAGACCCACGGTGCAATTTAGGAGCCATAATTGTAGTAAAAACTAAATCTGATCCAGAGTAGACCTTTATTGCGGCACTTTAGAAGTTGCATTGACACAAAGTAGGTTGTGTTCAACGCTGCTAACTCTTTGGCAGTGATATTTATGTATTTATTTTAAAATATTTCAAAGGTTTAGAAATTAAGAGTTATTTGTCCTAAAAGTGCCATTCAAAAATGGTTTTTGTATGTAGAGTGCCTAACTAAATCCAGTTCGCACATGGCCTGTCTTTTTAACGGGAATACATTGAGATTTGCCAGATACTGCTAGAGAACAGGAACAATGAAAAGATCATTCAAACCATGATACCAAACTTTTCTGAACAACCATTCAACTCATGTGCTAAGGGAGTGTCTGCAGTAAAGATATTGAAGCTAGGAGCTTCTTTGTGGACAGATAAGCCATTATTCATAAATACAATATAAATTTACATGTTCATTCTAACTGAAAGAGGCACTGTAACTTCTCCATAATTTCAGGACTTTATAATTAACCCATGCTCATTAATTTGGAAAATTTTAAAAACTTACAAAAATAAAAGCCAGTGATAATCACACTACTCAGAAATAACTATTGTTAACATTTTGATTATTAATTTCAGAATTTTAAAGATACAAATGTGCTTATAAAATACAATTTTTGGTAGTTTTTCTTATAAAAAATGGGTATTTACTTACCTCATGTATTAGTTCATTTTCACACTGCTATAAAGAAATACCCAAGACTGGGTAATTTATAAAGGAAAGAGCTTTAATTGACTCACAGTTTCTCATGGCTGGGGAGGCCTCAGAAAACCGACAATCATGGCGGCAGGCGAGAGACACCGAGCAAGAGCAGGGAAAACTGCCTTACAAAACCATCAGCTCTCGTGAGAACTCACTCACCATTATGAGACCAGCGTGGAGGAAACCGCCCCCATGATCCAATCATCACCTCCCACCTGGTTCCTCCGTCGACACGTGGGGATTATGGGGATTACAATTCGAGATGAGATGTGGGTGGGAAGCCGCTCCAATGATCCAATCATCACTTCCACCTGGTTCCTCCCTCAACACATGGGGATTGTTGGGATTAGAATTGGAGATGAGATTTGGGTGGGAGCACAGAGCTAAACCATATCACCCCACATCATTACATTATCTTTGGAAAAATTGTTTTATTGGTTATGTAATACTTTATTGCATGAACATAGCAAATTTTGACTGTGGAATTTAGCTTGTTCCCATTTTTGATATTATAAATTATATTGCAAAATATCTATTAATGTATAGTTTTGTTGGAATTTATATCCATAGGGTAGATCCCTAGAAGATAACTTTTTGAGTCAAAATATAGGAACATTTTAAGAACCTTGACATATGTACCAAACTTCAGAAAGTTTGTATCATTCACACTTTTGCCAGCATGTTTGATGGTGATTGTTTTGCTGTATTCTTGCTAATAGTGAATAGTGCCCGTTGGCAAGAACCCTTGCAAATTGGAGAATACAGTGTTCCCTCATTTTCACTGTATTCGCTATAAAACAACAAAGAAAAACAGGATATATTTAGCAAATGAAATTCGCAGATTTCAGTAGAACTTTAAAATGACCAGAAATGTTAACTTCTGTTTTGTGAAATCAGACATCCCCCATTTCTCAACATTTCTCAACATTATTTCAAATTGCCAAGGTGATTTTTTTTTTTTTTTGAAACTGTTTCCCATTTGGAGGTGAGGAAATGTAGTCAATATCCTTCACCTGGTTGCTTGTATGCTTGATTACTACATTTACAAGTAACAACGTCAGGTGCAGTGGCTCAGGCCTATAATCCCAGCACTTTGAGAGGCCGAGGCAGGAGGATGGCTGGAGCCCAGGAGTTTGACACCAGCCTGGAAAACATCGTAAGACCGTTTAAAAAAAAAAATTGGGGCATGTTGGTGGCATGCACCTATAATCCCAGCTACTTGGGAGGCTGAGGCAGGAGGATTGCTTGAGCCCGGGAGGTCAAGGCTGCAGTGGGCCATGATTGCACCACTGCATCCCAGCCTGGGCAAGAGTGAGACTGTGCCTAAAAAAAAAACAAATGAATAAATAAATAAAAGGTAGCAACTATGATGTTACTTTCTTAAAAAGTTCACTACTGGCAGAGTCAGATGAGTTAAACCAGGTCTTTAAGAAAACTGATGAAAAGGAGTTAGCTATTTTCATATTAGGAAAGTGCACAGCAGAATAAAATTGACGGGCACAACGCCAGGTGGGAACATCTGCTTATCATGGAAAAAAGAGAGCCTCCTGTATAAAATCAATTTCTACCAAAATACAGAATTCGGGATCATCCATATGGTTTCTGTTGAGCGGCAAGAGGCAGCGCTTTGCGCTTCAACTGTTGGTGAAGACACAAGGCATCTACTCCTAACTGCTCTATTATCGCTAGAACAGCATCATCCAGATCCCTTCTGTTAATAAAATTATTTTTGTCCATCTAGGCAAGATATGGCATCATGTGATTTTCCAAAGCATAGTAATGCCAAATGCAGAATCACTGATGAGCCAGATTTCCAGGATGGTATTATTCACTCCATTGTTGTTGAAGGGAGTGGCCACATGGATCTACCTGCATTCTGGGTCCAGGTTCTGCGCAGCGCTTGACTCCACATGCATTCTCCACAGAAGTATGCATATTTCTGTGCTTTGCCTAAAGCTAGATTCGAGCCCTTCAGCTTGGAGGGAGCTGTGCAAACCATACTCACAAAGTTAAAACTTGTCTGATGATTTTTATAACACCACCTATAGTCAACTCTTGCTTATCTAGATGTGAATTCTTTACTCTGTGGGCTGAGCTGTGGCAGACTAATGTTTGTCTTTAACTTTTTATTTTGAGAAAACTTTTAAATCTATACAAAACTTGCAGTAATAATACAATAAACTCCTGTGGAGTTTGCATTTAGGTTCACTCAGCATTTTTTCCTACATTTGCCTTCTCTCAGATAAATAGATGGTAGTTTTCTGATCCAGGATCATATATAAGTTATATATGTATATATGCGTTTATAATGTGCATATTGTTATATATAATGTGTGTACGTATATATGATGTGTGTGCATGTATACATATATATATAAAATCATTTTTGCTGAACCATTTGAAACCAAGTTGCAGACATCATAGCCCTTCTACCCTAAATACATCAATGTGTATTTCCTGAGAATAAGGACCTTCACTTACATAGTAGAATGAGTAAATTCAGGAAATTCAACATTGATACAACTTATGATCAACTACACAGTTATTCAAATTTCACTAATTGTCTCGGTTCTGTCCTTATTGCATGCTTTTGGATCCAGGATCACACAATGCATTTAATTATCATGTCTTTTAAGTTTCCATTTAATCTGAAACACTTTCTAAACCTTTAATGGTCATTGTCATTTTCAAAGCATACAGGCAAGTTGTTTTATAGAGTGCCCTTAATTTGGGCTTTTCTGTTGATTTGATCCAGGTTTGGCTTTTTTGGGGGGTGAGGCCAGAAAGAAAAACACAGAAATGGTGTCATTGTCATTGCCTTATACATCAAGAGACAAGGGTGTCTACTGGTCCTATTATTGATGTTAACTCTGGTCACCTGGTTAGGGTGATGTCTGCCAGATTCTTCTACTATAAAGATACAATTCCTCTCTTTTTTAATTAATACAAGAAGATACTTTCTGTCCATGCAAATACATTGTTCCCACCCAAACACTCACCCTATATTCATTTAGGAGCCAATGTTGAATTTTGTCTGAATTATTTATGACAATGATGGCTTCCGCATGCTGCTCTTTGTGTCAATCCTTCTATATTTATTAGTTGAAATTCTAAAAGACCTTTCCCTTCCATATGTCCGTCTATCCATCCATCTACTTAGCTACATATCTACCTATCTACCTAACTATCTATCATCTTATCTTATCTTCCTATCTATCTTCATCTGTCTTATTAGAATCAGTATGAACTCATGGGTTATTTTTAATTAATTATGTTATAAGATGTAATTTAAAAATCTTCAGTCTGGGCCAGGAGCCGTGGTTCATGCTTCTAATCTTAGCACTTTGGGAGGCTGAGAGGGGAGGATTGCTTGATCCCAGGAGTTTGAGACCAGCCAGCCTAGGCAACATAGTGAGACCCTGTCTCCACAAAAAATTTAAAAATAAAATTAGCCAGGCATGGTAGCATGTGCCTGTAGTCCCAGCTACTCAGGAGGCAGAGGTGGGAGGATCACCTGAGCCCAGGAGGTTGAGGCTACAGTAAGCCATGATTGTGCCACTGCATTCCAGACGGGGAGAGAGAGTGAGACCTTATCTTGAAAAAAAAAAAAAACAAAACCAAAAACCAAAAAGAAAAAAAAAACCACCTCAATCCTTTGTTGATTCTTCTTTTTACTGAAAATAATGTGATATAAACTCTGTTTCATAGAGACTCATTTTATTTTACTAATTTAATTTTTCAGACAGTCTTGCTTTGTTGCCCAGACTGGAGCGCAGTAGCACAGTCTTGGCTCACTGCAACTTCTGCCTCCCGGGTTCAAGCGATTCTCTCACCTCAGCCTCTGGAGTAGGAGTAGTAGCTGGGATTACAGGTGTGTGCTACCACACCTGGCTAAGTTTTGTATTTTTAGTAGAGACGGGGTTTCACCATATTGCCCAGGCTGGTCTCAAACTCCTGACCTCAGGTGATCCGCCCACCTCGGCCTCCCAAAGTGTTGGGATTACAAGCATGAACCCCTGCACCCAGCCTTGACTCATTTTAATTTTTCTCTAAGTAGTCTGCAAAATTTTATTTTCAAAAGGTTTCTCGTAATGCCCTCCAAAATCAAATATGAGTAACTTTTGGATCAAACGCCGTTTTGCAATACCCAAGGCTTTCCATCTATTGCTACGGATAATGGTGCATTGGTTGTTTTATGAGCATGCTTGCTGAGCAAAATACTGAATTTAGCCAGAACTTTCCAGTGTAAGCTTTCTGTAAAGTATCTGTATTTTATCTAAGTTTTTATCTTGGTCCTTCTTGAAAAACCATATAATCCCTATGTGGACCCCCCCCCTGTGATAAGTGAGATAAACCTGGAGTGTAAGTGAAGGTCTTTTAGGGCCAGGGTATGTTATCCTTTTATTATTTTTTAGTTCTAAGTTCAAATAAATATGTTTCTCTCAGCCTTCAATCTACACTGCTGCTTTATTTTTGAAAAGATGAGGTTATTTTCTTTAGAACATTACATTTAAAAAGCAAAACCTCAGTTAACCCACATTCTTTCTGTTTTTAAAGGAAAGTCAATACCCTGCATATCAACCCGTGTTCCCCCCCACTTTTCTTTTTTGAGACAGAGTTTCGCTCTTGTTGCCCTGGCTGGAGTGCAATGGTGCGATCTTGGCTCACTGCAACCTCCGCCTCCCTGGTTCAAGCAATTCTCCTGCCTCAGCCTCCCAAGTAGCTGGGATTACAGGCGCAGGACCCCATGCCTGGCTAATTTTGTATTTTTAGTAGAGACGGGGTTTCTCCATGTTGGTCAGGCTGGTCTCGAATTCCCGACCTCAGGTGATCTGTCTGCCTCGGTCTCCCAAAGTGCTGGGATTACAGGCATGAGCCACCGCACCCGGCCCCATGTTCCCCACTTTTACAAGTGGCCTGATGTGTACCCAGCTACCACCTTCAACATCAAGATCATGCTGTTAATTCAAGAATAGACTTGGTGTAAACATATGCATAGCATCGTTTTTAAAATACTTTTAGACTTTACACATCCCTAATTAACAATGAGCAGGATTTTGGCTTTTAATGCTATTTTAGAATATTGCTAATGTATAGTAGAGCATTTGGAAAGTCTGTGTAGCCTAATTTTAAACATGTAAGTCATGGTATAATTTTTCCCTGATTAATAAAGAGGCTTGTGTTTACTGAGAGCTAATTGCACACCAGGCATTGTTCTAAAATGGTGCTTCTCAATTATCTGGGGTTAAGAATAGGTTTTATTTAATTATTTTAAATTTTCAATCCATTGCAAACTAATAAGTAGTTCTACTGTGCATGGCTAATGTGCTACTCACACCACACATGCCTCATTATCCAGGTTCAACAAACTCTTGGCTGCTCCACAAGGAGTCCCCCAATCATGAGTTTGGATGTCATGGCAAAGTCAAAAGCCTATAAAGGTTTCTAATGGCTTTCCTGAAATTCCTGTACTTATTGTGGCCTGAGGTTACGAACAGTTCATGGCCTGGCACTAGCCCACAGACCATGCTTTGAGCGTCACTGTTGTAGAGTACGTCCTTCATATTTCATCCTCCCAACAGCCCTCTGAGAAAAGTACCACCCCAACCTCAATTTTACAGAAAAAGAAATGGAAGCATAGTGTGCTTCCCAACACAAGGGCCAACAATTAACAGGTAGTAGAACTTGGACTCAAACCCAGGCAGCCACTCCCACTGCACAGAGGAGCCAGCATTCGGACCCAGGAAGGTGGACTCCAGAGCTTGGGCTCCTTCTCGTGTGTGCTTGTTTCATTTTAACTCTATGTAAAGTAAGAACAGTTCGGTTTAGGCCATGGTGAGGACCTCCTGAAATACACCTTCTACAGTTTACAAACCTACCTTCATCCACATTTATCTTACTCTCCTCTCATGATGGAAGAAGGGACCTTCTTACTATACAAACTCAATGCATTTCCCTCTAGGTCCTAACCTTTCTGTTCTGTTGGATGCTCTTGGTCCACCAATCATCCCAACCAAAGCAACTGTGCAAGTTCAGGAACTATGTCCATTTTACAGATGAAGCAGTTGAGGTTCATAGAGACAGAAACTTATCCAAGCATGTAACCAAGGATACATGGCTATAGGGTGGCCATATCCCCATTTGTCAAGGACAGTCCCAATTTATTGCCCTGGCACCATGGCTGGTTAGTGCTTTCTTTTCACTCTCAAAAGTCTCCGACATCGGACAGCATATACTTTGATCACCCAACATTGCTAGGGAGTAGCTAAGACAGAATTGGCTGCCAGATATATGGGATTGACCCCCAAACTAGGGATCTTTCTACTACCCCAGGATACTCCCTTAAATCTCAGAATTACAGTTTAAAGGAAGGCTTCTTCCCAGTCATTATCCATTCACTCAGCAAACATTTATGAGCACCCACGATGTGACAGACATTGTGCTAGAAGATGCAGATTTTAAAATCAACAGGGCATGGTCCAAGTCCTCAGAAGCTCATGGTTTAGAGAGGAAACAGAACCACAAATACTCAGGGCAGCATATATAATTTATAGATCCCAGTGCAAAATACAAAAGCAGGGCCCTTTGTTTAAAACTTCAGAATATCTAGATGGCGAAAACAGGGCATTAAACTAAGTGCTGGGTCCTTCTAAGCAGGAGTCCTGCACACTGCAGACCCCAGCTATGATTCATTGTAATGAGGGGTGCTCAGGGTATTATCGACATACATAGGAGTTAGCCAATCCGAAGACTGCTCGTAAGATCACTTCCTGGAATAAATGAACACGGCTGATTTTAGAGAATAAAGACAACGAGGATATTTCCCCTGCATGGACCTTCTCTTCTCTTTTTCAGGTCATAGGTTGTTGAAGACAATCACTTCATCAGCCATCTCCTGTCAACTGGCAATTCATTTTGACTTAAATGCCAATCACCAGGAGTCTTCTGCCACTGAACACCTCAATAATCTCCCTCCAGAGCTGGAACATACACTGTGGTGGACATGGAGATGTGCCACCCATCACCCCCTTCAAGGACTTGTCCCAGCTTCTGGAGGTGTAGTTGCTGGGCAACCTTCTGCTGTCACCCCTTTTGGGGACAGCCCTCATGCAATGACTAATCAAGGTGGAGGGAGAAAGCCCTGGCCATTGGCACACAGGACGACCCTCATGGACCATTTTAGCTCCAGGGTTCCTGGTGGGATCAGCTGGTCTCTCTGGCTAGCACTCCAGCTCAATTTCTCCATCCACCCAATCCTGCTTCTTCCCTCTTCATTCCACAAGGATTAATTCCAAGGGTAACTCTGTAATAAACATCCGGAACACCAAACTCCATCTCAGAGTCTGCATCCCAGATAATCAAACTGCAGCACAGACCAAAGAAGCTTCTAGGGCTTGGGGAGGATTTTTACTTGAAAACTGTTAGTTATATTCGTAAGACTTATTTCTTCCCAACCCCCATCTAGCTTCTGCAGAATCATAACACTTATTTCTAAATCCTGAAATCCGATATAAAATAGTGGAAACAAGGACTCTGTATGTGAATGAATTACCCTCTGGGTTGAAAACTTCCATTTGATAAGGATCAACATATCCATTAAAACACATATAACATATTTTGTGGAAATTAAACCATGAGTTTATTACAATTTTTGAGGAAAACTATTTGTTTTTCAATCTATATTTGGGGAATAATGTAGTCCATAACTATACTATTTATCAAGTAGGGTGGAAGTATTTCATTGACACACATTTACTCAATTTTCAAAGAATGAGGATTTGAGAATTAGACCAGTTGGTGAATAAGTTGGGTTGAGCATAGACATGGCTTTTAGGATGAGCATTACTTGTTGAACATTCTTAGTTTTCTTTATTTCAGGTGATAGATTTCTCTCTTTGCTTTTAGTAAAATAAGTCCATTAGTAATGCATATCACATTTGTGGAATTATAAAGACATTATTTTGAGCTGTGATGGCCAGAATGTCATACAGTCTTCTAGGTAAAGGCAGATCTTGAAAACGCTCTAAAACAGAATTGGTTGTGGGAAGTGACTTACACATTCATTCAGGTGCAAAATCTAACATACTTCAGGGCATACATTAATCTTTTGAGAACAGGATTTGAAACAAATACCGAGATTTGAGAAGACAGGCTTCTAAAATCTCCACAGTCAAACCCTCTGAAAGAAAAACACGAATTTTCATTGCAGTACATAAGGACAAGTTAATCAGCTGATAAATTAATATTAACTCAACTCACTAAATTGAACAATACTACATAATAAATCTAATTCACTGACTCATTGAATTGATTAAAGTTGTTTCTTCACAAGACATCAACCACTTATAGTGTTATTAATAAAAGCACTTAGCATTATTTCTTCTATTGATACATAGTATATATTTTTAAAATTACATATTTATGGGATACATGTATTTGTTACATGCATAGAATGTGTAATTATCAAGCCAGGGCATTTGAGGGTATCTATCACCTTCAGTATTTATCATTTCTATGTGCTGGTAACATTTCAAGTCCTCTCTTCTAGTTACTTTGAAATATATAATGTATTGTTGCTAACTATAGTCACCCTAGGCTGCTATTAAACATTAGAACTTCTTTCTTCTACTTGTGTTCATACCCATTAACCAGCCTCCCTCTCTCACCCACCCACCCTTCCCAGCCTCTGGTATCTATGATTCTATTCTCTATTTCCAAGAGATTAAATGTTTTAGCTCCAATATGAGAGAATATGTGGTATTTGTCTTTTTGTTCCTGCCTTATTTCACTTAACAGAATGACCTCTAGTTCCATCCACATTGCTGCAAATGACATGGTTCCATTCTTTTTTTTATGGCTGAATAGTATTGCATGGTACATATATGTACATCATATAAAAAATTATTTCATCCATTGATGGACACTTAGGTTGATGCCATATTTTTGCTATTGTGAATAGTGCTATGATAAACGTAAGAGTGCAGGTATCCCTTTGATATACTGATGAAAGAAATATATGTTTCTTTTCCTTTGGGTAAATACACAGTTAGTGAGATTGCTGGTTTGTATGGTACATCTTTTTTTTTTTTTTTTAAGACAGAGTCTTATTCTGTTATCCAGGCTGGAGTGCAGTGGCATGACCTCGGCTCACTGCAGCCTCTGTCTCTCAGGTTCAAGCAATTCTCCTGCCTCAGCCTGCCGAGTAGCTAGGATTACAGATTACAGGCATGTGCCACGATGTCTGGCTAATTTTTATATTTTTAATAGGGATGGGGTTTCACCATACTGGCCAGGCTGGTCTCGGACTCCTGACCTCAGGTGATTTGTCTGCCTCAGCCTCCCAAAGAGCTCAGATTACAGGCGTGAGCCACCGCGCCCAGCCGTAAGGACTTCTATTTTTAGGTTTGTTTTTTTAGAAATCTCTATACCAGGCTGGTCATGGTGGCTCACGCCTGTAATCCCATCACTTTGGGAGGCCAAGGCAGGTGAATCACCTGAGGTCAGGAGTTTGAGACCAGCCTGGTCAACATGGTGAAACCTCATCTCTACTAAAAATACAAAAATTAGCTGGGCATGGTGGTGGGTGCCTATAATCCCAGCTACTTGGGAGGCTGAGGCAGGAGAATCGCTTGAATCCAGGAGGCGGAGGTCGCAGTGGGCCGAGATCATGCCACTGCACTCCAGCCTGGGAAACAGAGTGAGACTCCATCTCAAAAAAAAAAAAAAAAAAAAAAAAAGAAATCTCCATACTATTTTCCATAGGATTCTATTAATTTACATTCCCACTAACAGTATGTAAAAGTTCCCTCTTTTCTGCATTTTCACTAGGATCCGTTATTTATTCTCATTTTAATAATAGCCATTCTAACCAGGGGAAGGTGATATCTCATTGTGGTGATATCTCACTGTGGTTTTGATTTGAGTTTCCTGGATGGTTAGTGATGTTGAGCATTTCTCATATATTTGTTGGACATTTGTATGTCCTCTTTTAAGAAATGCCTGTTCATGTCATTTCCCCACTTTTTAATGGAATTATGTGGGTCTTTTACTATTCAGTTGTTGCAGTTCCTCGTATATTCTAGGTATTAGTCCCTTGTTGGATGAATACTTTGAGAATATTTTCTCCCATTCAACAGGTTGTCTCTTCACTCTGTTGACTGCTTCCTTTGCTGTGCAGAAGCTTTTTAGTTTAATATAGTCCCATTTGTCTATTTAAATTGCCTGTCCTTGAAGTCTTAGCCATACATCTTTGCCGAGACCAAGTCCCTGAAATTATTTTATTTATGTACCTCATCTCCTCTAATGGAGATTAAAAAATAGAAAATGAGCAGGTGGAAACTTTGAGGTGATGGACATGTTTATGACATAGAATGTGGTGATGGTTTCATAGGTGATATTTGTCTCCAAACACAAAGCATACACATTAAATATGTATAACTTTCTATATGCCAGTCATACCTCAGTAGAGTGGTTAAACAAATAGAATCCAGAAAAACCTTAGAGTTCCTTATTTTTGTACTTATCCTAAAATTGAAGAGGAAGTGAGATTTATTTTATTTATTGGTTAGAGAAAATATAGACCTTGGCTTCTCAGGTACCAAAACCATCAGACGCATCAGCTGTGATGGACCACAAAAGACAACCGTCAAAGAGCTTCTTATTTTAAGAACTCAGCAGAAGTAATTTCCTACGTGTAAATTATTCCCTTTTTGAAGACTGAAGCACTGAATCTGAGATTCTAAAGGAAAAACAAGACCAACTTTTTAAAAAGTTAACTCAGTGTGAAGTATGACACATAAAAGTGTTCAATTAATAACGATCTAATCACCACCCAGCCAAACAAAAATTTTTTTTTTTTTTTTTTGAGATGGAGTCTCGCTGTGTCGCCCAGGTTGGAGTGTAGTGGCTCGATCTCGGCTCACTGCAAGCTCCGCCTCCCAGGTTCACGCCATTCTCCTGCCTCAGGCTCCCGAGTAGCTGGGACTACAGGCGCCCGCCACCATGCCCGGCTAATATTTTGTATTTTTAGTAGAGACGGGGTTTCGCCGTGTTAGCCAGGATGGTCTCGATCTCCTGACCTCATGATCTGCCCGCCTCGGCCTCCCAAAGTGCTGGGATTACAGGCATGAGCCACCATGCCCAGCCACAAAAAGTATTTTAAGTATCGTAGAAGATTCATGTGTATTTCCCCTAATTACCAACACCTTCCATCTCCCCAAAGTTATGAACTGTTCTGGTGTTGCACTCCTTTGTTCAGCTGTAACATTTTTGAATTTTATATAAATGGGATCATAAATAATCTTTTGGGCCAGGTTTCTTTGGAATAAATATCATGTCTGTGAAACTCATGAGTTCTTCATGTAGTCAATTGCTTTCATTGCTGTAGAAGTATTTTAATACCTCATAATTTGTTTTCCTTCTGCTGCTGATGAGTATTTGGATTATCTCGTTTGGGCTGTTAGGAATTATGTTTCTAGGAACATCCTTGACAACATCTCTTGGTGCACATGTGTACACATTTGGAGTGCTACAGACAGATCGCAGAGTGTGCAGTTTGAGTCAATGCTGTCAAATTGTTTTCCGAAGATGGTTTTTCAATGTACTTACATGGCAGTACCTGAGAATTCCTGTTGCTTCATTGGCACTGGGTTGGTATTCTCAGTCTGTTACATTTTACACATTCTAGTGGGTGTCTAGTGGTATCTCATGGTGCTTTTAATTTGCATTTCCCTGGTAACTAATAAAGAGTGAGCACTTTTCCAGTTATTGGCCATTTGGATATTCTCTTTTGTGAAATACCCATTCAAATCTCTTGTCCATTTCTCTAATTGGGCTTTCTGTGTTTTTCTTAATGAGTTTTAAGAGTTCTTTAAGTTTATGGTACTGGTTCTCAGACTTTAGCCTGCATCAGAATCACACTTAGGGCGCTCGCTTCAGTAGCACATATACTAAAATTGTAATGATACAGAGATTAGCATGGCCCCTTAAAAAAAGTCACCCTATGGCTTGTTAAAACACACATTCCTGGCCCCCACCACCAGAGTTTCTGATTCAGTAGATCTGCGGTGAGGCACAAAAAGGTGCATTTCTAACGAGTTCCCAGGTGATGCGGTATGCTGCTGGTCCAGGGACCACACTTTGAGAATCATTATTTAATAGTGATTTCAGCGTAACAGCGGTAGATGTTTCTTGTTAGTTTTGGACAAAGTCACCTTAAAAACCAAAACCAAAAGCAAAAACCTCAACCATTTAATACTGCTCAAGCCTGAGGCATAAGCTAATACTCTTTCTTCCTAGAATGGTGCAAATGGACTTGCTTAAATAGCAACTGCTTCAAACTGTCTGAAACCCACTGAAATCTACCCGTTAGAATACTTGGTACACCTAATTTGCCAAGAGAACCGGTTGATGATAGAAGGTATCCTTTGATACTGTATTTTTCGATCTCAGGAAAACTCACTGGCATTCATCAGCAAGAACATGAGTCAGGAATCCCTTGAAGCACAGAAATACAGATCTCTGAATGGAGATGAAAACTATCATTTATTTCAATTGAATTTAGTTTCATTAAAAAATTCTATGATAACATTAAAACAGAAACAGGACGTTTATATGACTGTCTTTAACCTCAAAAGTCCAAATAAACATATAGACATTTTGAATATAGCTATCGTTTTAACAAACCTCATTATGATCACTGATGCAATTTCAGTCACCTAAAATACGAACCATGACTATTAATAAACATTTACTGTGTGTGGTTTGTTGGACTGAACATTAACCATACGTGTATTTCTAAGTACTAGGAGTTGAACAGCTACTACGGTCAATGTATTTTGGCAGTTAGCTGTGTGTGGTGTGTGCTTTTTAAGGCTTCACTCAATAAAACATCTGTTGCTCTCTGCTGATGAGCAAAAAACTTGCTATACGAAGGACAAATATATGTATACAAACAAATGCACACGTGTGCATGTCTATATACATATATGCAATTTCAGGGAGGTGACACCTTATTCTGAGAGGTCATGAGACTCCACTTCAAACCATAATAGTAAAACCTTTAGTAAACTGAACTCAACATATTACAGCCACCATCATCAGGAAAAATTAAAGACTCATAGTTCAAATAAAGTACAAAAGGTCCCAGGAAGTATTGTGGTTTGTTGATTCATTCAACAGAAAGCCCAAATGACAATGCTATTAGTGGTCAGGAGTAAACTAACCTGGACAGGCTCATGAAAATGAACCCCTGGATGCATCCTGAGAACGTACTGCATAATTATAGTCAATGCTTGCAATAATTTTCAGTTTGTCTCATCACGTTAGCAGAGCCTATTCATGCAATTTAGAAAGGATTTCAATACAGCCCAAACCAAAAGGCTTACAGTCAACAGAGGGTTAGCCTTCCATAAATGAGAAATCCAAAAAAGAATAATGCCACGTATTTCAGGAATGTCGGTTAGAGGTTTGGCCTTCTTGGGAAGTGTCACAATGCTGAGTCTAAAACTGCAACAGTTACCGTGTCCAAGTCATGCAACTCTAAAGGAGGATGGACGGTCACATTTGTGTCCTTCAGTATCAAAGCACCTTTAAGGGCTTCCATTTTGAGAAAGTAGTATTTTCTCTTCCTTCTCTTTTAGAACATATGATAAAATATTGCCCTTCTATCCTTTAACCATGTATCCATTTTTTTTTTTGATGGGGAGTAAGGGGTACACACTCCCTACTACAATGTCACAAACTTTTTCTTTTTGTTGTTCCTATTGGTTGTAACTGTACTATTTTCTAACAAGAAGCCTTCAGGGGAAATAATGGATCCTAGTTATGTCAAAGAAAACAATGAGACAAAATGGCAACTTCACAGTCTTCAAGTAAATAGAATCCCTGATATAAATGGAAATTAACATGTAATTTTGGGGGCAATAAAAACAACAACAAAAACCTGTGACAACTTTGTCCTACTCCTTTAAAAATGAGCTTTGACTCTGTAGTCTCTTAAGGCACAAAACCTGATAGACGGCATTTAACTGGTGGCCTGCACCTCTGATTTGGATTTTAAAAAACAACTATTGACATTTAAATAAAAATAAACCATTTTGTTAGAGCTGGAGATCCTTGGATAAGTTGGGAGAAATATTCAAATGAACTAGCATCTTGTATGTATAAATATTTGTTGCCAAAGTAAAAAAAAGTACAATGTGGTTTACATAGTCCAAAAACTAGTGGAAAATGCCTTCGGAACGGACTTGACATTTTGGTTGGATTCACAGTGCTGTCTCGAAAATAGTTAAGGTCGAGGGCTGTCCATTGGAAGTGTTTGTAACCATGTGGTCAGTGTGACCAATATGTGGATAATTTCTTTTGAAGTATACCTAGAAAAAAAAAAGGTAAGCATAAAAAGAATGTTTCAAAATTTTAAAGTCTCCTCCCTGAAACAATGCACTTCTGTGTCTACTTCTTCATGTGAAGCAAATCATATCCCTCACTGAGGCACAATTTAAGAACAGGGATGAATCTACTGTACAGAGAAATTAGCCCCACTAAAACCCTCAGCAGGGCTGGGCTGAATGCCAAACAACCTGTAGATCCATTTTAGTTCCGATCACTCTGATTCATAGATATGTTTTATCTCTGTATTAAATTGATAAGCGGAATCATTTTACTGACTCAAAACCTGGAGATAAATTAAAAACAGGGTGACAAAGAGGCTGGGAAATCTAGCGTCTGCATGAGGGTTTCTCATTTTCACACGTAAAATGAGCACAATAGATTTGGATGTTAATATCAAGTTGTAATCCCTATATTTTATAAACTCTGATTGACAAGCATTGAAATGCTGGCATATACGTATGAAACATCCCGGCGTTTAATTTGTGCGGCAAAGCAGTTATAGGGCCTATAGAAATGTGGTCTGTGGATAGTGGCCCACAATAATGAAAAGAGAAGCAAAAGCTTTAACAATGACTCAACCAAGCAACTTCTCTAAAATGTAAGATGATACCAAATAATAGGACAGTTCTTTGCCAAGCCTTTGAGTTCCTGAATTCTACCAATTTCTAGCTGAACTAGAAGAGATACAGGTTTTCTGATAAACGTATAATCAGAACATAAAGGAAATGAAATGCTGTCAAGTTTCTCTGTTCCACAATCATCAGTTTTTAGTAGCTGTATCGTATCTTGGTTCCTTGACAGATGCGCATAACAAAATGAAATAATGTCAAGACTTGTGAGCTCTTATCTCAAAACGTGTTTGGGTGAAAAAGGACTTCAAATGTAATTTTTTTTCCCCAAAGAAGAATGTGAAAAGTTTTGTTTGAATCTTTAAAACAGAAAATGTAGCAACTATCTGAGGCTGACACGTGTCACCTGGGTCTCTTAGTCATACGATTCTGGATCTATTTTATAAAACCTTGCTCTGAATATATTGGTGGGTGCTGTCAACAAAGTTATCACTGGAGATAATGGGATTCACGTACAAAAAAGAAAGTGCTGAGACACCTGCCTACATATTAAGTGTACTTTCTTTTTCTCTCACTTCTTGCACACTTGTTACTCCAGAAATATCATTACATATAACACACAATGTACTAAAATGTCACTTAAGGAGAAAATAAATTGTCCAATAATGCTGGAATGCCACCAGAAGAAATCTGAGGCTATTTCCATTATAATGCAAGTGTTCAAAAGTAAGACTTTTCAGGGGATAATTTCATATCATCTCCCTCTCCCACTTTTTTAAGCTAGCCATATTTTGTGTGGTTATAGATTTATGTACTCCAAAAAGGCTATTCTGTAGTGAAACTAAAAACAGCCAAAAGAACAAATAGACATTCACATCACTTTCTACTGCTTGATAGCCTTCCCCAAATAGGCTGCTTCCTTCTGTGTAACCCTCTTGATGTATTTTTTTAAATATATATAAAGAAAGTGTTGTTATTAGCAACTTTAAACCCAAATGGTCTTAGCTTCATGGTCTGAAATACTTAGTCAAAAACAAACTTCCTGTGTATATATTCTTTGATTTGACCTTTCTTTTTCTCTTCTGCTACCAGGTTTTATAACACACTATGGGTAACAGCACAGGTGAGATGAAACATCTTTTTTACAGTGCAGGTGATGAAGGGAGTTGAGATTACTGAACTACTTTTAGCAAAGCCCTCATGTTGTAAGCTATGTCTGGGATAGACAGGTCCAGTCTCAGCTCTCTCCTGGATTCACTGCTGATTCTGGAAAAATTACCTAACCACTCTCTCTACCAGCTGCCTCATCTGTAACATGAGATAACAATAGCTTACGTCACAGGAACTGATTAATGGCTACAAACTACAGGTTGAAAACCTGCTGCATTAGTGTTGGGTGTCATGATGAATGCTGCTCAGAGAAGTGGCCCCTAAGCACACAGAACGTGGAGGTATCGCCCAGCTCGAAGGATGAAGACAAAGCATTTAGGAATCCCTCTGGTGCATCTTTTATCTTTACAGAATCCCAAAGCTGTGGCTGAGACAATTTCAACTGAATGAATATGGTAACCTGGGAGGCAGAAAGGTAGAACTGAAAGATCATAGAAGATGGAGTATGAACACTTTTGAACTGGTGGCTTTGAAAACTTACTCAGGCTGGGCGTGGTGGCTCACACCTGTAATCTCAGCAGTTTGGGAGGCCAAGGCAGGTGGATCACTTGAGGTCAGGAGTTTGAGACCAGCCTGGCCAACATGGTGAAACCCCATCTCTACGAAAAATACAAAAATTAGCCAGGCATGGTGGTGCACGCTTGTAGTCCCAGCTACTCGGGAGGCTGAGGCAGGAGAATCACTTGAACCCAGGAGGCAGAGATTGCAGTGAGCCGAGACTGCAACACTACACTCCAGCCTGGGTGACAGAGTGAGAGACTGTCTCAAAAAAAAAAAAAAAAAAAAAAGTTACTCAGCTTCTTGTACTTTAGCATTTTCATGTGTCAAAAGGGGATAATAACAGCAGTTCAGAAGGACTGTGAAGCTTAAGGGAGACAATGCCATAAGCGTTCACGTTTGCGGCAAGAAGAGTATCAGGTCAGTGAGTATGGGAAACCTTGTCCCTCTTTTCCTTCTTCTCTTGAGTTTGCTCCATTATAGTTCCTCTAATGTAGGTTGAAACTAAGTTCATATTTAAACTCTAACTCATCAGTAAAGCCACCGTAACAGAGCTAGATTTTACTAAAATCAACAGAGCAATACAAGCTCCCGCACGTGGACAAAGGAGAGCAACTGGGCTTTGATTGACATTGCATTCCTAAGATACCATCTGATGTGTTGAATTCAGGCTCAAGACCCTGTCAGTTCATTTTTACTGATGTGTATGGCCCTAATTCAATCACAGTAACTCTCAAGGCCTCAAGTTCATCATTTTTAAAGCCAGTCTAATTTTGGTGTACATAATTGGCATGCATATTGTCAAAGAGTAATGGAGACTTAGAAAGGACTTCTGCTTTTAATATAATGGAGTAATGAATTTCCTCTCCTTTTCCTTTCAGAAACCACTCTGAACATCAAAGATATTCATTAATAAAAAATAAGCTAAATCTTTGTGAAATCAGGAGAGCCTGAATGGTAAAATATCATGAAGGGCTGCCATATGCAACTGGAACCAATGGGGCTGTGGCAAGGCTGAGAAGATGTCTATGAAGAGCAAGCCTCAACAATCATAGGAATTCTCCAGTTAATTGGAGGAGCGCTAAGGTATGTCAATAAAGAATCAATTAGAAACATCTTTGACTGACCTATGTACATTGGTGAGGTCCTGACAGAAGACAGATTGCAATTGCCCAATTCTGTAAGCTAAGGAGGAAGAAAGGCAAAACATGCACTCTCAATTTCACATACACACACACACCCACACACACCCACACCACACACCCCCACACCCCCCACACACCCCCACACACACCCATACACACACACCCACACACACACACACCCCCACACCCCCACACACACCCCCACACACACCCACATACGCCCACCCCCCACACACACCCACACCCACACACCCATACACACACCCACACCCCCACACACACCCACACCCCACACACACCCTCCCACCCCCACACACATACCCCCACCACACACCCATACACACCCACATCCCCTGACACCCACACACACACCCACACACCCACACACCCATACACATACACACTCACATCCCTCCCTGCATCCCCCCCACCACACACGCAGCCTCTCTGGGTCATAAAGTACTTCTACATTAAGCACAGAAAATTCCCTTTAGCCAGAAACAAGGCCCTAGCCACAACTATCCTGTAACTATCTGGTCTAGGAAGAGTTCGTTTTAGTCATAGGTGAGGAGTAGGAATAATAAAAATTATTATTATAATTTTAAGAGTAGTACAGGGCCTGGAGATTATACAAATAAGAAATGAAGTAAGATAAACACATGACAAATGTTGAGCACATAGAGTTTATGAATATAATTCATTCAAAGAAAATGCAGCAGAATGATCAGGCTGTGCATAACAGAGATACAAAAATACAGGAAAACATGGCAGAGCAACAGAAGATGCTGAAACATGAGTTGACAGTGGTCAAAAGTGAAGTGGAAAAGAAAAGTGAAAATATCAAAGAAATGGGCTAGGTGCAATGGCTCACACCTGTAATCCCAGCACTTTGGGAGGCTGAGGTGGGAGGATCACTTGAGGGCCAGGAGTTCGAGGCCAGCCTGGCCAACATAATGAAAACTTGTATCATATAATGAACATAATGAAATCTTGTAAAACTACAAGAATTAGCCAATTGTGATGGCGCACACCTGTAATCCCAGCTACTTGGGAGGCTGAAGCATGAGAATTGCTTGAACCGGGAGTTGGAGGGTGCAGTGAGCCAAGAGCACGCCACTGCACTCCAGTTTGTGGAATAGACGGAGACTCTGTCTCAAAAAAGGGAAAATAAAAAATAAAAAAATAAGTGGCATTTCTACTGAAGGCAGCACAAAGATTAGCCAATGCTGAAAAAACAGTGTGAGACACAGGATAGGATTGAGCAAACAAACAAAATAACTAAAAGTTAATAAAGAACTAAAAAGGATTAAGGAGAAAATAGCTTTACAAAATAGACAAAGGACATAAAACATATACATGATAGATATTTGTAAAGAAGAGAATATAATCAAATAAAAAAATTCAAGGATATAATTCAAGTAAACTTCCAGAAAAAAAAGAAAACTTGAATCAAAGTCTGAAAGACTGCACAATAATGTCCTAGGAAAACTAATGACCCTTTCAGCATACAAGAAAAAAGATCTGGCTGGGCATAGTGGCACACATCTGTAATCCCAGCACTTTGGGAGGCCAAGGTGGGATGATGGTTTAAGCCCAGGAGTTCAAGACCAGCATGGAAAACACAGTGAGACCTTGTCTCTATGGGGGGAAAAAAAATTAGCCAGGTATGGTGGCATGTGCCTCTAGTTCCAGCTTTAAGGGAGGCTGAGAAGGGAGCATTGCTTGAGCCTGGGAGGTTAAGGCTCCAGTGAGCTATGATTGTGCCACTGCACTCCAGCCTGGACAACAGAGCAAGACCCTGTCTCAAAAAAAAAAAAGAAAAAGAAAGAAAGAAAGAAAAAAGGCTGAGTTATGTCAAACATGGTCATAGATGTCTCCATATGAACAGACAACACGAGAAGACCTTAGAGCAAAGGCTGCAACATACTAAGTGAAAGAAGGTGTGACCCAATAATTTTATATCCACAACTTTTTAAAATTTTTATTTTTATGTTAAATTCCAGGATAACATGTGCAGAACGTGCAGGTTTGTCACATAGGTAAATGTGTGCCATGGTACAGCCACCACATTTAAATCAGAGGGGTAACAAAGATTTCAGACATGCAATAAGTCAGGGATTCTAAATTCCAAGGAACCTTTCCCTTTGAGATGGTATAGAGCATTGTTTTGCAACTTTTTTTTTTTAAACTGCCACCCACAATAATGGGTGGCACATTTCACTGTACACAGGGACTTGGTACGCATCCACTACCTATATCTGTATCTATACTGAAAAGCATTTCAAAAAATATTACCATTACTATGAAAGATACATGTTATTTTTCTTCTATTCCATTGTATTCTATTTTACATCTTAAAACACACTAGTCATGATGGACCAAATTGATTCCACAGCACCACTAGTGGGTTGTAGCCTGAGGTTTAAAAAGCACTGAAGGATAAACTTTAGCTAACTAAAAGATGGAGAAAGTATCATTTAAAGAAAAGCCAAATAACAGAGGCTTAAGTATATTTGGGGTTTGAAGGCAAATAGAAGAAAAACTAAGCTAAAATTTGGTGGTAGGATGGAGACAGAAGTGTATTTATATTGTTATTGTTTATAATGGGGAGTCAAGAAACAGCATTTAGAGGAAACAAAAGGAACACATGCAAAACAATATTCAAAGAAACAAAAATTATCTACTACAAATTAAAAGGTAAAAAGGAATACTAAAAACTGAAAGCATAACATGACAGAACTAAGACAAAACATACTTATAATCTCAATAAATGTAAATGTACTAAAATCATCTATTAAAAACAAAGGCTAAGATTAAACCTCAGAGTAAAACCTAACCACGCCATATACAGGAGACACACCTTTGGATATTCAAAGACAATCCCATATATAGCAGACAAAGAAAGCAAAGTAAAAGCACGCGACCCAGTCTAGTTTTGAACCAGTGTGGATTTAGGACCAAAACCATTACACGAATCAAAGAAAGGTGTGTTAAAATGGCAGGAAATATAATTCATAGTGGAAACCCAAGTTATGAACATCTGTGGACTGAAAACCATAGCATCAAAGTTACCAAAACAAAAATGACAGGTACTACAAAGAGAAATATGTACAGTGTGAAACTAATTCACCTCTAGATCCAAGTCACAGAAAATAGACCAATATAAATAAGGATTAATAAGAATGTAATTAACAAAGTAGAACTAATTAAACCTTATTAAACTCTATACCTTAAACAGATAACACCATCTTTTCAATGCCCAAAGAACATCTAGAAAAACTAGGACACAAAGAAAATTCCAAATGGATAGAAAGGATATGGATGACATGCAATGAAAATGAAACTGATGCGTAAAACAGAAAAGAAATGAACAGAAAAAACAAACCGCTACCACCAAAAAGTTTTAAAAACTTCCCTCTTCAATAATTTCTGGGCCAGAGAAAATTAAAATCCAAAATTGCAGAATGTATAAATAAAAAATAAACTATGAGTGAAAGCACTACATATCAAAACCAACAGAATACGAAAATTCACAGCGCTAAAATACTAAGGAAGAAAGAATGGACACAAATGCATTCAAGAAGAAGCAACGAGAAAAACCAAAAAACAAAGGTAATAAAGATAAAAGCAGAAACTGATCAACTGGAAAACAGAATATAAACTAGTAAATAAATCTGGTAAGTCATTCACCAGGAAAAAAACAAAAATAGCTAACTTAATTGGAAGTTAATTGGGAAAAGTGAAAAGTACAGAGTGGAAAAAGTATAAATACTAGGTAGCCATTAAAAAATGAGGTAACTGGCCGGTCATGGTGGCTCACGCCTGTAATCCCAGCACTTTGGGAGGCCAAGGTGGGTGGGTTACCTGAGGTCAGAAGTTCAAGACCAGCCTGGCCAACATGGTAAAAACCCATCTCTACTAAAAATACAAAAAAATTAGCCAGGCATGGTGGTGGGCGCCTGTAATCCCAGCTACTCAGGAGGCTGAGGCAGGAGAATCACTTGATGGAGACTGCAGTGAGCTGAGATTGCACCATAGAGGTCCAGCCTGGGCAACAGGAGTGAAACTGCTTTAAAAAAAATACATATATATATATATATATATATATATATATATATATATATATATATAGAGAGAGAGAGAGAGAGAGAGAGAGAGAGAGAGAGAGAGAAAGAGAGAGAGAGAGAGAGAGAGAACGCTAATAAAAAATACACATATAAAATAAAATGAGGTAACTATATGTATTGATATAATATGGAATATAATATTAAGTGAAAAACCGTAAAGAATAGCTATTATTTGTGCTCAAAAACCAGAAAAGCTATATATGCACAGATGCTTGTTTATGCACAGAATACATCAACAAAGTGGAGAAGAAGGTGCCAGGGCTGAAACCTGGCAGAGGAACTGCGTGATGAAGGGCAGGTGTGGCAGAGTGACTTACTTTTTACTTATTAAAGTTTTTTGCAAAACTATCAATGCTTTGAATTTTGTAACATGAGCATATATCATTTGGTAAGCTGATTCTTAAAAATAATTTGTAATTATTTAGTCTATAAAGCTACAAAACTTTGGATACTTCTTTTGCTATTATTGGGAGCTAAGAGTTCAGTCTACAGTCTTAAAAAAGTACTGAGCTTTTATAACCAATAGCTAGAATTCGCTTATATTTGTAAAACACCTTATATTCTTTGACTCACTTAAACATACACTATCTCATTTAATACATGTTAACAGTGAAGAAACCGGAGCAGTACTGCAATCCTGGCATGACAGGTGAGGCCTCTGAGGCTCACAGGCCTTGGGTGACTTCTGTAAGGCCATTGGCTGCTAAGTGTCTCCTCCACCTATTCAAACAGGCCCCAGGCTCCTAGGATCCAGGATGTCAGGACTTCTTGTCTATCTATCCATCCATCCATCCATCCATCCATCCATCCATCCATCCATATTTTTTTGAGACGGAGTCTTGCTCTGCCGCCCAGGCTAGAGTGCAGTCGTGTGACGTAGGCTCACTGCAACCTCCATCTCCTGGGTTCAAGTGATTCTCCAGCCTCAGCCTCCCGAGTAGCTGAGATTACAAGCATGCGCCACCATGCCTGGCTAATTTTTTTATTTTTAGTAGAGACAGGGTTTCACCATGTTGGCCAGGCTGGTCTCGAACTCCTGACTTCAAGTGATATACCCGCCTCAACTTCCTAAAGTGCTGGGATTACAGGTGTGAACCACCACACCTGGCCAGGATTTCATAACTTTTGAGTTGTATCTGGCAATTTCATGAGTGCATAAAATGGCACCTCTGTTACTCACTGGGAACCTCAAATTAGGTCGGCTTCATCAGGGAAGACAATGATTGAATTTACCCTGTGTTATGGGCTGATTTGCATCCCCCTAAATTCCTATGTTGAAGTCCTAACCCCCAAGTACATCAGAATGTGACTGTATTTGGAGAAAGTCTTTAAAGGTGTAATTAAGTTAAAATGAGGCCTTTAGGGTGGGCCCTGATCCAATATGACTGGTGTCCTTAGAGAAAGAGGTGATCAGGACACAGACATACACAGAGAAAAGACCCCGTGAACAGACCCCGTGAACATATAGCCATCTGCAAGCCAAGGAGAGAGGCCTCAGAAGAAAGCAGCTCTGCTGACACCCTGATCTCAGACTCCAGCACGGAAGTGTGAGAACATAATCTGCTGTGGGTTAAGCCAGCTAGTCTGTGCTACTTTGCTATGGCAGCCTGAGCAAACCAGTGCACCCTTCAGCTTTATGTACCTGAAATGTAATTATGCAATTTAAATTTACTTTAAAATATTAAAATACTGAGTCATCTGCAAAGGTCAGTCAAAAGAGAGACTCAGCTTTGCCTGCACCAGCATTTTCAGGAAAGCAACTCCGTGGTCAAGAATACGTGACTTGGAAGTACCTTTTCCCAGATGTTGAGTTTTCCTTCCAACAAATGAATTCTAATCTGTGAGAGCGAAAAGCTTGTTGATTTAGACTAATCCTCATGGTGTTACAGTTGTGAATGATGCATTGATATTTGATGCTTGCACATTTAAAAGGTTGACAATCTGACAGCTTGTTCTCCTAAGAGGACCAAGTGTATGCAGAAATGTCAAGAAAATATTCAACTTGGATGAGAATCAAGCTGTGTATTTCCTTATGTCTTTCTGTAGAGGAGGTGACCTGAGCCAGTGGTTAGGCAGGACTAAAATCCAGGAAGGAAATTCTGCCACTGTGTGAATTTGGGCGACTAGCTGCATCTTGGATACCAAATGAGACAAGGAGCAGCGTTTTCAGGCTTGACACAGAACGCTACTTAGGGGAAGACATCGGCCTCCCCCAGCAATCTACCTTCTGTTCTCCACGGACCAGCTCTGTGTCCACATGAAGACACATGACCCAACATCCTCATCAATACAGTAAGACTTACAGACTGCTGTGAGGATTAAGTAGAATCATACATGTAAGAACTATGTAAACAATGTAAAATAAATTATAAAGAACTATACGAACGTAAGTTACGATTAATATTGTTGAATTAGATGGAAGATTACTGGACCAGTAATTGAGATTTCAATTCTATGACCAATGTCCCTTTCTATATGTATGTTATACTTGCATTAAACATTGATTTAAAAAAAGATTCCTAATTCTGTCTCTGCTATAAATTAGTCAGGGCCCACTTACTTCTTGGGGCCTTAGTTTCCTCATCTGTAAAACAAAGGTGAACTATATTATCTTATGTTAGTTGGAACATGCTAAAATTCTATGACCTATTTCTTATTACTCCATGCCTTGATAATATATAACATATTTTTTAAATAGGTATTTTGATATATAGATAGGGACACATCTCTTTGATGTGAAATGCCTGAGGTACCAAAGAACAAAAAGGGTTTTTGAGGTTCCTGGCTCTTTTGTGACTAGATTATACAGGGAATCCCAAATGATTGATCGGGTTTTATGAGGGAAGCTTTGGCTGGGAGACACGCTAGAAGATAAAAGTATTCTGTAAATTTCAAGTATAAAAGAAATACAGTGCTTCAAGTACAGCTTCCCTCTTTATTCATACACAATGTGATTCTTATGAAAATTCAGAACACAGATTTTTGTCGATCCTAAAGCCAGGCTTGAATCCGGACTCTGCCTATAATTCTGCTAGCTATGAGATCATGGGCAATTTCCTTCCCTCTCTATGCCTCAGCCTCTTAAACAGGCATAATGAGAAGTGCACAGTGCACATCTGACACATATCATCATCATCATCATTGCCATCAGGGCTCACCACATCAATCAAATCTCTGCTCTGCTCTATTCTTTGGCTTATATTGTCAATGACTAGGGGCATGTTTAATGTATTTGTTAGTGCCCAGCGTAATACTGTGCACACAAAGGCATTTATAGAATCGTTTTGAGGATAAATGCAGGATTCAAAGAAATATCCTACAGACAGTGGCAAGGATAGTTCCTCACTTCTGTGGAGAATGAGATGAAATAGGAGCTGAAGGCAACCTAGGTTTTATTTGGATAAATCTTTAATACAGAAATACCATTAGATATGGGAACATATTTTCTTTTTCTTTTTTCTTTTTTTTTTTTGAGACGCAGTTTCGCTCTGTTGCCAGGCTGGAGTGCAGTGGCGCCATCTCAGCTCACTGCAACCTCCGCCTCCCAGGTTCAAGCTATTCTCCTGCCTCAGTCTCCCTGAGTAGCTGGGACTACAGATGTGTGCCACCACGCCCAGCTAATTTTTGTATTTTTAGTAGAGATGGATTTCACCATGTTGGCCAGGATGGTCTTTATCTCTTGACCTTGTGATCCACCCGCCTCGGCCTCCCAAACAAAGTGCTGGGGTTACAGGTGTGAGCCATCACGCCTGGTCTTTTTTTTTTTTTTTTTTTTTTGAGATGGTGTCTCGCTCTGTCGCCCAGGCTGGAGTGCAGTGTCATGATCTTGGCTCACTGCAACCTCCACCTCCCAGGTTCAAGTGATTTTCCTGCCTCAGTCTCCCGAGTAGCTGGGATTACAGGCAATCGCCACTTCACCCAGCTGATTTTTATATTTTTAGTAGAAATGGGGTTTCACCATGTTGGCCCCTATTTTCTTATTCTGTTGTCTGTAATAGATATTTAAAATATTACACACAAACAAGCAATTTTATTCTACCTACAGTGATGAAAACCTGAAAAATACAGAAAACAATGAAGGAAAATTATACCCATATTATACTGCCTATGGATGAACAGTTTTGATGGGAGCCTCACCATGTACTGCTAGAAGTCTCCTTCCACCCTAAGCCAAGAACATTGGATGTTCCTTCCCTCCCTCCATCAATACAACTCTCACCTCACAGAATTTTAAGGAAGAATTACAGGTGACCATGTGACATCTGGCTAAGTCCCTTAAATCAAACTGCAGTTATCACATCTGTAGAATGAGATACTTCCACATCACCATTGTTGGAAAGAGATCACGTAGCCTGCGTGTCTTTAATGCCTTATAAACATACTTCAAGGATTATTCAGGCTATAGCTATAACATATTATAAATTCTTGATTTGTCCTGATGGCAATTACATCTTTTTTTTTTTTTTTTTGAGACGGAGTTTCGCTCTTACTGCCCAGGCTGGAGTGCAGTGGCGTGATCTTGGCCCACCGCAACCTCCGCCTCCTCGGTTCAAGTGATTCTTCTGCCTAGCCTCCTGAGTAGCTGGGGTTACAGGCATGTGCTACCACTCCCAGCTAATTTTTGTATTTTTAGTAGAGACGGGGTTTCTCCGTGTTGGTCAGGCTGGTCTCAGACTCCCAACCTCAGGTGATCTGCCTGCTTGGCCTCCCAAAGTGCTGGGATTACAGGCATGAACCACCACGCCCAGCCTGACAACTGCCTCTTATAGAAGGTGGAGGAAGCATATGGGCTATATGGGCCTAATTCTAAACAACAAAGAATGAGGGGAAAACCCAGGTCAACAGTGAGAGTATTATGTAACAGTTTTCTTTACAAATAATAAAACAGAAACCAAAAGCAATCTAGGTAGATCTAGGTAGAACATTTTCTAGGTAGATCATTCTAGAACAATAAACAATATCCCACACTTTTTGCCCAAACTCTTAAATCTCCTGTATGTACCTCAACAGCATTTGCCTATCAATAAGAATGAAATGCAATGGGTTTGCAGAATATGAGTACTATGTGCTCTATGCCTTTTTCTATGAGAATCTGAACCCACAGAGTCTAAATGTGTAAAAAGTCTGGTCTAACACCTCTCCGCTTCTTGGGCACACGGCATGCACACATGTGTGCACACACTCGACCCCCCAACCCCTACCCGCTTCTGCCAACTCTTTGCAGACCTTACTTCAACCCGGGACGTGCCGTTAAGACCCACTCATGAAGCTTTGTCTCTGCAGGCTTATAATTGAAAAGGGTACACAGTGCTTGTTACCATACCCATGGTGCCAAATTGTGCGGAGGGAGCCGCTGAGACAAACTTTAATTACAACTCCTTGGAGCACGCTCACCTGTTTTGCTGTTTCAGTGAGGGCAGCGGCTTCTGCCTTGCCCAGTTGTTGCACCATCTTGTAAAATAGGCTCTCTTTATTTTGCAGCAAAACATACGGCTCATCATATTCTTTCAGTCTTCCTGAATCTAAAACCTGTTAATCAGCAGAAAGAAACCCATTGAAACACAATGTTTTGCAGTAACATATTATAACAGAGACAATATTTCGGAAAGGGGCAGGAGAGGGAGAGAATCTGTTTGGGTGGTAGGCCTGGATAGTATTTAAATGGTTTGATTACCCTGTTTTACGAAGCAAACAAAGGCCTAACCTGACCTTTTATTACTATAATGTTATAGGAAAGGAAGAAAATGAAAGTTCTAGACTATTATTCTGGGCACTCAGCAGTCCTGTGGCATTTTATATTCTGCCAAAGGCATTTTGGGTTCTTATCATTACTTAGTGCTTTTAACTCTCAGACTCTCAGCCTTGAGGGGTATTTATACATATGATCAGAGTTGGGAAACTTCTTGATTTAAGAAAGTCAAATTAAATTTATCTAAAAGGTAGGGTAATGTCATAAAAATCAGATGGGAGAGACCTGACAGTAAATTAATTGCCGAGCCAGTTTCATAGACTCTAAGCAATGGAAAAGAAGTAAATGCTTCTGGAATTTCTTTAAGGTTCTAGAACATGTCAGCTGCCAAGAGGGGCTAAACTCTGGATGGTGAGGTTAAGGTGCATTCTGAAATCGGCTCTGGGTGTACTTTATTATTCCGAGAGAGAAAGGCTAGCCGAAAAAGCTGTTACCTAAGCAGCTTTAGCATAATTGCTCTCTGCACAGAAGAAATCTCTAGAAATCCAATTTTCTCTTTGGATAAGACTAAAGAACCAATTAAGAAATTGAGCTCCAAATTCCTGTGATCACAGCCCACATGGCACACGGGGCAGCCCAGTCTGCATTGCTGAGGGCTGAATATCTGTTTTCCCAATCACCTTTCTTTGCTTCTTTCTCTTTCTTGAGCTGCTTGCCTTTTAGCTGCTTTATTGCTCATTAATATGTCCACTGGAAATTGAAAGAGGGAGGAAGGGGCTCTTAACTCTGCATTTCTACTTATTAGTGGCTTTGGTTAATGGTTTCAGAGGGAAGAAAGAGTCTGAACAATTGGCCCAAATGACGTACCTAGGAAAACAGTTCTGAGGTTAAGTGGCACTTAGTTCTTCAGTTAGGCCATATTTAGAGTAAATTTATCTTAAGAGAATATGCTGAACCTCCAAGCAGGACACAGGTTGTTTTTCTACATGTAGATATTGCAGTTAATTCCGTCCCATGGTATTTAATCGGACACATTTATTAAGCCTCATAAAGGGCATTTTCCTGTTAATCTTTTGTTTACTACTGTGAATCACTGCTAAGGGCAGCTTTCTCAAAAGAGTTCAAGAATAATTGAATCTGTCACATCCACATAACAATTAAAATGTCCTATAATTTGGCATGCCAATTTAGATACCCCAAATGTGTAATTTTACTTAAGCATAGCATTACAGAACATAACCACTCCTCCTGACGAGGAAGGAAAAAATCTGCAATTTAAAAATACAGGTCTCTCTAATGCTAAAGACTAAGTAAATAAGTGAACCAAATTACTTGCTAAAATGATGAAGTTTTAGTCTGCAAAAGCAACAAGTAAACTTTTAAAAATTATTCCCACAGAGTTGAGAGTGAGTGAGTTCTCTGTAAAGACTTTACATAATGTTTAATGGAAAGGAAGTCCTACTACTATTTGGTCCTTGTCCAAATTCCTACTAAATTTATTCACATTTGAGTGACTAGTAAATCTTTCCAGATTCCCTCTCATTGTCTGAAAACACATGAATGCCACTGAGACCAGGAGTTCTCAAAATTGACCAGAATCTAAAAAGGCAGAGCCAGAAAAAAAAAAATAATGTTCTCAAAAAGCATTATTATTATTAGATTAATAATAAAAATGACAGAAAGATCATTTGGTCAAAATACTTTAAGCCTTATAAATATCAACAACTTAGCAACTGCATTTTATTTGTTAGGAGAGTTTTTGAGTTTAGGGGTGATAGAACCATGACCTTAATAATTTACTAGAACTTAAAATTTTAACTTCTATAAGGTTTCACACTTAAAAAATATAAAATAAAACCGACCTCTTTAATATTTTTTTGATATGCATTAAAACAAAATATAGGCCAGGTTCAGTGGCTCACGCCTATAATCCTAGCACTTTGGGAGGCCAAGGCAGGTGGATCACTTGAGGCCAGGAGTTTGAAACCAGCCTGGCCAACATGACAAAACCCCACCTTTACTAAAAATACAAAAATTAGCTGGGCATGGTGGTGTGCAACTGTAGTCCCAGCTACCCAGGAGGCTAAGGCACGAGAATCACTTGAACCCAGGAGGTGGAGGATGCAGTGAGCCAAGATCATGCCACTGCACTCCAGCCTGGGCAACAGAGTGAGACTCTGTGTCCAAAAAAAAAAAAAAAAAACCCCAAAATCCCAAATAACCCCCCAAATATAGTATCTTATAATGAACTGGATTATTATAGCTGCAGATGAATCTGCAAGATTTGAGACAAGGCATCCTTGGCATATAAATATGACCTAACAAAGAGTATGGCTACCATAAAAATCAATGAAAGCACCCCATAACTAAAATATCAGTTTGTGAACTTGAAAAGGAAAATAAAATGGGTTGAACATGCTCTGCTTTTACAGTCATCCCAGAAAACTCCCAAAATAGAATGGATAAGGTAATTTCCTTCCTTCCATCCATTCATCCAATATTGAGTGAATGTCTATTTCCAAAGTATCATTTTAGGAATGGGAGATTCAAAGATGAGCAAGAAACAGTCTATCAAGATGCTGACAGCCAGAGATAAAGATGGAAGTGCAAATAAGTTAAACAACTTAGCCTAGGCTGCACAAATCGGAAGATGGCAGAGCTGGGATTTGAACCCGGGTGTAAACCTGTCTTCTTTCCTCTTCATGTGAGTTCCCAGAGGTACATTATTATTTACTTTCAGTTTCTTTGTTTTCAGAAGTAAAATATGGGCAATGAGAACTGTAAACAGCTAATTTTCTAAGACACCTTTTCATTTGGATAATAACTGCATATTTTAAGAAAAATATGCCTGTAAGCATAAAAAAGTTCACCTATTCACTTTCCACTACAATTTGAGTCCTATTACACCCAGGACTCAAAATTATTTACTGTGTGCCTGGCATATACTCACAGAAAAAGAAGACAAATTTTTTGTTGTTGTTGTTGAAATAGAGTCTCACTCTGTTACCCAGACTGGAGTGCAGTGGTGTGGTCTCGGTTCACTGCAACCTCCACCTCCTGGACTCAAGCCTCAGCCTCCCAAGTAGCTGGGACTACAGGTGCACGCCGCCAAAGCCTGGCTAATTTTTGTTTCTTTGTAGAGATGGGGTTTCGCTATGTTGCCCATGCTGGTTTTAAACTCCTGAGCTCAAAGCGATCCTCCCACCTTGGCTTCCCAAAGTGCTGGGATTACAGGCATGAGCCCCCACATATGGCCCAAGAAAACAAACTTCATTAAAGTTTCAGGATTAATAATGAGCAAGTGACACTCTGCCAAAACACATTGGAGGAAAATGGAAGTGAACCTTCATGAATTCCTGAATTTATTCAGCACACATTTATTGCACACTTACTGCATTCATGTCATTATGCTAGATGCTGTGGAAGAGGCAAAGATGGGTAAGTCCCAGCCCCTGCTTTTAGGAAGCCCATACTCAAAAAAAAAAAAAAAAAAAAAGACAGAAGAAAACACTCAAGTGACTAGAATGCCAGAAAAAAGGCAAAACAAGCGGGAGTTTAGCAGCAGCAGAAGTCACCTCTGGCCAAAATTTCTGAGGAGGAGCTTCAGGGAGGAGAAAATAGCAAACTGGGCCTTGAGGAATGGACAGACTTAGACACGTAGAAATGGTGGTGGAGGTGAGGGGTGGGAGGACCGTGGTCATTCCAGATGCCGAGAGGTCTGACAGCTCACCTATCACTTCCTCAAGGGCAGGGTTATGTGCTTGCTCTTGTTCACTGTTGCATCTCCATGGCCTGGCATTGCACATGACGTGTGAGCAGGCACCCCATGCACACTGCCTAAAAGTTAAATACAAAGGAAGGGAAATTCAGGGCACAATTGGGTGACTGACCAGTGGTGCAGTCTGGTAAGACCACAGAGTGAGATCCAGCAGAGAAAGAGTCTAGCTGGCCCTGGAAAACAGATATGGAAGGAGGTATAGGGATGCTAGGATTCAGGCTATAGCCTTGGAGGACCACATGCCTCAAGTTGATGGCTATAGACAAGAGAGAGAAAAAGCAAAAAGGAGACACAGCAGGAATGAGGGCAGAGGCTTGACTCACAAATTAAATATTGGAAAAGAGAAAATAAGGAACAATCTGATGCTACAAGGGCCAAGTTAGGATGCACATGAAAAAATGCTAAGAATAGAACTTTACCCACTTAGCCTTTATGCATGTTGAGTATACTTAGGAAATGCCTGGGACCAGAAGTGTTTCAGATTTCAGATACTTTTGAATTTTGCAATGTTTGCATTATACATACTTACAGATTCAGCATACTTAATCCGAAAATCCAAAATCTGAAATGCCCCAATGAGTGTCTCCTACAAGCTTCACATCAGAGCTCAAAAAGTTTCAGATTTAGGAGCATTTCAGATTTCAGATTAGGGGACTCAATCTGTATTTACTGATTTGACCAAAGATTCTAGATCTTTTACAACAAAATAAAGTGACTCTGAATTTTCTTTTTGTACAGAAAAAAGGGCATAATCTTGAATTTGTATCTTCATATCTTCTGTAGCTACATGAAAACAGTCCTGAAATCTCCTGCTTGGTCCTCACCTTTCCTCTACCCAAGTAAAACTGTAAACTAAGCCATGCATTGATGTTGGTCCCGTGGCCCCAGGATCTCTCCAGCAATGCAAACCTCAAATCACTTGCTGCTCTCTAGAAGGTCAAGGAAAAACACATTATACTGGAATGCATTAGTCAGTTACTCAGTTACATAAGCTCAATGAAGATGTGTTTATCAGGCCTAAATATCTGCAGATATTCCAGGTAGCTGTCCTAGATATAAAAATTAAGTGAACAAACTGCAAAACAATTTAATCCATTTAATTGGCAGGATGCCATCGCTGATAGTGGGGTGATCTCAGGAACAGGGGAAGGGCAGGGCAGGGTGAAGGATAAAGCCTGACCATAGGAAAAGAAAAGCTCGGAACAGCTTTCACTATGGCAGCAAGCAATACAGAGAAACCCCACTTAGCAACAGGCAGAGTGAGGGTGGGAGGGTTTCCATTTCAGAAGTCGTTTCTGGGCCACCATGATGAAAGGGGTGTACGGAGAGTCATCTGACGTTGGAGATTGGTTCCCTCACTGGTAAAATGGGTGCCTGTGACTCTTCTCTGGGACAAGATACTATGGCATGTGGCAAAGATTACTTAAAATCCTGCCTCAGGTCTTGAAACAGTAAATGATTCTTCTCACCTGGGGAAGATGAAGGGTAGGTCCCAGTGACCCACTCAGCCACTTCCCCAAAGCTCTGCAATTGTGTGTATTTATTCTCCCAGTGTGTTCATTTTTTATTTTTTGAGATGGATCTCACTCTGTCGCCCAGGCTGGAGTGCAGTGGCGCGATCTCGGCTCACTGCAACCTCCGCCTCCCAGGTTCAAAAGCGTCTCCTGCCTCAGCCTCCCGAGTAGCTGGGATTACAGGCACACGGCACCACGCCCAGCTAATTTTTCTGTATTTTTAGTAGAGACAGGGTTTCACCATGTTGGCCAGGCTGGTCTCAAACTTCTGACCTCTCAGGTGATCTGCCCTTCTCGGCCTCCCAAAGTGCTGGGATTACAGGCATGAGCCACCGCGCCCAGCCCCAGTTTGTGCTTTCTACCTTCACATTAGTTCTTTGTCCCCCTGAACACTTTAATTAAATGTCTCAGCATATTTTTCAAGAAGTAATTTTTCCTCTTCTGAAATGTTCTAATTGTGGCCGTTGTCGGTTTCTTAAAGAGAAGTTCCATGAAGATGAAACATAGAATTTAAATAAAACTCAGGTTAGCTTTGAGTTGTGTTTCTCCAGCTGGTTCTGCTAGAACGATTTCTAGTTTGTTTTCTCTGAGGAAACGCTACTAAAAAGAGATTTGGGTTTAGAAAGAAAGATATACATTATACACCCATAAGATTGCCTACAAAGA